>NC_000003.12:55464545-55767575 GCF_000001405.40 Homo sapiens | reverse complement strand
TACGCATGAAGGACCACCTTGCCTCCTGGGAATTAAAGCACCTTAGGGAAACTGGGTTGAGAGAGAAGGAGTAACTCCGAGTGGAGCTGGGCGTCTGTCCACAGAGGGGTTTCTGTTTTACTTCCCTCATACTTGGCCTGAAAGCAAAGGGCCCACAGTTAAGACGGCCAGTGGAAACTGAATAGGTGGCCTTGCCGAAGCCTCTGGGGTCTTTGAGAACATCTGAAACATGCCACTTTGGAGCTGGCAGATATGTTAGCAATGGAAAAAAGTAGTAGTGACTTGGAAGCTGGCACCCTTGGCAAAAACCTAAGCCCGCTGAGCAATTTACATTTTATAAGCACTGCATGCTAACTAATTATGCCACTGGAACACTAAAGTTACATTTTATCTGCATGACTAGTGAATTAGCACCTCTCCAACTGGTATCAGCACCTCCCTGCCATTTAAGTCATAAATCCATGAATGCAGCAAGACCTTTGCCTAGTTTTGTTCACCATTTTATCACTGATGCCCGTTACAGGACCTGGCACACAGTAAGCACTCAATAAATATTTGTTAGTTGAATGAATTAGGCTTCTCTAACCCCCAAGTTGATATGACCTGGGAAACACAGGTGGCAGGAAGAACATGATAAGAGGGAAGATAAACTAGGTAGCATGGGAAATCAGGCAAGTAATCACCCTCAGGATTCCTGTTCCAGGAAGTGGAGGTGTGAAGGTGAAGGAGGAATGCAATGTGACTTTTGGCAGCTCTTTTTTCTCAGACATTTGGGCTTTCAGAGAAGGTGAATTCTGGGTTATAGTCCTAGAGCTGTGTCCATAACTGCATCTCAGTGTTCCTGGTGTCTTCAAGATTGCCAGCCCTTCCCAACCTGTGCCAGACATAAGAGGTGGGGCCAGAGGGTGAGTGCCCCCTACTAGATACCCTCCTTTTTGGGTCTTCAGTCTATCCCACAAGCTCCACTCACCCTCTTCCCCCATCATTATTTTAGGGGTGAGCTCCGGTCTGGTTTCTTCTACATCTACCTGAAATGCCAAACCTGCCCAGTCTCCTTGGGTCATTTCCAAGGCTGGGCAGGAAAGCTTGCATACTGTTGTTGGATTCAATTAGAATCACTCTCTGGGAGGCGGAGGTTGCAGTGAGCTGAGATTGCGCCATTGTACTCCAGCCTGGGCGACAGAGCGAGACTCCATCTAAAAAATAAATAAATAAAATAAAAATAATAAATCACCTACAAACTGATACGTCTATTCCCCTATTATTTTGTTTGGGTCCTTGATCCTTTTTTTTTTTTTTTTTCTTGTGGAGAGAACCAAGAGTTGTGTTCTAGCCTTTAAATGGGGGCAGATGCCCCCTCTCCAAATGGGCAGCTTTCCTTCTGTTGCCAGCCCTTGGCCACAGCAGGTTTTGGCGATCTGCTGGCATTTAGTGCTTCTGTGTGTGGCCTGGGCTTTGAATTCAGCTGCTCCTCCTGGCAGCCTTGGTAGCTTCACACAGTTCTCTTAGTGTCCTGGGACTTGGCCCAGGCATACCCTACAGGGGTTCTGAGCCTCAGCAGATTCTTCCCCCAATTTGGAGTACAGTATCCTTGAGCCATGTTTAAAAGACTTCTCTTTAAAAGACTGCACCCTACTCTACTGCCCTCTCACTCTCATTCTATTAGGATTTCTTTTTTTCTTTTGAGACTGAAGAAGAATAAAACAGACAGTGAGATCACGTAATCATTTTATTCAGCAAAATGCAGGAAAGCCAAACTCACCTGAGCAGGCAGGGAATAGAGACGTTACAGACGTGGACAAGATTTCCTCAGGTTTTTAGTCTGGTCTGCGGTCCATCTTTAAAGATAAACTTTGCAGTGTTTCGTATTAATATCGTATCTGCATGATGTAATAGCCCCAGTAACAGCTGCTCCCTCAACCTCAGGGAAAAAAGCCTCAAGTAACGACCCACTCAACTCTCTGAAGCATGTTCCCTCTGTTGAGGATACCTCTGCCAGTTTGGATTGTCTAAAAATGTTCATTTTGAGTCATTAGGGCAGAAAGCCATAACAATAGTTGCACATGCTACGTCATTGGGTGGAATACAATAGCTCTCTTAGACCCTGGGAAAGATTGATTGCTGCACTTATCTCTAGATTAAGTATGAATTTGGGGACCCTTTAGGATCAGCCTTTGCAGAGCCATTACTTGTTTGAACGAGCACCAATGGCTGGAGATGGATGGGCAATTTAATCTGCCAAGAAAAGTAGACTTCAGATCATTCTTGGGTCTTGGAGAGAAAAAAGTCTCCTTTTATTCAAGTAGGTAATGTAGATAATTGCATGTATTTTGCATAATTTGATTTATGAGGATATTACAGTCACATATGGGCCCTGGTCTGAATTCTCTATCTTAGGAATGCCAGTTTTATTCAGTCAAAAAATAAATAAATGAAAAGAAAGAAATAGATCATGTGGACTTGTAGGAGACTCAGTTTTGACCTATTTTTCTGACATTGGAAGACAAGAAGCGATCTCCTGTTGGATTAAAACTAATCTCTTAGAAATTGTTCTAATAGGTGACTCTTGAAATTGATAAAGTTTGGCACAGAGTTGAAGAGCTGTATAATTTGGCAGCTGAAATCTCACCCTATGTATTGCCAAAAAAAGAAGAAAATCCCCACCAAAAATGAGCCTCACCACTGCATATTCTGTTGTTTGCCCGTAGTCACATTAGGCTACATGCAATGGAGGTGAACGTTCTCATTTAAGAAACAGGTGAAAGGAGGCCCCATGTCTCTATATTTAGCCTCTAGATTTCCTTGAGTGTCAGTTGGTCTCATGAATTCTTGGGAGGTATAAGAGTAAATACAAGTGGGGATTCATTCAACAATTGTCAAATGTCTTAAGGATGCATAGAAAACTATCAGAAAACCCTATTTGTTTAGAAGTTGTTAATTCAGACTTTAAGATCCTACGACCTAAGCAGAATTTTGCTTTTTCTCTGTCTGGAAAAGGAAGATTTGATGAGCAAAATAAGAGCACAGCCAAAGCCATAAGTATCTCCTTCATTTGTGTAGTCATTCAGCCAACACCTAACTGAGGGCTTAGCAATTGCCAGGATCTGGGCTGGGGACTGGGGACTGGGATTGACACAGGCCCTGTGTGCACAGTCCAAGGTAAAAGATCCCGTTAGTAAGTAAATGCGATGCAAGTGTTGCAGCAGGTGTGACAGAAGCCAGTTCTAAGAGGAGGAGAGAATGGCCTATGCTCACCTGGAAGCAAAAATTGCCTAAGAAGAAAATGGTTTAAAAATGGGGCAAGTAATTGCAAATGTGCTTTTCATCTGTTATGGCTGTTGCAGAGAAATAATTTAAGTTAAAATTGTCCATCTTCAGAGAGATAAACACTTTTTTAAAATTTGGAGAGCACTGCAGAACTCTTGTAGCTGAACAGTGCACCCCAGGCTGTATCCATAAAAAGAAAAATTGCAAAACCTTATTCTGAACTAAATACAGAAACGCAAACAGTGGAAGTATTTCTGAGAATGTTAATATTTGGGAACTTGTTTGGGGGACTTTAAAACATTGAAAAGGGTAGGTCTGCATGAGAGTTAGTGAATGCACTAAAATAATATTCATAAAAATACGTCGTGAGAAGCCAACATTTATTTTAAAAAGAGGCATAAAATATCTGTAATATTGTGCTTTATTTTATTAGGTACTATTATATAGGGAAAATCCATAATTTTTAGAAACAGACTGACATATTTAGGGGTGGAATGTCTTGATGTCCAACTTTAAAAATACTTCAGAAATAAAAGGTGAGAAAATATGACACATTTATTAAATTTTCGTAATGGGCTTGTGGGCATTCATTATATGCTTCTCCTTTTCTGTATATTTGAAAATGTCCACAATTTAAAGTCAGAAAGTCTGTGTCTATACTATTTACTGAATAACTTCTATGTGCTGGACAGTTATACTTGGTACTCATTTCTAAATTTCACAACAACCCTGCAAAATCAGTAACTATCCCCCTTTAAAGATGGCAGAACTGAAGCTCAGGGTCACCAGTTGGCAGGAGTCAGAGTCCCTCTCTGAATCTGGATTTGTTTAATGCAAGACACACCCGATGCATCTATCTCACCAATGCAACCTCCTCTCTAGAGCAGGAATTTTCTTCATAGTCTCACTCAAGATGGCCATTTGCTTCCTTGTTGGAAAATTCTGTGAATGGGCAGCATTCTAGCAATACTAGACATCTGTTCCATAAGTTAAGCCACATTCCACCTCTCTAAAATCAATACTATTTAATAATTAGTTTAAACGCTTTCATGTCTCATCACCATCGCTGGGAGACAATTAATTCTTCCTCTGGTCCAACTGTGTAACCACATTGAACTTGTCATTGTTCCTGCCACATGCCAAGCTCTATGCTTTGAGCATTTGCCAGTGCTTTCCTATCTGCCTACAGGCTGCCTCTCACCCTTTTCTTCTAGACCAAATCCAAGTCATTCCTCAAGTCCCCAATAATGCCATTTTCTTAGGAATCTCTTTCTTGATTCTCTGTTTAATTATGTATTTAACCTCTATCATTCCAACTAGATTGTAATGTACATGTGGGGCCAGGCTTTCACCTACCTACTTAGTATGTGTTCTGTAGACAGTTGTTAAGTTGAACTGAACTGGACAGTGGTTCTGTCATCTTGAGCTATGTGAAATAATTCAGGTCCTTGCAAACTATATGGAGTAAGTTAGGTCTCTCCTCCACACAATCAAATATTCAGCCATTCTTCCTTGCGTCTCTCTTTTGTAGGCTTTTCTTCCTTGAATAAATATCCCCAGTTTGACTCTGCTTTTTTGCCGTATTTGTGATACAGGTTACCCATCTGAGTGCATGGGTCTGTCAGTAAGACTGAGCCACACTGCCTTCAAGTTGCAATTCAGCCAAGGTCTGGGTCCCTTCGTTTCTTCTACCAGCTTTGGCCAAGGGTTTGCTTGACCCAACTAACTAGCTTACAATATGTATTACCTTTAATATTACTTTTTAAAAAAAATAAAAATAAGGACCCTCCTGACCTGGGTGGGAGATCCTTGAAGGCAGGCACAAAGTCTCATTCATTTGTGTGTCTGTTGTGGTATGATATTGGAACACACATGTGTCAAATATTGATTTTCAGTGGCTTCAATATCAGGTGCATTGCAGTGTCAGAAACATTTTCCTAGGCAAGGTAGCAGACAGGAAGACCCAGGAATTGTGGCCAGGCAGTGGTGAAAATTTACCCTATTTGTCCAAATGAAAGAAAATGCTCCCTTCAAATGTTTAGAATAGTCCATCCTTACATTAAATCCGATTATTTAACTCAGTGTAGGCTTTATTTTGACCTTTGACATGAGTCAGGAAAGTATGGCCCATGGGCCAACTCCTATCTTCGTGTATTAGTCTGTTTTCACACTGCTATAAAGAACTACCTGAGACTGGGTAATTTATAAGGAAAGAGGTTTAATTGACTCACAGTTCCACATGGCTGGGAAGCCCTCAGGAAACTTAAAATTATGGCAGAAGGTGAAGGGAAAGCAAGGCACATCCTACATGGTGGCAGGAGAGAGAGAGAGAGGAAGGGAGGGAGGGAGGGGGAGAGAGAGAGGAAGGGAGGGAGGGAGGGGGGCAGAGAGAGAGAGAAAAGAAAGCCACATACTTTTTTTTTTTTTTTTTTTGAGACGGAGTCTCGCTCCTTCGCCCAGGCCAGAGTGCAGTGGTGCTATCTCGGCTCACTGCAAGCTCCAACTCTCGGGTTCATGCCATTCTCCTGCCTCAGCCTCCCGAGTAGCTGGGACTACAGGCGCCCGCCACAAAACCACCAGATTTGTGAAAACTCACTCACTACCATGTGTCCCTCATGATCCAATCACCCCTCACCAGGTCCCTCCCTGGGGATTACAATTATATAGATGAGATTTGGGTGGGGACACATTGCCAAACCATATCACCTCATCTGTCATCTGTTTTTGTAAATAAAGTTTCATTAGGACACAGCCACATGCATTTGTTTATGTGCTGTCATGGCTGCTTTCACGCTACAACAGCGGAGTCAAGTAGCTGCAACAGAAAACCCATGGCCTATAAATAGGGTTGCCAGATAACACATGGAAAGCCTGAGATAAAACTAAGAAAAAAAAAAACCAGATAAACAGCGAATACATTTTTAGTATAAGCACATCTCAAATATTGAGCAGGACACACTTGTATTAAAAGAAAATATTTACTGTTTATCTGAAATTGAAATGTAACTGAACTCCTGTATTTTTATTTGCATAAATGAAACAACTGTACATGTAAAGCTTAAAATGTTTACTCTCTGGCCTTTTATAGAAAGTTTGCTGGGACCTGAGCTCCAGTAGTAATAACAATGATGATGGTAGGAATAGCAAGGAATAAGACTAAACATCATAACGGCAGCCACTCTCCTTTCGTTTGTATTATCAGTGTCAATGCATTGTATTATTTGATCCTCAAAGCATCTGTCTTAATGTTGACACAGGCTCTGCATCACAGAATGAACAAGTGGTGATGCTTAAGAGGACATCTCTGTGTCTTCATTTGGCACATCCCAATCTACCCTGGGCCCACCTACTCTTTTCAGAGGGAGATTTGCATCTTACCATTTTCTTTTTCCACAGGTTTATGTCATGCCCTTTAGGCTCTCCTATTCTAGAAACAAATCAAGGCACCCCTGACCCACTAACATTTGCCGTATTTCATTTCTTGGTTAACTGACTCCATATGCTTATTATATGTGTCAAAAAGTATATTATTTCTGGATTATTTTATCTGAGCGTTATTTGTACATGGCGTGTTCACGTGCACTGAACCACCTCCATGCAGACTAGCAGAGACACCCCGTGGAAAGCCAGATTCAGTGATAAGTGAGCATTTAGTTGGGATGTCCTCAGGGTGATCTTCTGACTTTCTCTACTGTTGTGATCCAGTCATCTCTTGGCAAAGCAACATATTAATTGTACATTATAGTTCAGCCATCTTTCTCACCAATGTATATGTGAAAATTCTTTAATAATGCATTAAACAGCAACTGGAATATGTAACTAATTTTTACTACTTAGTCTATTTCAAGTGTTTCTGAACTAAAGTGAAGGAATACTTCTGCCTCTATATGCAGCAAATATCAAAGAGCTGACCCATGTAACTATTACAAAAAAAAATATCACGGAGGTAGGGTCTTCAAGGTGCTCCTAATCAATTTTTCACAACCTCACTAAAGTATTTGCTTACATTACAGACAGTAGACGATTACATTTAAGGAAGAAGGGGATGGGAAGATAAAATGGCTTCAGAATGTGTTTCTGAAGAATCCAGTTTGCTCCTTGACTATAGGCAGTGGGAAGCACATTAATTTACCTGTGATATTACAGGTTCTTTGATGTCAATGTGTTACTCTGTCCGTGCTGTGAATTTGCCTTTTTCAGCCATTAGAAAAGTACGAGACTGAAACCTACGGTCTGTTTTCATGTGATAACCTTGACACTGGCTACTGTTTGGTAGGGGGTTTATGTCACGGAGGGGTGCTGACACTCTGTAAGTAAAAAAGGTTAAGCCCAATAGCAAAGTGTGTATTATGAAAAGTCCAGTGTTGGAATTTACTAACTTTTAAGGAAACTTCAACCAAAATGCTAAAACTTCACAAGTACAAAGAAGAGCTCGTTAAGCACAATTTAATTACTCATGTGTGTAAAAATCTACTTCATGTAAGTTTAAGTGCCCTGCTCTTCAAAATCAACCATAAAACTTGAAAGTGTCAGTCATTCAGATAATTGGAAACATATAAATTTAAGGAATGTGCAGCTGTAAAATTAACTACTGGACTCATTTGAAAGACTAGATTTACTAAAGGTAAAACCTGCTGTTTTCCAAAACCCTTTTTTCCTCCATGATTATGTTGCAAGGGAAGAAAAAAACAATCTTCATCATACTTCAGTGAATTTTAATGTTACATTTTTTTGTTGTTGTTTAGTCTTTCGTCCTTGAATATTGAGAATGGAAACTACCATGTTTATCATACTTATTTTGACCTTAACCTTTTTTTTTTTTTTTTTTTTTTTTTTTTTTTTTTTTAATGAAAGAGACTTAAAACGTCCCAGCTGGTCTGACTCCCAGAGAGGGGGAGGAGACAATAGCGAACACTTCTTCCTGTGCAAATGTGGAGAAGATGAAGTGAAACCCGAGTGATTTAAGTGAACTGTGGAGCAGTCATATTATTGTATTTGCGAAGAATCTAGAAAGCTGTTTTTTAAAATTGTAAGATGATTGTAATTTTCAAAATGACAAGAAGAAATGCACAGCAATACACCAATTCAGGGATTGTCTGTTTCCTTTAGAATACCATTTGCAATGTGCTTTAATTTATGCTCTGTTGGATTGGTACAAAAGGAGGAATTTTACAGATAGGTAAACTGGGGGAGGCTGAAATGTCATAAAACAGAGTTGCTTCTGAAGTTTGGCTTAATTGTCAAGGAGTAAAAATTTATTCCAAATTAAAATTCCTCTGCAAAGAACTAAAAATATCAAGAATTAGTCAGAGTCTGTAATCTAAAAAGAAAAAGGAAAAACCACCTTATCTGGTGGAATTTAGCGGTTAACCCTCACCTTAGCAATCCAAGTGTTTTGAATTCCCAAAATGGACTCTCTTTTAATATGCTTAAGCCTTATTTGTTGGTAGAGATCTTACTGAAGACTGTATTTGATCCATTCACCTTCATTGACATAAACCCACCATAACCTTCTTGGAAAACGTTACGCAGTTTGAGCTTTTTGCAGGGAGTTGGTTTGGCTTTTAATGTGTAATAAGAAGAGGGGAAAGATCCCATATCCACACTTCCTTATATTAAATGGCTGGATTTTTTTGGCTACAGATATGACCCACCTTGTCTGAACGCCAGCCCTTGGCGTGTAGGCTAGCGATGTCCTAGGAGACAAGGAAATCTAAGTTAGAAAGTTGTCAAATGGGGACAGGCATCTGTAAAAGTTAGAACACTGCCAAAGATAGGGCCACTGGGAGGCTCTGCAGGATGGCAGCAAGCCCTCCTCCTCATTGGTCTGCCCCTCACCTTTGGTGATACCCGTCAGAGAAGAAGTGGTTCTGAGAAGGATGAACTTCTGGAAAAGCGTGAAATGAGAAGAGGCAGAGTTTGGGGGATCTTCCTCAGTATGAGTGGGGTGGCTGTGGTGTGCATAGTTTGGAGTTGGGGAACCCAAGTCTCATGATTCGGCTTAGCCCATTTCAGAGTCCTAGACTACCTCAGTCACAGGTTCCAGTCCCTCCATCCTTTGGAAATTAATAATTTCGTAGATACAGCTTTTTGCACAAAAGATTTTTAGATGAAATATGAGCTCTGCCTCTTCTTCATGGACTTAGAACAATCCATGTTATTTTTGGGGAGAATAGCAGATTATTGGAATCACCTGGCACAATTCACAAAATTGCTGGGAAATATTGGATAGCTGTGAATTTTTTTTAAGTCATTAATATTTCAGTCACTCTGATAGTCATCAGATGTAATTCTCTCCAGATGAAAAAATGGGCTCTATCGTTATTTGAATACAAAAAATAAGAACTCAGAGGTATAAATGTATATATATATATGATATTTATCTTGATTTGATAGAATTTTTTTTCCAAGAGGAATATTATCTGAGCCTCAAATACAATTGACTTTTAATGATCTAAGAGTGAAAACAGTTAATACTCACTAAGAATTTTGATTACATTTCTTAAATTGTAAGCTATTGATAAATAATTTATGTTTATGTAAGTGGTAATAACCTAAATTATTAGGATGTTCAAAGTGAACAATATTTATAGGTTTATAACTCCTCCTTTTCCTACTCCATTAATTTACTGAATGCTTACCATGTGTCAAGCACTGTGTTAAGCTCTTTATATATAGTATCTCATTGATTTCTCACAGCAATCCTGTGAAATAATTATTATTAGAATTATTTAGTAGATTAAGAAAGTAAGGCACTGTGTTATTAAGCTGAATCTTATGATATTGTCATTTTTATGGGTTGAACATACCCAGACACTGGCAGTTTCACAGGGGTCCACCTAGTATAATTTTATTATAATGATTTATTACATAAATTTGGATTTAGCACTGATCAAATCATATTGCCAATACTCACCTCCTCACCTAAAAATTTGAGATAGAGAGACCAGTGTGGAAGGGACATCCTTTTCCAGTTCTCAGATTTCTTTAAAATTCCAAATTTACATTATGCTAAGTAATATCGTGCTGTGTTTTTTGTAAATGTTAAGTCTTCCAGAACAACTTACATATTACAGAGTTGCTCATTAAAGCTGGGGAATGTCACAAAACAGAGAAGCTCTCCTTGGCCGGAAATGACAATAATTTACCATGCCTATACACTAATATGATGTGGTGTTCTGTGTTCTTTTCTGAATACCCACATACACCATAGTTTCAAGGGGAGTAGTTTTTAGTTCAGGGAGAAGTTTTTAGTTCAGCATGGAGTGTTTTCACCAAAAGCATATTGAATTTGGTATATCAGCATATTAGCAAAGTGGGTTTAAGCTAAAATTTGAAAAGGTAGAAGCATATTTTAACGTGGATTTGGGTATACTTTTTTTTTCTTCTTTGCATCTTATTCATTTTTTAAAATCAGAGATAAAAGCATGTACGTTTCCTTTCTCCCTCTTTGAGGGAGGGAACTCTTAAGGTGGTTTTCTTTGTCTTGGGTACAGAGGAAGGGGATGGGGTGGTAGGCGAGAAAGATTTAAGGAGGTAAAAAGGACTGACTATTCTTTCTAAAAAGAGTGATCTTCCAGGCATTTTAATGGCTTAGAAACAGACAGTTGTTGGTGCCCCTTTGTTTTCAAGCTGATTTGATTTTTCATGGCTTGGGCCAGTGTTTGGAAATAATTCATCAGAAGATGTCAGGATGAACAAGAGACACATTAGAGTCAAACAGCCTTTGACATGTCATACTTCTGTTGCTCTGAGATTTTTAATTTTGAAATTTTAGAAAGATAAACTAACCGGAAAAACAGTGATCCACAGCCTCAAAAATACTTACTGTCATGTCCAATTTCCCATTCCTTGTGTCCCATGGGGCACATATGGGAAGCTCCATTGCACCTTTTAAAGTGAGACCAAGAATATTTTGATGTCAAGGGCATAGACTAAGTTCATCAGTATTACAGTCACCTAAGATCATGTTAGCATCAAAAAGTTTCCTGGTACCCCCAGTTTTAATAATTATCAGCGCCTTCTATTATGTAGGTACAAAAACACCTGAAGATGATAAAAGTATGTTTAAAACTCTGAGGATAATTAAATTATGTTCATCTGGCTTTTTAGCTTCGTGACTGTGTTTCAATTTGTAAATGTTATAACTGTTTTAAATTTTTTTTTCTCTAGCAAGCTGCAAACTTTTGAAGACATTAAGCCTGCCAAATTATAGCCACTTATTTCTGCCTGACGTATTTTTCAGCTTAGAACCACAGAGGGACTGCCAAGCCTGTTCCTTTTCATTACCTGTTCTGTGTCTGGCCCCGAGTTTAGATTTTCGAAAATGGAAAAAAGCTGTTTGCAAAATCACAAGGCTCTTGAGCTCTTAGTTTCTTCTTAGTATCAACATTTATTTATTTAGGTTTGGGCTGGGTTTCAAAAGATTGAAATTGGAAACAGAGAAGGTGACTCTGAACACCATTTATCTGTATATAAGCGAACGTTCGATGTACGTTTAATTTAAAAAATTGCTGTTTCCTACAAGAGGGAGCTATTTTTCACATTGTTACAACATTTTTAGAGGTCACTAGGTGGTCATGTCACCAGCAGGGAGTTTTTGTTTGGCAGGCAGCATTGGCAGTTAGTTACAAATGCCTCCCATGATTCAGTGTTCAAAGGGGGCTGCTTTGCAAGTAACAAATACTTACAACCTGAGAACTGAAGTATAAAAAGTAGTGACAGGGGAAAATGTTTGGAAATGTAAAACAGCATCTTTAGTGGCCAAATTGGGGTGTTCGGGGAGTTGAAGATTACATGTCTACTTTATACTTGAGCTTAGCGTTTACAGAAGCAATAATGCCTTAACTACCGCAGTTGGCTGTCACCTTGCTTCTAGTTAGCAAGTGCTCTTAATTTGTGATTTGTTGGTTCTCATGCTTTGGAGTATCACTGAGGTTCCTGACAATAATCTTTATTAACCTCATCCCCTGCATTTGCCATCCTGGTAGTTACTCAACCTGTGCCTCTCGGTCATTCCTCATCGTGAATGCTGGTAACTTAAGCAAGATTAAGTGGGCAGCTAAAAGCACCAATTACTGTGGTTTCTTCTAGGCTTCCATATTTACAGACAAACCAGTATTTCAAATTTGGGATAAGAGAGTTATAATCCCTCTTTATGGGGGAAATAAATAAATGAAGTGCAGATGGATCTTTGAGGAAATGGCTAAGATGAAAAAAAAAAAAGAAGATGAATAGCCAATCACTAGGACTGTGAGCATTTTATTTATAATTACTTTTTAAGTATAAAAATGGAGATTAATTTGTGCCTCCATATCAGGACAATTGCTGTGTCTCCTTCCCCACCTCCACTTTTGTTTAACTAAGGAATGACCTAAAGAATGCAGCTGTCACTTAAGAATACAATACAGTTATTTTGCTATATTAGTACAGCTTATGGGTTATAGATACTTTAGCTTTTTTAAGCTAAAAGCTAAATTAATTCAGTTTCAGTGAAGAATTGTCATGGCTCATGTTGCGCTGTTTAGGATAGAAAAACCTAAGAATCTCAGACTTCTTTAATGGACAAAGGAAGATATTTAGCATCTGTTATTTGTAGTTCAAAGAGAAACTACAAATAAATTGATAGGACTTTCATTTATTTGATCATAGCAGTTCATTGATATTTTTCTATTACTCTTGTGAGATTTAAATTTTTTTTTTTATGTAAGAATGGATAACTGTCATAGCCACGCAGGGTTTTTTTCTCAAGCAAATTAAATTCATATTTATAATGACATTTTGCTACTTCTTTAATCCTTTGCAGAAAGCTTTTTGGCTCTGAAGAGCCGTTGAAATATTGAGTTTGGATATCCAAAAGAATCCTGCTAGGTGATTAAAGAAAAGGAAGCCAAAATCTAGAGTAGAAATGTCTTAGTTACACTGTCATTTTTATAATGCAGTTCTTTTTGCATTTATCTGAAAAATTAATTTTCCCTCTCCAATTTACATCTGCTTAAGCCTGTGGCAGTGGAATTGTGATACCATGGTAAACACTAGAAATGTATTGAATCTGTAGATAAAAGTACAGAAAACAGAAAATAAAATATTTTCTCTCCTGGTTTTTTAAATAGTTTTCTCAAAAAAAAAAATAGTTTTCTTATCTGTAGAGATCGGTGATTTGAACATATTTATCTTGTAGCCGATAATAACTTAATGAACCACACTCATAGTAATGGTAAAAAATAACTATAGCTTGCATTTATAATAATAATAACTGCTTGTTATACAACCAACTAAATGTGCTAAATGGTTTACATATTTATCTTATATAATACCTCATAAGTGTATTAGGATTCTCATTTTACAGATGAAGAAACTGAGATTCAAAGAGTTAATTAGCTTTCCCAAAATCACACCAATGGCAGTGGTGCAGAACCAGAATTTAAACCCAGATTTGTGGAATCCCATTCATTGATTCAACAAATATTAATTGCAAGTTTGGTGCATTTAGAAAAACTGATCATTGTTTAAGTTTATTTAGAAGCAGCCATTCTCTTTCTTGCCAATGGATTATTGTCAGATCTCTCAATGAACCACTGGAAAAGGAAAACTCTTTTGTGCCTCCTCCAGATAGTCGTTTTCCGTTCGTGAATTTATGTTTGCCCCAGTGAAATTCCCATTAGCCATTCGGACTGGTGATTTTACACCAACTTGATGAGTTTGGCTTAGTCAATAGAAGCAGTGCCTAGCACATGGTGTGTCCATACCAGCTAGTGTTTCAAATGAATCCAATTGCACCATCACCATTTGGGTCCCAGGGGGCCACAGCTTTGTGAGTAGGGATGCCCCTGATAGTAATGCCCACCATTCCTGTGGGGTTTTGCAGTTTTCCAGATGCTTTCCTGTGGGGGATCTTCTGTGAACCTCTTAGTGACCTCGGGGGTAGGTAATATCATTTTTATTTTATAGATTCCCACAGCTAAGATACGTAAAGTCAAGTGACTTGTCAAAGGCACATATATAAAATTGGATGACTGTCTTTCTATGTTACCCCTGTTTTCTGTTTTCTATGCCTTATAGTATTGGCAGTGGGATTGGGGGGAAGTATGTTGAAGGTTCAGACTTCTCTCCCCTTTCTCACTGGAATTGAGAAATCACAGCCCATCCAGGAGCAACCATGTGATCTGCTCTGCCCACCGAGTTCTGAAGTATTGCTGTCACCCACTTGGGGAGTTCCAGCAGTGTGCATTGTGAGTCTCTCTCTTCCCCATGGACTTGGTTAGCAACTTTGTGATTTGGCTTCAGTCCTTGGGCATCCCTAGAAATGAAATAAATATACAATCAAATGAAATAAACATCCGAGCACCAGTTGTAGAGCTGCGGTCGGCTGCTCTTACTGACGGCAGCATTGTGACTGAGGGGGTGGTCCTCTTATCGGAATTCAGCCAACTTCTCACTTGATTCAAAGTGAATCTGTTTTTTCTGTGTCAAGAGTATCTCAACTTAGAACAATGCTAGACATAATCTATTTTATTTTGAGACATAAAATTATAAATACCCGGGTTCGAATCTCTACTTTGCCATCTACTAGCCATGTAAACTTGAGTAAGTTAATTCACTCCTTTCTGCCTCTCTTTTCTTATCTGTCAAATGGGAACATAATGGCACCTTCCTCATTAGATTGTTGTGCAGCTCAAATGAGTTAGTACACATAAAGGACTTAGAATGGTATAGTCTTTGGCACAGAAAATGTGCTGGTGTGTGTTAGCTATGTATTTCCTATTGTAGGCTCTATGGCCTGTCCCTTGTTCAGCAGTCTTGGCAAAACTGTTCAATTATCTTGAAACAGGCCAATAGAGCGCTGGTAAACCAGGTCAATAGAAAAAACAAAATCCCTGATTGGTAGTGATTGCCAATTTCCATCGTGTAAATACTTCTACCATGGCCAAGGTACAGGCTGACCCTTGTCAGTTGGAAGGAGATGCACATAATTGACTCTCGCTAGCTAGCAGCCAGCTCCAGCACACCATAGAAATAGACCCCTTAGCTGTAAGATCATTAGAGAGCTGCCAATTAGGATGACCCTCAGCTCATAGCTGTCCCTTTTTCTTTTGGTGTGATCCCATTATTTAGGGTGTGTTTCTAGTGATGGGGAAATCAGGCCATAACTGATTGACCTAGGTGGGGCTAACAGATTTTCTTTCCAGGAAGGTCAAACATTACTCTTTTTCCATTAAGCCTGGAGGTTGTAACAAAGTTATTCTGTAAACAGTAGGTCTTCTGAAGAAAGGTTTAGGATTTCCTGCTACTGAGGGTACTGGAGCAACTTTCTCACTGACCCTCCTAAAGCTCACTTGTTAGCTCTTTTCTTTTCCTCAGTTTATTCAAGTATCCCTCTAACACTTCCTCTTTTTGCTAAGTTAGCCAGAATTAGTTTCTTTTGCTTGCAATCCAAATAAACCCAACCAAAGCATGTGTTTAGTCACATCATTCCTCCATTGTTAGAATTATTTCCCTGGGATTTTCTCGACATTGCCTTCTGTTGTTTGTACCAACACTGTCAGAGATGGGTATGAGGGAGCCCAGGCCATTGCTGACAGCTCTGACTTAGCCAGAGTTGCTCCTGTTACTAACTTGGCCTCAGCCTTACCTACTTGTGACTTTCATCCTTAAGTCCTAGTTCAAATCTTAGGGTGCCCCTGGAGCAAGCCTCATCTATGTTACTCTAGCAGATAATTGAAGGGATAACTACCATGTTCCCAAGTCTTCTCTGTTGCTGATTACTCCCACATTCATATTCCACCAATATATATATACATATTGTGCTAAAATCCAACAAAATGAACAAACGAAAGAGAGGCAGAGTATGTCATATTTTACACTAGGCCCTTCTTGCCACCTTTAGAAATAATTTTCCTAAAGATTGGCATTGACCAACTCAGCTTTTCTTTCCTTCTGTGGTCACTGAAGACCCCTAGAAGGACCTGGAGCTCGAGCTCTTGTCTGATGGGGCCTATTTGTGAAATAAAGAGATTATTCTCCACTTATATCCTAAAGATACCATATTGGAAACAGACATTGGCAAAGGGACGGTCACTCAGTACAAACAATTTGGGTTCAACATGGCATTTATAAGGCAGCCAGCTTGGAAGTGCCAAACACTTTTCACAAGGAAAGCCCTTACCTATGCAGAACAGAAGAGGATGTTCCTCACACATACCCTGATAGTAACATGCAGCAATCACGTGAATGTTTTCCAGACCGTGGAAGTCATGGACCAATCATAGGAAAAAATATTTTTTGCCAACAACATATGCTTGCTAACCTAATTAAGCTATTAAATAAGACTATTCAAGTGTTAACTATTATCATCATCATTTGAGAAAGGGTCATTTTAATTCCAAACATTAGAAAGGACATTACTGAATGTCACAATAAAAAGCTGCTGTTCCCCAGAAAACAACTTACACATAATGTTCCTACATCCTCATGTGTGCATGCGGGCATGCGTGAAAACGTCAGCACTGGCCAAACCAGTCTTTCCGTTGGCACTTAAGGCATTCTTTATTTGACCACATTTCTTCCTTGGTGGTGGTATTCTAGCATCCTTGAAAGTTATGCAACTAGGAACAGGCATAAGTAAGCAAAAGAGAATTTTAATCGACTGAATCATCTCAACTCTCAATCAGACACTTACCCCATCTGGAAGCCACTCTTTTCCTTCCAGAGCCCTTCCATTCCTACCCTCCCTTCATACTCAGCTGTCACCCTTATCCTCTGTGAAGCCTGCCCCCATCATCCCGGACCAAAGGGACATTTCTTCCTTCCTGCAACCAAGAATTGAAAGGGCCAAGTTTAGTCTTTAACATCACAGACTTGGATACAAATTCCAGTTCTCCTTTTAAAAGCAATGGGACCTTGGACAACCTTAAATATTACAGTCTCAGTTTACTCAACTTTACAAGGGGTGTAATAAAACTTTCTCTTGGAAGGCTATTTTGAGCAGACTAAATGAAACAACGTACTTTACTTATGCCTTGCTTATACATATAGTAATCAAAATAATAATTATTAACAATTTCTTATCCTGTATCTTAACAATGAAGATGTTAATAAACTATTATTTATCTTTTATTTTATTATTTAAGTCTTTATATAATTTAAGTCTTTTTCTTTACCAGATCAGTTTGCAAGCCTTACCCATTGCTGATCCTTCATAACACGTAGCATCGTATTCTGTCCATAGTAAATTCTCTTTGAAAATGGTAGAAATTAAGACACTGGTTAACAACATTAGACTGCTCTTTTAAGCCACCACCTATAGGTATGCAGTCATCCTTAAAGATATCTTTTCATTATGCCCCTCTTCAATGGGATCTTGAATCCCTTTGTGTCCGGAGTTGGCTCCTGCTGGTGGGTTCGTGGTCTCACCGACTTCAAGAATGAAGTCGTAGACCTTCGCAGTGAGTGTTACAACTCTTAAAGATGGCACTGATCCAAAGAGTGGGCAGTAGCAAGGTTTATTGTGAAGAGTGAAGGGACAAAGCTTCCACAGCGTGGAAGGGGACCCAAGTGGGTTGCCGCTGCTGGCTGGGGTGGCCAGATTTTATTCCCTTATTGTCCCCGCCCATGTTCTGTTTCTGTCCTATCGGAGTGCCCGTTTTTCAATCCTCCCTGCAATTGGCTACTTTTAGAATCCTGCTGATTGGTGTGTTTCACAGAGCACTGATTGGTGCGTTTTATAGAGCGCTGATTGGTGCATTTTACAGAGCACTGATTGGTGCATTTTACAATCCTCTTGTGAGACAGAAAAGTTCCTGATTGGTGCTTTTTACAATCCTCTTGTCAGAAAAGTTCCCCAAGTCCCCACTCAACCCAGGAAGTCCAGCTGGCCTCACCTCTCACCTTAAGGGTTCTCCAGCCCCATTCTTCCTTGACCCCTGCCTTATGTCCCATGCCTTGAAGTTCAAATCTAAGCAGGGGTGCTTTGTTGTTGGTCAGTGGAGCTGGGAAGCCTCAAGGTTGTCCAGGGAGATAGATGGTCTGATCTCAGCATTCAACAGATCGGTATTGCAGGGAGTGGTAGTCAGTGTCAGGTTGGAGTCTGGTCACCAGGATGTTTTCTCACTAAGTGGTTTTCCAGGCCTGGGGGCCTCTTTTACAGGACTGAGTTCTGTCACTTCTCTGGGTTCCTAGGCCTCCTTCCCCCACCTCCAATTTGTGCAAAAGGCCTTCTGCAGACTGGGTTAATTACCTCTAGTGGTCAGTCTTGGGTGTATGTTGAATATTGTGGAGAGGGAATTACCTCAACCTTTTACATCTCTGAGGATATAAAATTATAAAGATTTAAAATGATCTATGGGCATGTGTTGTAAGCAAACAAAGAAACCAATAAAACTCCTTGTATTTTGGAAGACTATTGGGTTGAACCATACAAAATTTCTGATATTCAATTGTTTCTGACCCATAAAAAAGTGAACTTGAACTTCGTATTATTCGGCCTAGTAGCTATGACTATGAGGTTTCATGTTTCTGTTTATTTGTTTATTTTGAGCTTCTGATTGCAACTGGATTATACTAGGCATTCGGGATGAAGAGGATGGGCTGGGAGGGAGCTTTTGAATTGATTATCCTAGTATTTGATACATGCAGAGGGAAATGCCACATGGATTCTTTGCCCAGCATTTGAATTGGGAAACAGGATTCAGGGATATCTTCTTTGCACGGTATTGCTGATGATCCAGCATTTGCTCATGATGGTAATAGAAGGGTGTTTCTTTGTGTCTGGTGGCATCATCACAGGGTCTGTCTGTCTCATGACTGTGGACAATCTCTGGGTTCTGCTGTGGTAGCAATCTCTGGGTTCTGCTGTGGTAGCAGTCTCTGAGTTCTGCTGTTAGAGAAGCAGGGATGGTTTCTGTCTTGCTTGTCCCCATTCATCCCTGGTACGTGGTACACAGTGGTCACTCAGTAAATATGTGGTGAATGAGTTGGAGAAATTGATGAACTGCCTCTGACCACCTGGATGGTTTATTTTTGCTTATGTGGCCAGTAAATAGCCACCCTAGAGGAACATATTCAGTTTAGCTGCTTCAGGTTGGAGTTCATAATTTCATATCTGAAATGTTCCTGCTTCCAGTAATCGCTCCTCCCAGGGTGGAAATTTCACTTCTGTGAGCCACAAGGCCACCCATCCTGTAAATCTGAGACTGCTTTCTATACCATTGTTTCTTGGGCTGGCTCCCTTGCGATTCTTTCCAGATGTGGAGCTCCTCCAGGTAGTTTACCAGACCCTTTCCTTCTGCAGCTGCTGTCTGGTTTCAGGTTCCTTCAAACTCTGGGAAGGAGCACTCCAGTAGCATCCCACAAATTGTATTCATGAGTCCAGAAATTTCAGGTAACTAACAAATATAACTTTTTATAATTTAGGAATACATAAGCTGAGTCTTGCAGCTCTTTGTTTGGCCTGTCTTTTGAACCGTTGCTTAGCAGTGCAAGGCTTCAGGTGTATGTATGTAGACGCATAGTTCTATACTTCTGTAACTTGGGCTCTGAAATTAATTTGTGGTCATTGAGTATGCTCTTGTGCCTCCTCTTCATTTGAAGGCTGTGATGCATTGGTGAAACTTTGCAAAGGCAATGGCCACATGTATTTGCTTTCTGTTCTGTTGACACAATCAACAAGATCATGATTAATGAGTGTGCATTAGATAGGCTTAGTGTGTTTTCATAGTGGCGTTTTAACCATTTCTTCCCAACACAGAACTATTATAAATTTTGTCTCATTTCTTTTCCTTACGGCGTGGAATAAAGTATTTCTAATCTCACTCATTTGGACTTTCAGTTATTTCCAGAAAAGCAATTTCCCTTAGTTTTCAGGTATGAAGCCCCCTTTGGTTTGACAATCTATTTTATTCTGGGTGTTCTCTTAGCAAATGTATGGCAAGTACAGAAATGCTGAGACTGTCATTCATTTGGAAGAAACTCTGTGTCCATTAAATGACCTCTTTAAAAAAAAAACAGGCACCTAAAACTTCCCTGTCACCTCTTAACTGACTTCTTAGTAGTCCCAATCCTGTATTAAATGATAATTTGATAGCTAATTATTTGAAACTAGACTTTAGTCAAAGAATGAAAAATGTCAGCAGAATGGGGATTTGAATATGAAATGTCCTAGCTCCCCCTGAATCATGGATCTCTCTCCCATGTGTAATGTTTATTTTTTTAAATAAGCATTCTTTCTGGTACCTTTTCTGAATATAGATTATTAGAGATGTAACTACAGAAAAAAATTGAAAAGGGCAATATTTATTGCAATGGCCACAAGATGGCAGACCTAAAATCCAGACTTCACAAAGTAATTTAGACATTTACATGAAGAATTGCATCTTTGAGCATCTTTGAGGATGCCTTAAAAGCCATCAGTTTCCTTCACCCTCCCAAAATGTCTCCTCTAGGTTGTCTTGAATTGCTGTCCAGCTCTGTGGCAGGCACAACAAGGGAGAACAGCTTTGATTAACATTGAATCAACAGCTTTGATAAACAGATGGGAATCTGTTTAGCCCCTCTCCCAGAAGGGATCAGACCTTCCTGCCCCTCGCAGAAACCTGCCCTTTGCCTGGCTACCACCATCACCTGCAGCACACACAGACATGCCACCCTGTGTTTCCTTCTCCTTTGCAGAAGCACAACTGCCTTTTCCCTTCTCATGAATTAAAACTCTCTCAAAGGAGCTGCCTCCAATAAACTCACTTTTATGTTTTTCTCTCTACAAAGATCCACTCCAGGCTGGGTGCAGTGGCTCATGCCTGTAATCTCAGCACTTTGGGAGGCCGATCACCTGAGGTGGGCGGATCACCTGAGGTCGGGAGTTCGAGACCAGCCTGGATAACATGGTGAAACCCCGTCTCTACTAAAACTACAAAAATTAACTGGGCATGGTGGTGCATGCCTGTAATCTCAGCTACTCGGGAGGCTGAGGCAGGAGAATCGCTTGAACCCGGGAGGCAGAGGATGCAGTGAGCCGAGATGATGCCACTGCACTCCAGCCTGGGTGACAGAGCAAGACTTCATTTAAAAAAAAAAATCCACTCCACAGAACCTTAATTCAATTTTATTTGAATGTTGCGCTAACAGAATTCCAGAATGTGCCCCCTTCTGCACATATTCTTCTCACAGCAATGGCATGACGATCTGTTTTGTTTTGTATTACAATTTAGCCTGTGGGAATGTTCTATTCCATGTAAACATAAACAATGGAAGGTTTGATTTAACACAAAATATTCAAATTAAGAAGGGAAATATGTAGTTCAAGATGTAGGCGGACAATTTGCTGCTCTGTGCAAAGACTGAGAAATAAATATTAGCAGCTTTAAATATACAATAGAGGCGAAATTAAAACATATTGTTTTTAGAGAGACTTACATATATACACACACATAACCTCACTTCACCAATAAGAAAAAAATAATTGATTGGATGCTATGGGGGCTAAGCCTTGATGTCAGTGACCTATTTTCTGGTAGTTACTCATTTCCAACCAAAAAGTTAATGCAATACGACAGTCTCTTGACAGTAACTGATCACCCATGGACAATAGGTTTAGTTTAGGCAGATACTGGACAAAGCTCTGTCCTGCAGTGAAGTCCAGATGTATTTGGTTTTCTCATTATCACTCATCTATAACCTGCCAGAGATTCTGGTTAGGTGTATTTCACATAGAAAGCTACCTTGGCAGAATTGAATGGTCAACAGAGAGGCTTTCTTATTACTGAACGGGAATAACAAGAATGACCAAGCACCATCATCTAACATTACCACTAACAGAGGGTATTGCAGTATGTCATGGAAGTCCCTTCATTTCACTCACCCTCCCTGCTTCCTAGATTTACCAATTTTTTAAAATATTTTTTTCCAATGGAAGAATCTTTTATTTTGAATTTGTTTGATTTTGCACTTGACTTTGACTTTTTAAAAGTCGCCTTTCAGAACACATTTCCATTTCTCAGTTTCTTAAACTATGTGACATCATGTCTTGCCTATTTCCCACGTGGCCTTTCCTATCAATTTGGATGGAATGATATTGGACAGTTATAGACCAAGTCAAGCCTGGCTTGTCTGGGATGCAACTCTTCTGTGGTCAGCAGACTCCTCTCCAAAGTCTGTTTTCTTCTTTATGTCTGTTTATGGAGCAGATGTCAACTCATGAAAGTCAAATGTGCAGCTTAACAGAAACCAATTTTAAAGGCCTCTCTGAAAGTTTGTCTTGAAAGTAAGAGACCAGTGAGCATGTTTAGATATATTCACTATAAAGGGGAGCTCATAGAAAGTAATGCAAAACCTTTGAATCTTTAACTTTGGTGGGGTCTGTGTCATTTAATAAGCAAATGCTAGCATTTCTTGTGTGGTCATCTCAGGCACTGAACAAAATCTTTACATGCGTGATCCCTTAATTCTCACGATGATCCGGTTACCGGTAGAGGGTCTTGACTGCAAGTTGTCCAGGTTCTTGGAGTTTTGAACAAAGAATTGGACAAAACACAAAGCAAAGCAAGGAAAGAATAAAGCAACAAAAGAATGAAAGCAGGGATTTATTGAAAATGAAAGTACACTCCACAGGGTGGGAGCAGGCCCAAGCAGTGGCTACAGGGCCTGGATACAGAATCTTCTCAGGTTCAAATACCTCCTAGAAGTTTCCCATTGACCACTTGGTGCTCACCTCATGTAAATGAAGCGGTGGCCCGCAATCGGTCTGAAAGCAACCAATCAGAGCCTGAAGTGAAGTTACAAAGGTCACATTCCTGTGCAAACATCTGATTGGTTGCAACCAATCAGAGGCTAAGGTGAAGTTACAAAGTTGCACTTCTTTTTGTTTGTTTGTTTTGCTTTTTGTTTTTTTCATATTTGTTTTTGTTTTTGAGATGGAGTTTCCCTCTTGTTGCCCAGGCTGGAGTGCAGTGGTGTGATCTCAACCTCCTCTCACTGCAACCTCCCCCTGCTGGGTTCCAGTGATTCTCCTGTGTCAGCCTCCTGAGTAGCTGAGATTACAGGTGTCCGCTACCACGCCCAGCTAATTTTTTGTATTTTTAGTAGAGATGGGGTTTCACCATGTTGGCCAGGTTGGTCTCGAACTCCTGACCTCAGGTGATACACCCACCTCGGCCTCCCAAAGTGCTGGGATTACAGGCATGATCCACCATGCCTGGCCACAAAGTTGCACTTCTATGCAAATGAAGACTGGGCTGGCAATCAGTCTGATTGGTTGCAGACAGCCAACTTCCCATCTGCCATGCAGAAAAGGTGGGAGTTTGCAAACGGAGTAACCTTTGGTCCTTTTGTTACTTAGGCATGGAAAATTAGGGTTTTCCTTTTAATTTAGTTCTAGGAAGTTGGAGTGAAATGGCCTTCGGTTCCCTGCCTCCACCATATTCTCCTACCTCAATCCAAGAGAGAGTTATGATTGTCCATCTTAGGTTATTTATGAGGAACTTGAAGTTTCAGAGACAGTGAGTAACTTACCCAGGGCCACAGTCAAAAGGTTATCCCTGAGATTCAAACTCAGGTACATTTGCTTCCAAAGCCCCAGCACTAAATAAAGATCAGTACCTCCTCCTCTTAAAAACTTGAGTAATATTTCATTTGTGTGGGTATGTTTTTTAAAAAATCATAATAGGCTAAAGTGCTCAAAAGAAGTATTTTCTTTTTTTCTTGTTTCTTTTTTTTTTTTTTTTTTTTGGTGGATCAGGCACATAGTAATGAGCAATGCCTCACACATGTCCACTGCCAAGACCTGGGACAATGGTCCCTCCCATCCTTCATTGCCTTTTTATCAATTCTCTAGAAGGACAGGATTCAAGAGAAACATTTAGAATAGGGGGAATAGCTCTTCCTGGCACTCCTCCTCTGGCCTTGGACCTTTTCTATGTGGGAAAATCAGTTGGCTTCAGACTTACTGATTTGTAGCAGGATGCCAAATGATGCTGGCATTTGCCCTCTTAGTGCCCTGAAGCACATGACGTTGGCACTTGAGAGTGTTCTGGTCCAGTTGGAGAAACTGGAGGAACCGCCGGATGGGCCAGCCACCTCCCTGGCTCATGCACTGAGCAAGGAACAGGGTAGAAGCTGGTGCTTAGAGTAAAGAACTTCCACAAGACTCCATGGCCCCCGTGTTAGGAAATTCCAGTCATGTGCTATTAGGTTTCAAAGACAGAATTCTCCGTAATTGGAGTAAACTATTTTTTTGAGGTCAGTTTTAGGTGGGCAACAGGGAGCAAACCACATTAAGAAGTCTGGGCTGCCAAAGCCTGGCCTTTACGAATCTGGTCTGTTCTTTGTCCTTACTGAAACTCATGCTTGTTCAAATATATCTCACCCTGTGGGCCCCACCTCATGTGAGCTGCTTTGCTTTCTGCATGGCCCCTTCTGCATATATCATACATCATTCTGCTGGTGGGTAGGGTTGATATTAATTGATATCAAAGAACTTTTCTTTCTCAAGATGCCATTTGAAAACACAGCTTTTAAAATTTAGGCAAATGAACATCTATCTCCACCCAACCCTCACCCCAAGGGTGAGAGAGAGGCTGTTTTGAATAGGATCTTTCGTCACCATCTGTCTGAAGTCACCTCCTACTGAACTTACAGTTGAATATTCAGGGTCATGAGGGAAAGAAAATAGTAATTAGCTGAGAAAAGTTGATTGAGCGGACTTTTTCCCCCCACAATATGATTAGAACATGACTGCCTGGGCTAAGCACCATACATAATGTAGGCTTTCTCTTATATGTCATTATCCAAACATTCTTAATGGAATGCATTTTTTAAGCATCTGCTTTTGTAATTGAATGCATTCCTAAAGATGGGTCAGCTAACTAAAACAAGAACCCACAAGAAACAATGTGTTAATGCTTCTTCCCAAATCCAATTTGTAATAGTTCCTAATTGGCCTGCCTCATTTGCAACTCCTGAAATTAATTTTAGATCCTCTTTCAGAGCTCAAATCATCATTAATAGAACGACAGCAATGGGGAGTGAAGTAGAAATGTTTACAAAGCTCCCTTTTAAATGGACTGTGATAAGTGAGGTAGCCATGTATTACCATCAGAGGATCCTGGAACTCTCTTTGTGAGGGCTAGCCACAGGCGACACTCAAAAGAAGGCATTTATCTTGGCAGGAGATGCCCTTCAGCCCTGTTTTGTTTTATTCCATGGAAGGTTTTGTTTTTTTTTTTTTCAGGGTGGCTAAAACCATTTTTTTTGGTGTTTTATTAGCTGTATCTTGACTACCTCCTACACACTGAATGACAGTTTAGGGTTATTAAATGTGTTCTTGCACATATTTTTATCCACTGTTAATCCTGACTAAATGTATGACAGGGCACAGAATTTCCCCCTTTTTTCCTCTATTGTTGCCCATATTTGTTAAAGAAATTATTCCCCTTGACATTTGTTTAGGCTGCACGTTGATAAAATGCTGTCTATGATACACTTTCTTAGCTTGGCATTCAGCAGACTTTTATAGATTTATTTCTCTTCACATTATCTTATCTTCCTTCCTAGTATATGTGGGCTTCCTTTTCATATTTTAAGCTACATTTTGGGGCATAGACAGATCACCTTAGTAATTGGTACTTGAGGATGGCAATGTTCTCAAGATAATTTTGCAAGCCTTTGGTATATACTTAAACCTACTAACTGTCTAAGAATGGGCATATATGTACTTTCCGTGTTGTCTGTAAAAAGGCAAAAGGGATAGATTGAACATGATTTCAGGCTTATGGAACTCTCTTCAGGTTGATGGGACAGTAATAATTTCTGAAGCAATATAAATCTGGTCTTGATTCTAGAAGGTAATGCTTTCATTGGGGAAAATAATGATTTTTCTGTTTCCGGTTTATATCCAAGTGTCTTGTCACTGGTATACTCTTTAAACTTGAGCCTTTAAAAAAAAGTGGTGCATCAGAACTGGTGGTATTTTAGTTTTTCCAGTTTTTCAATGGCTGGACCAAAATTTGCCGCGAGAAAAAAAAAAGCAAGGATATTTAATGTAAGCTTCCTAATCTATTTCAATGTGATTTTCTTGGTAGGTGATTTCTGCCAATGTATCAGCAAATTGGCTCATGGGAACTGTGAAAGTGTAGAATCTGACGTAGGGATAGCAAAATGAAATTCGTTTTTATAAAATTATATTCAGTATACCCATCCTCAAAACAAATCTGACCTTTAAGGCAGGGATAATGAAAACCCATAACTATACATAATTAGCTCACAGTGATTTAAATTACAGGTTGAGTATCCCTCATCTGGAATGCTTGGGACCAGAAGTATTTCAGATTTCATATTTTTTTCAGATTTTGGAATATTTGTATTACACTTACCAACTGAGTGTCTCAAATCCAAAAATCCAGAACGCTGCAATGAGCATTGTCTTTGAATGTCCTGTTGGTGCTCAAAGCATCTAGGATTTTGGAGTACTTTGGATTTGGGGTTTTTGGATTTGGGATGTTCAACCTGTCTTAGCTAAATTCTATTAGCTTAAGAAAGAGGTATTTTAACTCAGTTTTAAAAACTTCTTGCTTCAAAAACCAAATTCAATGGCTCTGTTAGCCTGGAATTAAGATTTAGTTTAATTCTAGGCCTGCCAAATCTATACAAATAGGTAATAGCCAGATAAGCCTTAACATATTCAGAATACCTTGCCAAATATCCTGAAGTATGAAATGTTCTTATTTCTCTAGTTTTATATACCTTTTTATCTTATACTAATGACCCTTTGATTTAAATGGACTAGAATTATTGAATGTAGATCTCAATCAAGGTATTTTTGGGGAAAATATCATTAGTTTATGGCCAGTATTTAAATGAGGGTTTCAAAATATAGATAATCTTAGTTACACTAATTTTATTTAGAGTTCTATGATTATATAATGCCAATATCTATAAAAATAGATTTGTTAGCCAAAAGCAAAACAAAATAAAACAAAAATACAATAAGGAGAAGGTTACAAAGAGCAAACTAGATTATTTTATATGAATATTAATTTAAGGTTGGTGAGTGGCTTTAAATGTAATTTTATTAAAAAGATTTTAAATGTACTTTGAGATTTGATAATTAAGGCTAATTTGACTTGGAACTGTATTTAATGACATTTATAGAGAATTAGAAATTGATATATGTTTTTCTCTGACAGTAAAGTGAGAATTAGAAATTAATTCATTGGGATTTTTTATGGTATTATGAGAGGATAAATAAGTGTTAAAGCTTAAAAGCCTAAATTTTAGAATCATACACAAAAACAAGCAATGGGGAAAGGATTCCCTATTTAACAAATGGTGTTGGGAAGCCTGGCTAGCCACATGCAGGAAACTGAAACTGAACCCCTTCCTTACACCTTGTACAAAAATTAATTCAAGATGGATTAAAGACTGAAATGTAAGACCTAAAACCATAAAAACTCTAGAAGAAAACCTAGGCAATACCATTAAGGACATAGGCATGAGCAAAGACTTCATAACGAAAACACCAAAAGCAATGGCAACAAAAGCCAAAATTGACAAATGGGATCTAATTAAACTAAAGAGCTTTTGCACAGCAAAAGAAACTATCGTCAGAGTGAACAGGCAACCTACAGAATGGGAGAAAATTTTTGCAATCTACCCACCTGACAAAGGACTAATATCCAGATTCTACAAAGAACTTAAATAAATTTACAAGAAAAAAAACAACCCCACAAAAAGTGGGCAAAGGATATGAACAGACACTTCTCAAAAGCAGACATTTATGCAGCCAACAAACATATTCAAAAAAGCTCATCATCACTGGTCATCAGAGAAATGCAAATCAAAACCACAATGACGTACTATCTCACACCAGTTAGAATGGCGATCATTAAAAAGTCAGGAAACAACAGATGCTGGAGAGGATGTGGAGAAATAGGAAGGCTTTTGCACTGTTGGTGGGAGTGTAAATTAGTTCAACCATTGTGGAAGACGGTGTGGCGATTCCTCAAGGATCTAGAACCAGAAATACCATTTGACCCAGCAATCCCATTACTGGGTATATACCCAAAGGATTATAAATCATTCTACAATAAAGACACATGCACATGTATGTTTATTGCGGCACTATTCACAATAGCAAAGACTTGGGACCAACCCAAATGCCCATCAATGATAGACTGGATAAAGAAAATGTGGCACATATACACCATGGAATAGTATGCAGCCATAAAAAAGATGAGCTCATGTCCTTTGCAGGGACATGGATGAAGCTGGAAACCATCATTCTCAGCAAACTAACACAAGAACAGAAAACCAAACACTGCATGTTCTCACTCATAGGTGGGAGTTGAACAATGAGAACACATGGACACAGGGAGGGGAACATCACACACTGGGGCCTGTCAGGGGTTGGTGGGCTAGTGGAGGGAGAGCATTAGGGAAATACCTAATGTAGATGATGGGTTAATGGGTGCAGCAAACCACCATGGCATGTATATATCTATGTAACAAACCTGCACATTCTGCACATGTGCACCAGAACTTAAAGTAAAATAATTTTAAAAAATGATTGTTTTTTGGTTGATGATGACTTTTGACAGTGATTAAAGCTATATAATCTCAAATTTTGACGTAGAAAAGGAAAATGGGTTAAAGCAGGCTGAAAGTAGACACAGGGAGTCTGGTTCGGAGACTACTACAGTTTTCCAAGTGGTAGATGATGTAGATTGTATCAGACATTGTGTGTGTGTGAAAATATGTGTGTGTGCCTATCTGTGCATGAAGAATGGAAGGACAGACAGAACATATTATAGATAGCCTGGGTGGGAAAATGAGCAAATTATATACCTGCTAAGATTTTGAACCATGTACCTGCTGTTTACTTGATGACCGAAAGCTTAACTTACAAGTTTTAAATGTTTACTCTTAGGATATTTTCTAAGAATAATGCTTAAAAGTATAAGCAGAAAAAAGTTAAAAAATGTCTTATTCATCCTGTCACCTTGAAATGGTGATTATTATCATTTTGGTATACTTCCTTCCTGTCCTTGTTTTTTCCTATGAGTATAGCTTTATGTTTTAGGGATTATCTTGGATATATATACATTTGTATGTCGAAAACTATGAAGGGTCTGAGATCTTCCCTACTGGCATCCTAACAAGTTAGCCTGCCTCAGTTCCATGGATGCAGGCAGATGACAAGAGACTTCTGGGCCAAAGATAAAGGACTTTATTGCTCATGGCACAGAGTGAAGAATTAGTATATTTGTGTCAATTTTCCTAGCTCCAAGTCCCATGGAGGCCAGTCGGATGGACTGGATGAACACATACATGTAGTCATTTGTATTATAGGAGGGCAACCCTGAGATTAGAGAATCTGAATATTTTATAATGGGCAGTAACATGCCTGCCTTTTGCTCTGGAAGGAGACACTATTATATGGGGCAGTAAGCGTGTCTTCCCTTTGATCCAAAAAGAAATACCACCTCTGTCTTTCAAAGCTAGTCACTATACAAACGGCCTTGAAAGTTTGTCATAAAAGAAAATAGTGCCTGTGCTTGTAAAATGTACAGAAACATGAGAGACTCATAGAGAATTGTTTCTCAACAAACATAAATATTTTCACATCACTAAGGTTTTTTAATCAGCATTTTAAATACCTGCATATGTCTGTAAAGATGCCGTTGTAGAGGTGTAGTCAATTTACCTCCAATCCCCAATTTTCCTAATATCGGTCCTTTAGTTTGTTTTCATTAAAAAAGCTTCACTTAGATATTTCAGTTTGCAACAGAGGGGATAAAATATTGCAGTCACCTTGTGTGTTGTAGCTAAAGTTTGGAATAGCAGATAGCAAATAGGCTCTCCCCGATTTAAAGTCTGTATAGCCTCTTCAGCTTCGCCCTCTGTATAAATATGCACTGGCTGGGAGCCGCAAGCATGTCTATTGTCTCAGCTGTTATCCAAAGGCAGACAGGCTCTGTGAAGCTGGATATTAATGCTGCTGCCGGTAGTCCAGCCTGCACTGCTTTTCTTCTGGAAAATGGAGATATTTCCTGACATGTTCTGCTGCTCACACATCTGCGTGAGCTTCAAACAGAAGCTCCTACTACCAGGCATTAGTGGGGCCCAGAAAACTCCATATAAATCCCTGCAGTGAAAAGGGGAATAATCTGAGATCCAAATAATGACCACCTTGTCCAAACATCTGGAGAGGGCCTGGTCTGGTGATGGAGATTAAAGAAAGGCAAAACAGGATCATGACCAGGTTTTAGTCCTGGGCCTTGTGTGCGAGGGAAGTTCCCAATGTGGAGGCTTCCTTGGGGCTGTGGGGTCTTCCAAAGTGTCTAGAATGTTTCAGAAGAGACACAAATGGTGGAGATAAGACTTTCCCAGTGGAAAGGAAGATTCAGTGAAACACACCCAGGAGAGCTATTTCCTACGCAAAAATCATCCCAGAAAATTCCAGGTTAAAATTTGTGACAGATGTGGTCATAAAATTATACTGTAAAGATTGAAGGAGGCAACTTTAAAACTTTTTGAATAAGCGATGACTGTAGGTTAAGCAGGAAGCAAAGCATTCTAATTTTTTTTAAATGAGAGGAAGAGGTGTCTGGTGATATCTTTAAAAGTCTGTAAAAAGTAAAAAATGAACTTACCTCTTCCTTGAACTAACATTTTTGAGCACTCGCTATGTGCTGAGGGATCTTCTAGAAGCTTGAGAATTGGTGGTGCACAAGATCGATGAGGTCCCAATTTCATGGAGCGTCAAGTCTAGAAAGCAAATAATAAATAAGATGCTATCAAATGGCAAAGAGTTCTATAAAAAAAATGAAGTAGTGTAATGTGACAGATGACCGACTTGGACATGAGGTGGTCTAAGTCAGTGGTCAGTCACAGACCTGGAAGATAAGAGCTGTGTGAGGCAAAAGCATAGAAAGGCAAAGCCTGTGATGTGAGGGGACAAGGGTAACATTTTTGAGGACTAGCAGAGACCTGGAACGAAATGTGCTGGAGCCTAATGATTGAGGAAGGAGAAGAGGAACAGAGGCCCTCAGAGAGGTTGTCATGGCTGATTAGCGTAATGTGTTGCAAGCATCAATAAAAGGTCTGGATTTCAAGTCTAAAGAGTGATGCAATGGATCTTTACACAATAGAATGGTGGAATCTGGGCTTATAATGTTTTGAAAGATGACTTTACTCTCTTTACCAGAGAGATCAATGAGTAAGCTTTTGTAGTGGTCCCCAGTGAGTGATGCTGATGGTTCGTAGATGTTTTTATAGTAGTGCATGAGTTTAGATAAGGGGCATACTTTCAAGTAAAACCTACTGAAGTTGTCAGTGGATTGGCTCTGGATAGAGAAAGAAGGAAAGAACTCAGGGATGACTTCTAAGTTCAGGGTTTGCACTACTTAGTGGATGGTAGTGTAATTACTGAAATAAGGAAGGCTGAGGAAGTAATCGTTTTTGGTGGGATGGCAAAGGAGCATCACTAAATGCATTGAAAATAGAACAGGGTTTCCAGTAAATTTCTCTGCCTGCCTTCAAAAGAAAATCTTGCATTAAAAAAGTAATAGGTGAAATTGCTACCCAGTTTTGGGGGGGTTTTCGCAGAGTATCTAGAAGCTTACTTGGTGCTATAGTTTGAATGTATCCCCCAAAAGTTCATATGATGGAAACTTAATTACCAATATAACAGTATTAAAAGGCAGGGGCATTAAGGGGTGCTTAGATCATGAGGATCATGAGGGTGGAGCCCTCACAAATGGACTAATTATCTTGTCTCAGGAGTAAATTAGTTCTTGAGAGAGCAGGTTGTTATAAAAGGAAGCTTTGCTTGATCTTGTGGTCTCTTTCACGCTTGCTCACTTGTCCTTCTACTTTGGTCTCTTTCACACTTGCTCACTTGTCCTTCTACTTTTCTTGCCATGTTAGTACAAAAGCCCTTGCTGGAAGCTACCACCATGCCCTTAAACTTCCCAATCTCCAGAATCATGAGCCAAATAAACATCTTTTCTTTATAAATTATGCAGTCTCAGACATTACTTTGTAACAACATAAAACAGACTAAGACTCTTGGCAAATTGATGGATGGATAGATGAATATATGTATGTTTGGTTGGATGGGTGGATAAATGTGTCAGCAATGAATGCTCAGATTTGTCCCTTCCCATTTATAACATGTGAAGCCATTAAAAGATTCCTCTCTCAGTGGCTGCAGTGTGCAGTCTCAGGGATTCTGACCCAAACTACTTTGTCCATTCTGAAAGCCAAAGAGCTAGTTTGTTTTAAGTAGTATTCATAATTTCTTTCCATTGAGACAATACTCTGTGGTTCATTTCAACTATAAATGCCAATTGTTTGTTTTTTTTTTTATTTTACAAAAATGATCTCAATAATCTTTATTTTACCAGACAGGAAGCACTACTTGCAGCCATCAGTGAAAAAGATGCAAACATTGCCTTGCTGGAATTGTCTGCCTCCAAAAAGAAAAAGACGCAGGAAGAAGTCATGGCCCTCAAGCGGGAAAAAGACCGACTAGTACATCAATTAAAGCAGCAGGTGGGGCCTCCTGCAAGACAGGTGTGTTTTTCTGGGTTTGGGGCTTTGGGGGCTTTCTCTGGATTTTAGCCACTCTTCATTTTCCCATGTCCATCCTGTGGGCTCAAGCTCCTAAAACCAGGTAGGAGTGCAATGGACCCAGTTGTCGCTGCAACACCATTTTACTGCTTTTCTGTGTTTATGTGCATGTGGCTGGGCTTGTGTGGTTTGCAACCAGTGCTGTTTTCCTTTCTTTTGTGTCAGCGTCATCTCCCCAGAAATAGCTCTCAACTTTCTTTCCTCCAGTGGACTTTGTTTGACTTCTGATTAAATTCTAGAAACTTATAATTTAAATTCTGGGCAAAATTCTTTCCTGTTGGACCTGTTACCTTCCGTCTTGCTCATTTTCTGGTCCCTGTAAAGAATTGCCCTCATCCAGGTTTTTAGGTTTCATTCCCTATTCTTTCAACTTTAGTTCTTTGACTATTTCCTCCAATACCTTTCAGCCAAGGAGCATCTCCCAGGTTCTAGCACTGCCAGACTATGCTTAGAGACCACCCAGCCATTCTTCACTCTATTTTTAAAAAATCACCTGTTTGCCCCGTTATCCTGTGTTTTCACCCCTCTAGGCCACTGTATTTGTTTTGAGGGACATGGAAGCAGGGGCATAGTTCTAACTTGTGCAGAAAATTCCTTGCTCTCTGGAAGGTTTTCTGGAAGTGGCTTAAATGGAAATAATTACACCTGAAGTATATTGGAAAATCATCCATGAAATTTTCAGATGATATTTCTCCTCCTCATATTACTTGGTGACTCTTGTAAGCAATGATTGAAGATATTCACTAAGATTCGAGTTCATTATGAAACTCAGTCAGCTCAATGGTTTATGGCCTTGCAGAGTGGCTACCACATTTTACCTAGGGCCTTATGTGGCTCTGAAGCTCTCTAATGGCCACACAGTAACCATGTGGAGTGTGTCCATATTGACTCAGCCCCTGGGGCAGGCTCTCTGCCTGCTAGAGTGATCTGTGCCAAGCACCATGGGCAAGGTGAGTGGAAGGGAAGCCTGAAGGAATAAGTTCCCTCCACTTACAATGTGACTAACCCTTTTACCCCTCAGGAAGGAAAAGGCATACATTGACCCTGCACCAGAGTTCATTTCTCATGGGGCTGCCTTGTTCAGAGACAGTGAGAGAGACAGAGAATGTGTGTGTGTGTGTGTGTGTGTGTGTGTGTGTGTGTGTGTGTGAGAGAGAGAGAAAGAATGAGAGACAGAGAGAATGAGAGAGAGAGAGAGACAGAGAATGTGTGTGTGTGTGTGTGTGTGAGAGAGAGAGAGAATGAGAGACAGAGAGAATGAGAGAGAGAGAGAGAAAGAGAGACAGAGAGACAGACCACTACTGTGTCTGAACACTCTCTCCTTGTAGAGGGAGGGTCCCAGTCACTGCCAGACACTGGGGTCATTCCACAGAGTGGCATGCCTTGCTAACGCTGGCCTCAGGGGTCAGAGATTGCTTACACCTGACCTCTTTGTTTGGAGCTGTGCATCTTTTACACTGGATTTTCCACCTACTTGGCCACAGAAAGTCAAAATGAGCGTCTTTCTTTGCTTTTCCCTAATTCCTTCCCTGCACCCTCCTCTCCTGCACCTAACCATTGTAGCTTTCTCCCACAGGTTTATAGACCTAAGAAACAGCCCTTGAGCTCGAATATACCATGCACTTGTGGTGCTGGCCACAGTCCAGATATTACGGCCAAGTACCACTGGTCCAGCTACGATGCATACATGATCCAAAGGTCTCAGGTCAGTCAGCTGCTAAGGAGACACTTGCCCCCGTCATTGGGGGTGGGGGTGCATAAGAGCTCATCCAACCTTGACCTTCACCTCTTTTGATGATTTCCAGTACTCTATGGCCATAAAAACTGAGACCATAGATGATAGCATTAGATCATGATTTGCAGTGTCATTTCATTTATTGTGTATATACCAATGGTTCCAGACTTTGGCCACCTGATAGGGTCAGCTCTTGCAGAATTAGCTTGGTGGAGCTGCAGAGCAAAGGCTGCCAGAAGCCTTCTTACCAGGCAGAATGGATAATTTTTCCTTTCTTTCTCTTAGATACTTTGCTCCTCATGTCCCCATCTACTTTTCCCAGTAAGGAATTTTTAAGGCTACCTTTTTTCTTTCCCAGCATCATGAAAATTCACTTCTTGATTCCAGTAAGGATTGAGCATAGTCCTTCAGTTTGTTCCTGGGAACCTGCACGAAGCCTTTATTCTTTACGACGAGCTTGGTTTTTGGTGTCATGGGGTACATTTGGGAAACCTCAGCTACGCAGAGTTCAGCTCCTGTATGTGCTAAGGCAGTGTCCAAAGGGCTGTTGTGGAGAAGGATGCAGTGAAGGAAGAGGATGGGCTCCTTCGTGATTTAGGTCTGATATCCTTCCTCACCCCACCCACCAAAGAGCAGGAAAAATCACCTGAATTTCAGTATCCTTATTGCCAATGATAATGACTCTAAGAACAATGATTAATGTGCTATCAAAATAACCCCCTGTTATTGAGCATTTACTCCATGCTGGGTCTTGTATCCAGTGTCCCTCAGAGATGTTGTCCCATAGTCCTCACAGCAACCATGTGAGTGTGTGCAGGATTATCTCCCTTTTCTAGGGAGCATAACTGAGGCTCAGGGTGTGGAATAACCAGTCCAACGACTCACAGCTTGTAAGTGATGGGGTTCAGGCTTTAGATAGTCTACCGGATTCCACACATACCCCATCAGGTTCAGGGAGAAATTCAGAGTGTCAAGCAGAATGGTATTCCCAGAAATTGTGAGGCCTCCTTATCTTCATAAACGTAAAGTAGATGCCAAAAAAACCATTTAAGAATGTTCTCCAGCTGTTCATAAACAGTGGGTTCTGCCTGGAGTCCTTAGGCTTAGGTTATTTGATCACATCAACAACAATTACTAATACTTTTGAGCTCTCATCATGTACTAGGCATGGGTATAAGGGCTTTACATACATCAACTCATCACCTCCCAACAAGACTGAGGGTTTGATACTCTTATAGAGAAGAAGCCAGAGGCCCATAGAGGTTGGGTATCTTGCTCAGCCTCACAGTTGGATATACCATAATGCTTAAGGAGACCCTTTGCCAAATGATCATAAAAGATGACATCCAAAGTTAAGCTGTTTAAGGTGAATCCTGTTTCTAACATTTATTATCTGAGTGATTACAGGCAAGATACTAAACCTTCTTCAACCTCAGTTTCCTCATCTGTAAATTGGGCTAACAATTCAAAGAGTTATTGTGAGGTGAAAGGTAAACCAAGTGCTTTGCATATGCCTGGCACATAATAGGTGCTTCATATGTGTAAGCTGCTATTGCAACTACTATTACTATTAATGTTACTATTATTGCTACTACTACTAATTGACATTATCACTGCCAACCCTCAGAGGTAGTTTAATTTTGATTTCATCATTACTGCTTTGCAAACAGCTGGGCACATGTTGAGAACACATTGTTGAGCTGTGGCAACTGTGGCAGAAAGAGCAGATAGATGTTGACACCTAAGCTTCCTGGTCCTCCTCTCCTAAAGCCAAAGCACTTGTGGAGCAGTGAGCAGACATGTCAGAAACCCTGGACCCCAGGTCCCAGCCTGCACTGAAGAGGCCCATAGCGCCTGTACTTGCGCATGTACTTGGTTTGTATATGCAGCACACATAGATATCAGTGAAGGAGGGCAGTCCTGGAAGGGTGAGTCCCAGATCTCAATTGTCTTGACCTGCATGGCTGACTTGGAAGAGCAGAGCTCTTTCAGGGACCAGGCCAATGAAAGGGGAAGGCCACCCTTCTGGCCTGCTCAGTCTTCTGTGCAGATGTTGAGGCAGACTGGCTCATGAGAGATGCCACCCTCTTCAGACTGCCTTCTTTTTTCAAGACATGGTCTCACTGTCACCCAGGCTAGAGTACAGTGGTATAATCACAGCTCACTTCGGCCACTACCTCCTGAACTCAAGTGATCCTCCCACCTCAGCAGGCATGCCCCACCTTTCCTAGCTCATTTTTGTATTTTTTTGTAGAAATGGGGTTTCACTACATTGCCTAGGCAGGTCTCAAACTCCTGGGCTCAAGCAGTCTTCCCACCTCGGCCTCCCAAAGTGCTGGGATTACGGGTGTGAGCCACACTGCCTAGCCCAGGTAGCCTTTTGAGCTCAACGTATACAGAAAATCTCTCCCCTTCCCAGACCACCACAAGTGACTGAGTTATTGCCAGGCACATAGTAGGTGCTCAGTAAATATTTGTTGTATGAATGAATGCATGATTACCACTTTCCAGGCTCTATGCCAAATGCTTTATGGTAACCTAAGTTTACAAACATCATCTCATTTTTTCCTTATAATCAACCAACTTATTGCCTACCTACTCTGCCAGACTCTCTGGCAGTGCTGGGGAATCATCTATAACAGATATTTTGTCTGGCCCAATAAGGAAAGCATCACCCTTATTTTTGAGTTGATTAAACCAAAGTCCAAGAGACTATATGACTTAATCACCATCAAACCACTCATATCTGGTGCAGCGTTGGCCCTGGTGCTGCAGGAGTGCTAAGACCTTGCTTGTGGCTAGGCTGAACACTGACTCCCTAAAGCAATGTTGTGAGCCATGATCAGCCCCCATACCTCACAGCTGTCATCAGAGAAACCCAGTTCCAGTGGTTCAGCTTGTGACTCCCAACCTGTCCAGGGTGATGGGAATTAATAGGAGTGTGCAGCTTGGTGAGACCAAGTGCTATGTTTGCCACATTGGAATTCAACTTAACGAGTATTCATTGACTGCCTGCTCTGTGTTACAGTGCTAGGCATGGAATACATCAGTGACCAAAATACATAAAGACCGCTTCCTTGTGTAGCTTACAATTTTTTTTTTTTTTTTTTTTTTTTTTTTGCGATAGAGTCTCACTGCATTACCCTGGCTGGACTGCAGTGGCGCGATCATAGCTCACTGCAAGCTCCAACTCCTGGGCTCTAGCGATACTCCCACCTCAGCCTCCCCAGTAGCTGGGACTACAGCTGTGCACAACCATGCCTAGCTTGTTTTATTATTATTTTTTAGAAGAGACAAGGTCTCGCTAGGTCAGGCTGGTCTTGAACTCCGAGACTCAAGCAATCCTCCCACCTTGGCCTCCCAAATTGTGGGGATTGTTAGGCATGAGCCACCACACCCAGACAGGCTTACTTTTTAATAGGGGGAGAAAGGCAATAAACAACGGACATAATACATAAATTGTATGGTAGAAAAGAAGAAAAATACAGACTAGTATAAGGCAAAACAGGAGTTCCAGGGTAGGATCAGGGATCTGGTGACAATTTAAAATAGGGTAGACAGGATGGGTGTCATTGGGAAGGAGACATTGGAGCAAGGACTTGAAGGTGGTGAGGGAATGAGCCATTTAGATGTCTAGGGGAAGGATTTTCCAGCAGACGGAATGAAGCAGAAGTGTACGTGTGTGTTTGGGGGATAGCAAGGAGCCCAATATGGCTGGCGTAGAGTGAGCAAGGAGGCAAGGAAGTGAGTTGTCAGAGTGGGAATGGGTGGAATAGACTGTAGGACTCCTGTGCAGGATCTGCTAAGAGTGGTGTATTCTGAGGCAGAACTTCTGTGCAGTTAGGAAGCAGAATACACTAGCTCTGCAGCCTCAGAACAGGGAGGGCTCCCCTCATCACTACTATGGACTGGCCTGTTTAAGGCTACCCTAGTGAGCTCACTCTCCACATCCCCTAGCTCCAGCCTCCATGGAGTCTCAAGGTGCTTGGCTTGCCTTTTTAGGAAACACTGCTGCTTCCGTTGGGGCCACAAAAGAGAACTCATGCCAGAATTTGCCTGTCACACCTGACGAGATTTTTAAGTAGTGTGGGAGTAGGGCTGATGACAAAATACCCTCCGTGACTTTATGGCAGTCTCAACAACACGCCGTCAGAGTACAAGTCTTGACCTTCCTTGCTGTCAAGAGGCATGCAGGTAGACAAGAGTAGCCATTCCCCAACTCTTGGCCTGCACTGGGGGTTGCCTGTGCCTAGGAGAAGAAGTACATCTGGCCTCCAGGCCAGGCCAGCTGTTTTCAAACTTCAGTGGGCAGAAACATAATCCTTTCTAAAGATAAATCTCAGGTTACACTCATCACCCCCCAGTCCTTACTGCTGAAAACCCTTCCCAGGCTCCTCTAGGGGTTAGGATAAATACAAACTCAAACCAATGTGCTCTGTATCTTGCATGTACCCTTCCCTTTGCCTGGAATGTTTTTCCCTCTTTTCTTTACCTAGTTAATGCCTACTCATCCATTCAATCTCAGTCCAACATCACTTCTCCAGGGAAGCCTTCTGGGACTTGCTCAATTGGGTCAAATCTGCCAAGCTGACATTTTTGAGCACATGTATTATCCATTTTATAGCACTTGTAACAGATATAATTTTCCATTTGTTTTGTGATGATTTTAATAATAGCTATCTGCCTTGCTAGTTTTTGAGCTCCATAAGGACTGAGAATATGGTAACATGAGTTTTTGCTCATCATTGATCTCTAAGAGATAATTGTGTTATCTTTTGCTAACACAATTGCTAGCACATTTGCTGAATGCTAGTAGGCATTCAGCAAATATTTGTTGAATGTATGAATGAATGAATAAATCATGATGGCAAGAAAAGAAACATCATTGATCAATCATGATCCTTGTTCCCTGTAGGTAAGACTTAGCCTCATAATTCTCACCCCAATATTCTAGGCAGCCACCACCAGTCTGTAGGGCTTGATAGAGAAGATGAGGCCTGTGTGTCAACTGATGACCACAAAATGGCACCACGCCCTTTCTTGCCACATTGCAAGACACTTTTACAGAGTGACTTTCTCCATGGTTGAACTAATTGGGGTGGCGGCAATTTTGGACTTTTATTCCAAATTTTTTTACCTTCTTCTAGTTCAAATCTCCTCCAATTTCTTGGGCTCTTTTTGAGTAAAATGTCACTGAGTTCTCAGAAGTAGCAGAGATTGCTTGCTGTTATGAAGGGAATCCGTCCATTTCATCCCTGAAAACTCCTGAGTATCTCATAAATCAATTTGCCTAGAAATGTTTTAACTCTTGTTAAACATCTGTCAATAAAGCTAAAAGTGATATGAAATGAGTTCAGAAATTCCAATTGTGCTTAACAATAAAAGAATCTTTGTGATGCTCTTCAGGTGTTGACATTTGGGTTAGTTCTAGGCTGAGCATGGTATAAAGGTAAAAGAGCAGTACAAATTAACTTTCTGCTACTTGTTGCATTAAAAAAAGATAAAGGATTGATTCTAGTTTGGTAGAGTAGATATCTAAAACTATCCAACTTTTGTATTCCTTTCACTTCTGTTTCTTTACAGGCACATACCTCTGATACTTTTACTTCGCTTCTTTTTAAAAATAATCTTGCTTGCAGATTTGTGCAGTTTTGAGAGAGGGCCTCAATTGGGAATCAGTTAAATTTTGATTTGGTTCTTTTTCTATGGAGGCCAGTTCTAAAAAATATAAGAAAATTACCACCTTTCCTTTTTTGGTGTCTTGGAGCCAATCTCCCCAACTCTTTTTCTTCACCCTTGAAAAAAGGACTGACATCAAAATAATTAATTCTGAAATCACTGGATTTGCCTGCTACTAAGGGGTTTTTGAAGAAAGCTTAAAACTAAATCTTACCCCGTAAGCCGTATTCTCAAATGCTCCCCTGTGTGCTGAAGTAGTGATACACACATCCTTGATGAACATGCCTTTTTAAAATGAGGGCCAGACATTATTGTTTAGTTAAAATGAGAACCAGCTTATTTCTCAGAACTAGTTAGACTATTTTTGAGATCAGAGATAAATTGTACTTGGTTTTCTTTTCCTTTTCCTACCAGTTCTGGGCATTGCTTTTGGCCACCAGGAAACACATAGGTCAGCTAGAGCAGGAAGGCATTAAGACCAGGAGACTAGTCCCCTGGTTCTCTGTGATCCCCCTCCCATGGGGTTTGCAGAAAAAAAAGTCCCATGTCTAGGTAAACATTCTGGAGGCCATAACAAGTTGCATGTAATGTAATCTATTTAGGTAGAGCCTCTCTGCCCTGTGTTGTCCGAAAATCATAGGACTGTCTACAAGGATTAGTCTACAAGGATTAGTCGCAGATGTGGTAAAAAATGGGAGAAGGCAGAGGCTGCCCTGGAATGTGTTCAGGAGAGCCACCTACAAGGATGGAATCCTAGTCAAAATTGGATCTCAGCAGAGGTAGACCCGTCCTGTCCAGGAAAGTAAGAAGCACCTGAGTGGAGTGTTTAGCCAGACATTTCTTCTCCCCTCTGCTAGAAGCCACGGTTGTGCTTCCCATTTACACTTTCAGTGCTTCATGTGCAGATGACTTTTAATTACCCTTTATGGTTCAGGAGGTTAGCACAGTTAAACAGCAGTAGAGGAACCCCATGCAGTAGGGTTCCCATAGCCTCCTGTTGTGTTTGGATTACCTCCAGAAAAGCTTGATTTGATCCCAGCATTGTAATGCATCACAGACTTGGTCCAGATCAAATTGCTAAAATGCAAATGTATTGGTTTTTACAGCAGACCCACTTTGGGTTAAGCTGTTTGTGTCCCACCGGTAGAATCTAGCCACATCTCTATTTATTTTTGACTTCAGTGCAAAGTGTCTTTACAGTCTATTCTAGAGAACCCCTTTTAATAAAAAAAGAAATACTCAGATCTGGCAGGTTATTCTTATGGAGGTAAAGCCTGAACTGCTCAGTGTTACTGTAAACAATTTCCTCTTAATGTCCAAGCAATTGGGTAAGACACTCATCTGCTCTCTTAGCCTGGAAACATTCTTTATCCTAGGCAGCTGGTGCCTCAACCCCAGTACTCAGGGAATCCACTCAGTTTGCCCTTGCAACAAAAAATAGCACTCAGTGAATATGGAGGCAAAGTATTTTCTCTGATTTCATGCATTTTTCAAATCCCTATCAGAAGGGCATCTTCCCAGAGCATCAAGCTGACCTGATGGCCAACTGTGTGAGTCTCTCACTTGAGTGTCTTCCTTGGGTGAAAGCTCTGTTTTAAACATATTTTAGTTCATCTCCCTAAACATGCATGGAGCACTTATGGGCACTCTTTGGCTATAGGAGGTGTTGATTTTGTCCTTAAGCCTTGGAGTTTTATCATCTCTACTAGCAGTATCATAGATACTAGCTCATGAAAGATAAAATAGGACAAAGTGCTATTTTTTTTTGTTGCAGAGATGTTACTGAAGTTCAAAAACCTTTGCCTGCTGGAGGAATCAGAGAATGCTTTCTACATAAGTAGAAATTCCCATGAATTCTGTGATTGGCAATCTGTAGCCCACCTTTTGTGACAAATGCCTATTTAACCATGATACTTTCTCTTAGGGTTTTAAGGATCCCAGTACAAGTATTGCTAGTTTTAGGAGGAGTGGAGAAACTCACTCTTTGCTTTTTAAGTATTAGTTTAGAAAAACTTGAAAAGATCAACTTTACCATTGTGTTCCCTGGCTTTTAGAAATGCATAAAGGGGGAGGTGGCTCTGATTTTTAAATTTCAGAGTGATTTGCCAACTTTGCTTCAGTAACTTGAAGCACCCCACAGCACTGAGCAGTTGGCAGAGCATATCAGAATAACAGGCTTAGCTGAAGGTGACCAAAACAGGGAATAGCATGCAAATGCCAAGAAGATCTCTCACTGTGCTCTCTCTCTCTTTTTATTCAAATTTCACATCTGTGCTCTATTTTTAAACATTTATTCTTTAAGTGATAACGCATGTTTTACCAAGCCTCTTATTGGATTAGACATGTTTGAAATCCCTTCAACTTTAACCTGTTCATTACCGCCTCAGAGAACATTCAGATCCACCACCAAAGTAGAGTGTGTACAGGAGAAACTTCCCAAGATGTTGGCCACCAGGGAGCCATTAGGCTTTGTGGGGAGGAATCCAGCTGTTAGACTGTGTGGATTTTGGGAGTTATTAGACTGACATTGCTTCAGTGAGGCTTAGGAGTGGGTATAATGTGTGCAGAGACCTTGCTTTTCATCATTGTTTTTCTATTCACATTTTAGAATGTGAGGAACCAACAGTTTTTGAGCTCTTATTGTATACTTGGCATTGGGCTAGGGATTTTAAATATATTATCTCATTTAATCCTCATGACAACCCTAAAAACCAGATGTTAATAATTCTGTTTTACAGATGAGGAAACTTGGGTTCAGGAACTATGCAGAGATGCCACAGCTGGTAAGGGGTGGAACCAGAGCCCAAATGGGACTCACATTGAAGCTTTTCCATGCTCTTCCCAGGAGCTATCCCTGAATTGGTGCAATACTTCAGTTAGGTCTTAGCCCCTGTAAACTTGAGGCTAAAAAGCAGAATAAAGAAGGCTTTATTCTGTGACCCTGAGCAACCACTCCCCACCCCTCCTGACCCTTCTCGCCTGGCCCCTGCTGGCTCCCGCCATGACCTGAGGCCACCATGTGCAGGCTGGGAAGGGCGACTTATCTCTTCCTGCATCACCAGACATCACCGGTTGCCACTAGGGGAGAAGGCTGCAGGCTCAATCAAGTGTGCTGTCATTTTGGTTTTCTTGCAAGAAATGTTGGCACTTACCTCCTGCAGCCTTTGTGTTTCATTCTCAAGGTATCTGTTGGAAAGCCTTTTTCTCTTTAGTTTTACATTTTCTTTTTCATCATTTAACATATAAAACCAGGTTTTTCCTGGTCCCTTTCTCTCTCTCCCTCCGTTCCTTCCTCTCATCATATAATTAAAAGTCCTTTCAGCCTGTCTTCACCTTATCATTTCAAATACATTGAAAAAAGATCCCACTTCCTGCCCTTGTGTCCTCCTGATGCTGGATTTCAAAATGAAAGAAAAGCCCCTTTTCACTTCCTTTTTGCTTCATACTGCCCCTTGAAAAGCTGTGTTAAAGTGATATTGATTTTGTCATTGATCACCATTGTGGTGCACACCAGGTCTGTCCTTTCCTGGCTTCAGAACTTCTTCTTTTTCAGCTTTTTCAAATAATAGTATCAGGATTTTTTTCCTGAAAATTAAGGAAAAGGATTTTTCACCCTCTCCTCTCATGATTACAGGAAGACATTTATCAGACTTGGAATTTAAAATTTCCAGTAGTTTGCCTTTAATCTTTCTCAACTTTATATTCTTTTGGGGAAGATGTCACTTTCTTCTTTTGATTCTCTGCAACACACTAAAAGTTCCAGAATCTCCCTTGTTTATTGTTTTTTTTCAATGTTACCCCTTAATAATGCACTAGATTAAAAGGTAATAAGGATTTGATTTTGTAGCATTCTTTCTATGTAAATGAGCTTTTCCATAGTTGAAAGCATAGAGATACATCTTTTATCATAGAAATAATATTTGCTCATAATAGAAACTTCAAAAAATGTAAATAAAAAACTAAAGTTACCCATAATCCCACTACTCAGAAATAACTGTCACTAAGATTTATAGTTTCCTACATTCCATTGTCTACATATATATTTGAACAAAGACATGACATACTACATAATAAAGTTTGTTTAGCCTTTTAAACATTTAATATTTTGTGCATTTTCCCATGTCCTTAAAAGCCTTCGAAAACATATTTCTTGGTTTATGATTTCCATCATTTTGCAGTCATTAATTTTACCATTCTGTTTTGGGGATTTTGATTTGTTTCTAGCTTTTCACTTTTATAATCACACTGTGATGAACATCTTAGTACATAAGTCTTTTATTTTTTATGTTATTTTCTTTAGGATTAATGCCCAAGAGTTGAATTATTAGACTTGTGGGTAGTTTTAAGATTTTAGAGCATTAAGAAATGGCCGTCTCCTACAGTGGACTTGACATTCGTAAATATTTAAATAAATGTCAACTGTTCGTGTTAAATTTTTCAGGCTACATTCTGAAAACATGCCACTCATAGATTTGGGGCAGAATCCTACTACAGGAAGTGCAAGTGATCAGTAAACAGAGACAACAAGAGGCAGAGAGAGATTTTCAAAACTTAGGTGGGCATGGAAAGAAGTAGGCAGTTTATCCAGCAAATATTTGTTGAGCATGTACTACGTTCCAGATACTATCTGGACACCGGAGACACAACAGTGAACAAAACAGACAATTCCCTGCCCCAACTATTCCAGTGAAGAAACAAGAAACAAAATAAAGACATCAAATGTAGGGCATGTTGCACGATAATAAATACTATGGGAAAAACCAAAGATGATGCTCTATGAGGGATTTGGGGAGCTGATTTTGAATAGGGTGTTCCACAGATACCCTGCCCGGGAAAGCACTAGAGTTTTCCAGCCAAGTGGGGGGTGAGCCATGTGGAAGCCCTGTGCATGGAGGGGAGACCTCAGTGAGGACAAACTGCAGCCAGGAAAGTTGGAATCTGTTCCTCTGGGCCAGCTCCCCACGTGCAGTTGCTAAGTTGACAAGGTGGGGGAGCCAGAACCCCACAACACTAGTGTTTAGATGACATTATTATTTTTTTTTAATATGCATACAACAACCCAACCCCATTCTCTTATCTCTGCCCTGATATAGCCACTGAGACATGACCCCGTTGGGCACAACCAAAAAATCTTCATTCAAATGATCTTTGACACAGCCTGGGAATGGAATTGGGCAAAAAGACTATAACTTTAGATCAGATAGAGAGGTGGTCATCCCAGAAAACAGTGAAAACCCACAAGAATGGCAACTCAGAAGGTCTAAATCCAAGGCTGTTCTTACGCCCCAGAAACTACAATTAACTGATTATCTTGCAGCTGGCTTATTTCCTCTTTCTCATGGCCCAGCACTCCTAGAATTACAAACACAGCTCAGAAGCCAACCAGAAAGGTGGCTCTGGGCCACCTTGGGTGTGATGAAGCCACTTAGGGTGCTGGGGTAGGAAGGAGGTATGTGGATCACAAAGCCAGGCAGAGTTTCTGTTGTCAGTCTTCCTGGTTTGGGGGTCTAATGCTCGCTGAGATGTCTGATGCAAAGGCCACCTTAAAGTGTAATGTTAAAAGTTTAAACAAAGCAAGGCAACCCACCTCCCCAGGGGAGCCCTGGCAGGCAGTAGAAGGTTCAGGGTCTGAGAATGGACCCAAGAGTTCTAGCCCAGCTCTGGTCCCAATGCACTGAGAAACCTTGGGCAGCTCATTTTGCTTCTCTCTCACAGGCTCAGTTCCCCCATCTGTAAAGTAAAAGAGAGAAGCTAACAGACCTCTAAGCCCTTGTAGTTTTGATTGTCTGAGATTATTCCAGTGCATTCACACATAGTACGTTAAGTACTTGATCTATGACAAGGCCTTTGAGGATGCACAGGCAATTGGCAGGATTCGCTTTTGCAGAGCCTACAGTTGAGTAGAGAAGATGCATTGTTCAGTAGAACATTAACACAGCTAACACTTCTTCAAGAAATGGTATACTAGGCACAGTGTTGTGCCTTTGTTTTATTATAGTCCCCACAAAAACTTGAAGAGGCAGTACCATCATTATGCCCACTTTGCAGATGGGGAAACCAAGTCACAGAGCTGATAAGTGGTTGGGCCAGGACACACACTCAGCTAATCTGCACGTAAAGGCAGCACTCTGCCCATTTGCTTTCCCATCAAGATACAATTGCCATTTTCCCCATCAGGAAATATTGGGGGATTCTAGATTTCAAAGGCAACAGTGAAGAAGGAAAGCTCCAAAGATTGCTCATTGACTCACCTCCACTCACTAGTTGTATGATGCTGAGCAGGTCAACTTACCTTCCTATAAAATGGGTACATTGTTTCCTACCTAACTCACAGAGAAGCATTATCTTGAAGCATCTTCTCTGGGGCAAGGTCTTTAAAACCCCTAAGGATTAAAGAAATGTACAAGATGCTGATCTTAGTTGTGAGGTGGAAAGATGGGGCTATCTTATTCTTCCCCACAGGGTAGCACTGTGCTTCAAGGAATGGTGGTCCCATACCATCTCTGGTGACAATCTCTCAACATAAACTAGGATCTACATGACTTGTTCACTGACCAAGGAAGAAAGAACTTGAGTGGCAGTGTTCAAACATAGGGTCCCCTCTTCTGCTTTTTTGGGAGCCAGGTACTCATTTATCTGTGAAGAAAAACAAATAGAACAGAATGAGCAAACATTGTCTTCAAAGAACCCTGTTAGCTGGGTGCGGTGGCTCACACCTGTAATCCCAACACTTTGGGAGGCCAAGGCGGAAAGATTGCTTGAGTCCAGGAGTTTGAGACCAGCCTGGCCAACATAGTGAGACCTCATTTCCACAAAAACTCAAAAATTAGCTGGACGCAGTGGCATGTGCCTGTAGTCTCAGCTACTCGGGAGACTGAGGCAGGAGAATTGCTTGAGCCTGGGAGGTCAAGGCTGCAGTGAGCCATGGTTGCGTCACTGCACTCAGCTTGAGCAACAGAGTGAGACCCTGTCTCATAAAGAAAGAGAGGGAGGGAGGGAGGGGCAGAGAGATAGACAGAGAGAGAGAGAGAGAGAGAGAAGAAGAAGAAGAAGAAGAAGAAGAAGAAGAAGAAGAAGAAGAAGAAGAAGAAGAAGAAGAAGAAGAAGAAGAAGAAGAAGAAGAAGAAGAAGAAGAGGAAGAAGAAGAGGAAGAAGAAGGAGGAGGAGGAGGAGGGGGATGGGAGGGGGAGGGGAAGGGGGAGGGGAGAGAAGAGGGGAGGAGAGGGGATGGGGAGGTGAGGTGGGGAGGCAAGGGAAGGAGGGAGGGAGGGAAAGAAGGGAGGAGAGAGAGGGAGGGAGAGAGGGAGGGAGAGAAGGAAAGAAAGGAAAGAAAGGAATGAAAGAACCCAGTTCAGGATGGGTTCCAGAATTTTTCCCTCCAGGAAAGGGGTGTTTATACCCATCCAACAATGATGTTTGCATGTCTAGGCTTCTGGGGGGTCTGCTGGGGCCAGGGTCTTCTGAGGCTTCTTGAGATGTGGTTTGGCTTCCAGGAAAAGCCTGTGTGTTCCTGAGCTTTCTACTGATGCAATCCTTGCTAAGGCAGGGAAACAAAAAGTTGATATATTGGTGGGGGAAGAGCAATCTCTGGGGGTTTATTTTTTATGAACCAGACACTTAAGTGTTGCTGATTTATCTTAATAGCAGATAGTATGAGCAAATGTCCCAGTTGCCTCTTTGTGCTTTTGGCAAGTATGGATGAAAAATGGAATGGAGCAGACCCAACCAGAGCTGCTAGCCCCAAGTTTAGGAGTCTTAATCTTCCTCACTCCCAATATGTAATTTAGAATTGTTTCCAACATTTTCCAAGTTGCAGGTGGACACCCAGCTTTGGCAAGAGGCAGAGTGGGTTCTATCACTAGGTTTTCTGCTTCTAGAACAATGTTCTTAGGCTTGAGGGAAGCTGCACATCTCCCCTCAGTGGTTCTTTAGACTTAGTTATCACATTCTGGTTCTGTGGGTACTGGTCCTGTGTAAAGAAACCTTTTTTCACATAAAGAGCCCTCCTGCTTGTCATGCAGGGATTCTCAGAGGACACAGCATGACTGCTCTCTGTATCCTCCTATGTCACGGCTGGAATGAGACCATACTAAACCCAATGGCTTAGAAGTTGGAATATAAATTATGTCCAAGCCATGTTCAGTGTTGTAACATTTGCTAATCCTTATTAGATATGGATAAATTCTCAGGGCTTAATTCGGCATGTTGAATCAGTTCTTCAGATTGTCTTTGGGGACTGGAAAGGAAATGTACGACTTCACTACAATTTTTCTTTTGTTTCTTCAGAATGGGACATAATTTTTTATTGTTAGCTGGTGGAAATTTCGGTGAATCATTGCCAACTGTGGCTCACCCCCACAGGAAGAAAGAATCAGGCTTTAGCTGAGAACATGTTCTTTGAAACAAACCAGAATATTTGATTTTTGAAATATCTTTCCACTTTAAAAACATGCTGTTCAACAAATATTAATGTCCTGACCAAGACCAGAAGAATTGAGGAAGTAGAAGAAACCTAAGATTTCTCTCTGAGGAAAATGTTAGAGTGATGTGTGATGCTTGAGTCTAATAATAACTCCGCTGAGCATGGAGAGAGTCTGTGAGGGGCAGGCAGAGCATCCTTCTGACCTTGGTCCTTACTTCCTCCACAGTGGAAGGAGCTAAGTGCTGGCTGGAAGTCAGGCATTCCACATTCCTTTACCAGGTCACCCACATTTACATGACCTCTGGCACATCCTGTCATCTTACTTACATTTCTGGTATTTGGTCCAGAAAATATACTTGATAATAGGTTCCCCCTTTCTGCTGCCAAACAGTTTTATCTTGTAAGCCATTGTTGGATATTTTAAATGGCTTGAGTTGAAAGCTGTTGTCCTGTTCTTTTTTCTTTTATCAGCAGCATCTCACCTAGTTTGGTGGTCAGTCATGCGTGCCCAGTAATCACCCTTAACGGACTCAAATCTTCTCAAGTCGGATGATTCTGTGACTGGGCTTTGGGATTATTGAATTTCTTGATATTATAGCTGCAAAATTATCTCAGTGGGATTCTTGTTCTGTTCATAATTAGAGGTTTGTTTTAATAGATCTGTTTTGCAGGCTTTTATGAGCAGGACTCCTCTTGGACAAATCCATCATAAATTCTCTGTGGTGATAAGGCAGACAATTTTTCACTGCTTGGGTACTTTGTCAGAACAGCGGTCACATAAAAAAGCCTGATCCTGTCTTCTTAGCCACACCTAATTTTCAGCTTCTGTTGAGAGCAGGACCCAAAATTATCCCGACATCTCCTTATGAAATTTTGTTGAAAAACATTAGTCCCTGTGCACTGAGCACAAAGCCAAATTACTTCTGGAATGTTCCATGGAACTCTGGGACCCCAGATAGGGATCAGGGAACCAGCACAACATCTTTCCTCCCTTCTGCACGATCTGTGGATTGATTTGTAGATTATTATCCTCACCTTGAGCCATCTGAAGTCAAGGCTTGGGTCTAACTTTTATGGTTGTTTGGTTGTTATTATATTTATTCTCAAACTCAGAGAATGCAAAGGATAGTTCTGGGAAAGGAGAGGCCTCATTCTCCAGTCAAACGATTGTTCTCCTGACAGTTTGCCAGGATGTTAGGATGTTTCTCAGATCTCTTACGGTGTTGAAGTGCAAATCCAAAAAAGAGCTTCTCGAACAAACCAAACAGAAACCACATACTTATTCAGGGACAAAGTTAGTATATGTGCCTGCTGGTTTTCATGTCCAACAACACCAAGGTCTTTACGGGCATGAAAGCTTCCCTGGACCCCAGAGAGGCATCCCTGAGGGAGAAAGGAGAAAACTTGAAGGAGAAGGTTAAAGAAGCCTTTTCTGATTATTCCTTGGCAGGGACATGCTAAGAAGAGATAGTGAACAGCATTGGACCTTTTCTAGCATGCAGTAATTCCCAGCTTGGAACTCCCAAGAGGCTTAACGTTGTGCCCCATAGACTGACAGGTAAAGAAGGACAGTGTCAAATTAAAGTTGGAAATTAGAGGAAATAATTATAAAAATGATACAGATGATTATTTTAACTTCTGGTTCTCTGGGTTATTTCTGGCTGTCTCAAGGCACAGTCTTTAAAAACAAGGTCCGTGAGCCTCAATGTTTAAAATAGTTAGATTACCTGCAGCAGCAGTTCCTAAAACCTGACTCTGTTTTAACATCGCCCAGCAAGCTTTTTTTCCTCCTTCACTGAATACCTACTCTAGGGCCACTTTCACACCTACACACTCAAAATCTCAGGGGAGAGTCACCAAGAAGCTGATAGATCTGGTTGACAGATCAGCATTTGAGAGGCATTGATCTAATGAAATGAGTCAGTAACCCCTAAATGTGGGAATCCCTGGGCCCCTAAACACTTGGTCTCCATATATAGATAGCCTTGCAAATTCACCTACTGGAAATGTAAAATAAATGGCAAGATTTTGGATCACTCTGGGCTGTAATTGTCACCAGGAAAGGTATAACTGGAGACTGGTATAGGACTGTGTCACAGGAGTCAGGGTGGAGGTGGAGATAAGCCTGTTTGCTCAGGGCACATGATGATGGGTAAGACAGACAGTTGATCCACAGAGTTTATTGAGCACAGAGAGGGTCTGGACCTTGTTCCAGAATTTCAAGGGCTATAAAAGGGAATCAGAAGCCACAGACTTAGCTCAGGTATCTAGAGCAGCTTCCTTGATATCAAGCGGCTTGCTGATGCCTTTTGCACATAATTGGAGAGGTTAAATAACTTGCAGGTAGTTTCACAGCTGTTAAGTGGCTTAACTTTGACCATTTGGCTCAGGCCTTCTGATCCCACTTGTGGTTTTCTTTACTCTCCAGGACCCTGCTAGTTATGGAAATTTTCTTAATAAGGTACATTTTGAACCCAACTGTTATGGAGGCTGAAGTACCTGGTTTTGTAGGGAGAAGTTATTTCTAGCAAGGGAAGCACAAGAGTTGAGATCAGTCTGTGTGCTTGTAATTAGAGACAGACAATCTTTGGGAGAGTTTCTGTGGGGGAAGCTGGGAGGAGGTGGATTGTTAAAGAAGGAAAGTGAGAGGTTGGCTTTGCCCAGTAACTGAACTGTTTCTATCTGATGCACATGACATAGGGAGCCACTGTGTATTCTTAAGAAAGAGTGTGATATGAAAACTGTCAACACAAAGTCAGCTTGGAACCAGCATTTTCAATTAATGATAAAATGGCTGCTGAGATTAGATTGCTGGGTCATTCTGCTCATGAAAGCTTGCCCTGGGTTTGATGAAGGTTGGGTGCCTTCTAGGGCATGTTCTTATTTTCTGCATACTTAGCTGTGGTTAGTAGGTTATGATTTGGGTCTTTCATTAATGCATCCCCCAACCACCACTCCAAGAGTAAAATAACAGCTTCCTTCCATTGTACAGCTTTTGAGACATGGAAATTTGAAGTATATTCCCTTGAGCACAGATTTCAAATAAAATGTCCTATAAAGCTTCAGAGTCTGAGAGATCCTTGGGCCATTAACCTTAAAATTCCAGAACTAAAGACCTATTTTTCTACCAGTTTCCAAATCATGTCTGTTCCTAAATAATCATTATGGTGCTTTATTCTTTTAATGGGTTATTTCCCAAAATGGCAGAGAGGAAAAAAAACACCCCACAGCATACCTTTTTTTGTTTTGTTTTGTAGGGTAGGACTTGGCTGGCAGTGTCCCCAGGCACATGCTGTTTCTGAGCCATAATTATGCTTTTTAATCCACTCCTTTATGTCTGGGTCCTTAATGTCCAAGCTTCTATATAATTACCAAGTTCAGTGTGTGGGAATGAGAAAAATTTTTTTGCATGACTTTAGCCTATACATTGTTGCATCGCTGTATTATTAAAAGATATTTTCTGAACTTAGAGCTATACTATTAACTCTCTCAACTTGAAAAGACCCAGCAAAGAGATACTCCCAATCTTAGGCCCATGATGTGACATTCAGATAGACAGTGACTTGATCCAGCCGAGGTCCCCTGGATTCTTGGGGGAGGACTTGAATTTGGCACTAGTGTCTTGGTTCAGAGCCTGACAGGGTCTTGGGAACCTTTCCTTTCCCATCCAGCTGTTTGTGCATAGACACAACCATGCCTGTCATTGCAGTTTGCTAAACTTAAGAGAGATTGGTGATGCTGGTTGTTAGGAGAAATTGGAATTTTAAAAGATTAAGGTGGAAGGAGGAAAGCTGTGGCCAGTAAGTTAGGGTGCTCCATTGAATGGACTGTTGTAGTTCACTAAAATAGAAGGCAACAGGAGTCTCAATTCTCCAAAGTCAAAATTCTCAGTCTCAGGAGTCTTTTCCCCAGAACTAAAATGATTTCAACAGTATCTCCCCCTAATATGAGATGTAATTTATATCTCTGCATTTTTGTATAGGGAGCAGAGAAACCTTTTTTTTTTTATTGTTTTATTATTTCTTGTACCTGATTGAATATTTAAATAATATAGAAAGGAATAAAGGAGAAAATTAATTCCCTAAAATCCAAATACCCAGCAATAATTATAAATGGTTGGTGCTCATCTTTCTGTACTTTTCATATATATATATATATATATATATATATATATATATATATATATATACACACACACACACACACACACACACACATATATACAAACCCATATATATATTTAAATGTAGACTTTTATATACTATTTTATATGAACATGTTGTTTCACAGCCTGCTTTTATTTCCATTTAATTATATGTTGTGATGCACTTTCCTTCTGGTGAATACAAATACGTATCACTCTTTTGACTGGCTTCTGAATATTTCATTATAGGAATAACAGCTATTTAATGATTTGATAAACCAAAGCCTAATATATGGACATTTTGGTTACTTCTCATTAACTGCTCCTATGATTGCCATCCCTGTGATACCCTTTTGTATTCATCCCTGTGTTCTTCTCCAACATTTTTTTCAGGAAGAGACTATTGGACCACAGGGTAGACATATGTTAAATTTTGATACCTAGTGCCAAATTGCCCTTGAGAAAGTTTATGCCAACTTAAAATCCTGCCAACAGTGGATGAAAGCACCCAAAGAAGACAGAAATTAACTTTCCATTTTTTTAGGCTTTTCTGAATTTTACCCACCTCCAGAACTTTACCACTAAATGCCTAAAAGACAAATGTCATGTTGATTAAGTTCTATAGGTTCAATATTGGTCCTCACCTAGATTGCAAAATAAGTCTTTAAATTGATGTCTTATGAAATGAGAATAAAATCAGCAATCACTAAGATTTATTTGTTCCTGAAGATTAAGTAATGCTAACGTCACTTTGGTTTTTGATAAGGTTGATAGAAAGACAAGTCAAGGGAATGGCATAGTCGCAGGGTACCAGGGTACCAAGATTTCAGCTAGGAATACAACAGGACAAACTTATATGTATATGAATAGCTTTTTTACCACATGGAGAAATAAGGACTGGATGGATGGATTTATAGTTGATTGAACAGCTTTATAATAGGCAGGTTGATTAGGGAATCCTGTCACCTCTATAGGGAGGTTGCCAGAGGAGCTAGGCTGTGACCTGCCAGCATGTACAAGGAACTAATTATACAAAGCCTTTGAAAACATGCTTTTTGGTGAAAATAGGATGCATCAAAGCCATGTAGCTTACCAAAAACAATGGCAGACAAAATCAGACTTGAGAAACATCTCAGCGAGATGAAACTATAGACCCAAATTTAGTCAGTATAAGTCTAAACAAAATATTTAGTAAGGGACAGGAGCGGTGGCTCATGCCTGTAATCCCAGCACTTTGGGAGGCCGAGGTGGGCCAATCACCTGAGGTCAGGAGTTCGAGACCAGCCTGGCCAACATGGTGAAACTCCCCCACCATCTCTACTAAAAATACAAAAATTAACCAGGCATGGTGGCGGGCGCTGGTAATCCTAGCTACTTGGGAGGCTGAGGCAGGAGAATTGCTTGAACCTGGGAGGTAGAGGTTGCAGTGAGCCAAGACTGCCCCATTGCACTCCAGCCTGGGCAACAAGAGTGAAACTCCATCTCAAAAAAAAATTTTTTTTTAATAAGGAAAAGAATGAAGTATATACTTAGAATTAAAATTCTGGGGTTTGTGTGTGTGTGTGTGTGTGTGTGTGTGTGAGACAGAGAGAGAGAGAGAGAGAGAGAGAGAGAGAATGGCAGAGGAACTAACAACCAGGATATGAGTTTAATCAATTGTAAATTAGAGCATTAGCATTGCACAGCAGATGGTAAAAATCAATGGAACCTAAGAGTATATTACTTATTTTTAAATCATGCTTAGCAGATGTAAGGACACATGTGAAGACTTAGTTTCAGGCTTTATTCAAAGAATTCTCTCAAAGGAGCCTTGATGCATGTAGTAGCACCTTGTGCAATGGGGTACAGAGAGAGGACTAGGAGAAGTGGGGAGTGACTAGTTGAGAGAACAACAAATAGATAATGGGCATAACTGTATTCAAATATCTGAAGACGTGAGCTGCCCAAAAAGGCAGAAGTAGGGTACAACTGCAGGTACAAAGCTCAAAATATGAGTGTAGGAGGCAGGGAGCATCCTATTTAAGCTGCTTAATACATTATCAAATAGCTATTGAGTCTCCCATCTCCAGTGATAAGGAATGAAGACTGGACCACCATCCACCAGGATGGCTACAAAGAGAAGTCTTGTTTGGGAAAGCAGGTTGTATTAGATTGTTTCTACCAACACAAGCATGAGTGGCATTTGCATGCTTAACACTCAAAAAACCCAACAATCTTCTGCAGAGAAGTAAAGCCCCATATCAACTGCTAACATTTATTCCTGCTAATGGTTCAACAGAGGCCAACTCTGTTCACATCCCAGCATATCAACTACCTACCACTTTCCCCCCTTTTCTCTTCTACTCAAGAGAACACCTAAAGTGTTCAAATGACTGGGCTCCTGGGCATCCTCGCCTCTCACCTGTCTGCACAATTCCCTTCCCTGCATGGCCTGCTTTTATGTGCCCTCTTCCCACCTTCACTTATGCTCTTCTCTTCCTGAAATCAGCCCCAACTAATTTTCTTTAGATATACAATTATTCTCACAACAAATAAGAAGATAGTTCCCAAATGATCAAGAAGAAACGTGGGAAAAAAGGACATTAAAAGGGGGCTCACAGATAATGAAGTAGAAATAGACACTAAATGAATGAAATTATGCTCAGCTTCAAATTATAATTAGGGAACACATGGGATACAATATTTTACCTATCATATTTTTGAAGATTAAAGAGTTTGGAGAAACTCCATGTTAGCACAGCATAGAGAAAGAGGTACAGGCTGGATGTTGATTGACAGTTTTGAAGGGAATTTGGTGATATCCTTCCAAGTTTAAAATGTGTATATTCTATTTTAGGGTTCTCTCTTGAACTTGTTTTTTCCTAGCACATTATAGAAACAGCTATGATATGTTTAAGCATCCGTCTTTGTTGGAAACAAACACATTAGGACAAGCAAAGCTGTTCCTTTGCAAAAATATTGTTTTAAGCATTGTTGGAAAAAATGAAAAGCTGGAAATGACCCAAATGCCCATCACTTATTCATTCAACAAACACTTATTATATGTCCATATGTGCCAGGCAGTGCTTTAGGTGCTTGGGATGCATCTTGGAATAAAATGAAAAAAAGATATCTTCCCTTTTGGAGTCTCTATTTGAACACATCAATAGAGGACTGGTAAACAAAAGTATACGCATAGAGTGGAATAACATGCAACCATTAATGATGAGGAAGCTCTCTATGTTCTTGATGTGGAAGAACAATATTGGAGATATTGTTTGTAAAGGGTAAGTATGTGTGTCTGTGCTTGCATTAAGCACAAAATTTTTTAGAAAGATTGGCAGAAAAACCTTAACAGCGGGAATAAATATTGGAGCAGAGGGAGGGAGAACATTACTTTTCTTTTTATAAACTCTTTTGTACTCTTTAATTTTTCATAACTAGCATGTATGATTTACATAATAAAAACTTACAGATGTTATTTAAAAAAGAAAAATTATAAAGCCTAATCAGTAGTTCTGCTAGAGAAGTGAGGCTCCTATCTCAAAGGAAATGGAAAATTCCTTAACCTATCTGTAGCCATCAAGAACAAAATGATTAGGTGTTTGATGCTGTTTAGACTGAAAGAATGGAAATTAATACCATAGTACTTTGGAACGCAAAACCAATGACATGAGTCGGGCCTGTGGTGTTACAGGTCATGGACATGGTGGACTCATCTGCAGTTGCAAATCAAATGAGAAGACGGCCAGGGGCAAGGACAGGGCCAGGTTCCAGCTGTCAAGTATTCTGGGGGTTTCTCCTGGGCCCATCAGCAACTAACCTTCCCCCTCTTGGAGCCTCAGTCTCCCCTCTGTAAAGTAGTAAGCTTGGATTCACTAATTGAAGATGTGGCCCAGTATTAACATTTTATGAATTTGGGTTGTTCTGGCAAGTCCTTATTTGTAGGGGAGAGATTTGAAATAGCCCTAAAATTCTCTAGTCTACGAGACGGTCTCCCCAACTTTCAAGTTACCCGCCTTTTCCTAGTACTATCAAGAAACATCAGTTATGTACTTTAGTATCTATTTTTGTTCAGATTCAAGTTTAAATACATTTGGACATTTTGTACTTAAGCTATTTCAACTTCAGGGTCACAGACAACCAGGCTTTTTGGATTCCACCTTAAATAGGTGACTAAGAGAAAGTGTTTTTTGAAATGTACCCATTCAATGAATTCAAGTTGATGTGTTAGGAAAAAAAAAACAACCATATGACTCAACACAGTAGACATTTCCAGATGAAATTTGAGTATAACTTCATCCTTTCTGGAAATTGGATTTCTGTCAGATTCACACACAGATTCACAAAATTTCCACTTTGCCTCTTCTTTGGGGGGGTAAGTTATCGCAGGAGAAGAGGTAGGGGTTATTGATGAGTTTTCATGTTCATGTACTGAGAGAATATCAGCTTGGATGAGGCTGTGGGGAGACCTGCAAATGATGTCCCTGTCTTGTTTGTGCATCTCTGGGGGTGTCCACAGAGACCTTCTATCCTGAGTGGAGTATGTGACTCCTCATAGAACTAAATCGACCCTAGTTAGGGTGAGCTCCAAGTGTTCCGTGTAAAGCTAGTAAAGGTGTTGTGATCCAGACGAAAGGGAGGACAGCACAGCGGGCAACTCTGATAAACACCTGAGGAGATGTGGCAGAGAGTTGGTATTTGGAACAATCGCCTGCCATTTTTCTCTTCCCATTTGTTTTTCAACTGATTGGAAAACTGCTAATGAGCATGTTTACATTTTCTCCAGTTGTCTCACCCAAGCGTGAGACCAGCTGGGGAGAGGGATTTGTTCCCCCTCCAAGGGCCTGGCTGCCTCTCCCTGTCTCGTTCTCCCTCCCAGCTGCCAAGCCTCTCCTGGCTGTCTCCACACCTCCTGGAGTCAAAACTGTGCTCGGTGCTGGCCAACACAGCCCCACCACATGTTTTGCATGGCTCACCCCATCCCTTCTCTCCCCCTTTGGGGGGTCATTTGTTTTGTTTTGAAGGAGGTGAGGTGCTGGGAGGTTTATGCCCTTCCATTCTGCTTTAGAACTGGGAGCAGGCCCAGATTGCATTTGCTTCCACTTCTGCGCGAAGGTCAAAGCCCTTGAAGGAGAGCGTCCTTCCGTCCTCCCACAGTTCTCAGGACATGTTCATTCTCTCTGGGCTGACCTGAGTTTCTAGTCTCCTCTGCTTGCCCAGTCCGTTCTCCTTTGCTTTACCCTTCCCTTCTGATGGTGGTGTCTCAAGCTTCAGACATTTTGAGGATTACCTTCACAGTGTTTTCCACATCCTAAGACATAATTTCTATGAAACCTCTCTTTGATGTGCTTGTTATAATTTATTTTAATATATTTTAGAGTAAATATGTAACTGTTGAGCAGTTCATTTACTCCCTGTGAATTATCTTGCCTCCAAGGGTATGTGAACCCCTCTCTTCATAGCCCTGTTTAAGACTCTCACGGCCTCTTTCGGAGGGCGCTGCTGGCTTTTACTCAACCTCACATTCTCCTAGAATCTCACATGCTCCTAGAGTTCTACTAGAATGTTCACGCTCCAGTTTCTAGCCTATTGGCCAATTCTGTTAGGCGATACCCCGAGGCTGTTTTGCCCATTCATTAGTTAGGGAGCTGTTTTGATGATGCCAGTTCTCCCTAAACCAGTGATAATAAATATTTGTTGGATTATGAATGGAATGAAAATGTTGTCTTCACTTGTCAGCACAATTCTAGAGTCCGAATCTCAATACCTGCAAACACTGTCTTTCCTCTCTCCTTCCTTTCTTTTTCTCTCTTCTCTTGTCTTCTCTTCCCTCTCTTCTCCTTACCTCTCCTCTTCTCTCTCTCTCTCCTCTTTCTCTTCCCTCCCTCACTCTCTCCCTCCTTTCTTCCTTCCTTTATTTATTCCCAGTCTCCTTCATTCTCTCCCACCTTTCTTCTTCCACTCCTCCATTTATTTATTTATTTATTTATTTTTGTCTTTTTACCTTTGGGTTAAAAAATTAGGATTTTATTTGGAGTTCACTTTCTAAAGAAACTCCTAACAGACCATGCACAGAATGTTTCCACACTGTAGTAGAAGAGTCTGGAGTTTTTTTCAGAGACCCTCTATTGACTTTCTGAGTTGAAACAGTTTAGACTCCACATAAAATATGTGTTGTTTACCCAGGCTCTTCATGCTCTGCATACTGTTACAGTCCTTGAAGAGCTTGTCAGTGACAAGTAAGATAAATGAATGAAGAGGACTTTACAAGTGTTTAAAAGCTAAGTATAGCATGTGCTGCCCACGACTTAATTAAACAGACCTGCGCTTAACTAAGTAACTTTGTGGTGGAAACATCTAGGGCCTTTCCCTTCCCCCAGACTCTGCCACTAGCAATGGTGCTCAGGATGTTAGAAATTCCTTGGTTGTCTGGAGTTGCTAATGTGTTAGCCTAGCTGTTAGCTGTCTCATTGGTTGAAGCATTAAACGCTAGTGTGGACTGTGCATAATGACTTTTGAATTTATATTAGGGGATGGTCAGTAACATGGACTTCTTTGGGGCTCCATTAAGATTTTCTAATGTGTCTGAGTTCCATCGTTTTCAGAGGGAATTTTAAAATCAAAAGTGAGCTGCTTTTCTTTAAAGCTATGATTGGAGTGGGTGATCAGAGCCCATTCCCAGGTCAGTCTTGATTTGTTTATGAAGGGGCTGGTCCTTAAGGATCTGAGCAGTGGGATGCACTGGTTACAAAGGAGGCTGCACAGTCAGAGCCTCAGATCTACCAGTTATTTGAGCTCTGATTAGTTGCTTAATCCCTAAGCCTCATCTTCTTCATCTGTAAAGTGGGAGTAATAAGAAGCTTCAACCAAGGCAAATATTCAGGGCATGTGCAACTGTGTCACTCTTGGTTCTCATGGGTTTCTGCATCTGTCATAGCAGCTATTAAAGATTTTAAATACAATCCCCACCCCTGCCTGCATCGCAGGGTTGATGTCAGACTGACTTAATGAGATGATGCCAACACAGTGTTGTTCACACAGCAAGGGCCAAGCAGGCATTGGTTATTATTTTTTATGTTAACAGGAGGCTCCATCTCACAATGTCGGTTAGGATCCTAACATTATGAGCAGAGCACATAGAACTCTTTCTTTATAAATAATCCTTCCTCATGGGCTGTACTGGCTGACAGTAGAACAGGGGAGATGCTGCTTCTGGCTACAGTCACTGTCCATAACCCTTCAGGGGATTCCCCAGGTTCCTAAGGTGGCAGCAGAAAGCAATGTTTTTTTTTGAGACAAGATCTCATTCTGTTGCCTAGGCTGGAGTGCATTGGCATGATCACAGCTTATTGCAGCCTCAACCTTCTGTGCTCAGGTGATCCTCCCACTTCAGCCTCCCAAGTAGCTGGGACTACAGGCATGCACCACCACACTTAGCTTATTTTTTGTATTTTGTTTTTGTAGACGTGGGGTTTCACTATGTTGCCCAAGCTGGTTTCTAACTCCCGAGCTCAAGCCACCCGGCTGCCTCTGCCTCCCAAAGTGCTGAGATTTCAGGCATGAGCCACTGCGCCTGGCCACAGAAAGCAACTTAGCAACATAATTTCCCTCCCCTGACTTTAGCAGGAAAAAAGAAAAGAAAAACTGCACAAAATATGCAATAGGAGCAGTAGATCAGCATCTGTCTGTCTATCTATGGTGTTTGGTTTATGCTGAAGACATTCTTCCCTCTCTTGCCCATTTTTTAGATATAGGAAATGAGACTCAAGGAATCCTGATTCAGTCTGAGTCTCAATATGAATGTTTGGCCGAAACTGAATTAGTGCTAGGCAGGTGTTACTTCCCTAAGGAAGGTGAGAGTTCTGTCACGCTAAGTGATGAGAACTCTCAAGAAGTATCCATGGAAAAGAGCCTAGGAGTCACAGGTGTGTTAGTCCTGTGCAAAAATTAAGTGCAGGCTTGTTAATTATTCAACTATGATTAGGGTTTTAGCTGAGATTCTTGCAAAAACAGACCCCAAGCTGGGTGAGGTAGCTCACGCCTGTAATTCCATTGCTTTGGGAGGCTGAGGTGGGTGGATCACCTGAGGTCAGGAGTTCAAGACCAGCCTGGCTGACATGGTGAAACCCTATCTCTACTAAAAATACAAAAAATAAAATAAAATAAAATAACTGGGAGTGGTGGAAGGCACCTGGAATCCCAGCTACTCTGGAGGCTGAGGTGGGGTAATCACTTGAACCCGGGAAGTAGAGGTTACAGTGAGCCGAGATTGCACCACTGCACTCCAGCCTGGGTGACAGGCAAGACTCTGTCTCAAAAAAACAAACAACAACAAAAACAAAAACAAAAAAAAACAGAAACAAACAAAACAGATCCCAAGACAAGCTTTTACTGCAGGTAGTTTATTTGAGAAGTGATCTCCAGAAACATGGTGAGAGAATGGGGCAGTGATACAGGGAAGGGAAAAGGCCAACAAAGGGTGCATCAATGGGCAGTTTTCTGCTATAGTCAAACAGGGCTCCCACTGCTGAGGACCTAGTGAAAGATTCTGGAGCACACTGTAGGGTTGTCCACTGAGGGGCCAGGATGCTGGCTATTTATGTACCATCTCCTTCCCTCACAGATTTAGAGTTGTTTCAGGGGCGTGAGCTCCCTAACACTTCCCATCTGCCCCATTCCCTGGCCAAGTGTGCACCTGTGGCCAAAGCAAGACCTCAAGCCGAGGAAGATGCACGGGCTCCTGGTGGGAAGACAGCAGCACATCCAGGACTGTCCATCCAAGCTGCAGACAAGATCTGGTGTGGAACAAGAGAATATAGGAGGGACCCTGACATTCTCTGCAACAATTAAAAATAAAATAAAATAAAATAAAAGTGCTTAATGAGTAGGTATAAAAACACCAGCCAAACCTTCATGATGATCTACTAAATTTCTGTCTGTAAATAGGGACCGAGAGAGAGAGCCACCTTTAACAAAGTTGGGAGGGAGAGTCCGACCAGTGTTCTGTTCTGCTATAGAGGAGGGGCAGGAAGGATGGATCAGCTGAATGAATTTGGGGAGATCAGACCAGTGCTCAGGGAAGGACTGATGCTATAGCAGTGGATTGTGTAGATATCTGTAAACACACAGATGCCAAGAGCCTGGCCCATTTTCCCAGAGATGTTACAGTGTGACATGGGTGAGTATATGGCTGTGGCTCTGTCTTAAATTCCTTCCAAATGCCACAGGTTGATGTTATTTTGAAAAATAAGGTGGTGAATTTTCATCTCACATACATTTCCTGCTCTTTCCACATCCAGTAAAGGAATGAAGGAAGCCCGCACACATACACACACTTGCATATCTCACATTTGGTGTTCTAGTTCCCCTCATTGACCTGCTTTCCTCTCAAGGTGATTGGAGGGCCACTTTACTGTGCGATCTCCCCAGTGTACTCTCCTTATACCTATAGCCAAGCCAACTTTCAAATCTTAACTCAAGGGGCGTTTGACCCATGGAGCCTTATTTGATGCCTCTGCCCTCAGCTGGAGGGGATCTGTTGCCTCTGAACATCCATTTAAACCATACCCTTCTCTCCTCCTCCTCTTCTTATACGGTTTTATAGTCAGGCTTCTATTTCCTCATGTCCTATTCATCTTTGCCTCACCCCTGCACCTGGAGTGGACCTTACCCTTCATGACACTGCTGTAGGACTCTGGAGTCAGACATCTGGGTTTGAGTTCTGTTCTTCTACTCACTAGCTGAATAGTTATGGGCTTAGTTTCCTCATCTGTAAAAGAGGGCCCCAAGAATAGCCATCTCAGGAGTGAGGATTCAGCAGGAGAATGCTGGCCAAACACTTAGCCTGGCACATAATTATTCTTGGCATCATTGCAGTTGCAGATGTTCAGTAAGTGTTGAGTGAATTTCAGTGCAGTGTCCACAGTAGAAGCCTTTACATCATTTATTCTTACATACTCCCAGAAAGTTCCCCAATGCGGCACATTCCTTTAATAGCTTCTGCATCCTCTGACTTCATTTTGTCCTCCAACTGTGACCTGAGTGCTGCAACTTAGATTCTACTCAATTATGATTCATTGCTATGTGAGTCTAGTGGATGGTCAGGAAATCTCTCCTCTCCTAGCCATCCCATTCTTGTCTGGTTTGCTCATCTTTTACTTGGAGACAAGAGCTGTTCACCTTGCTCTGATTAGGTGGAAACAAGACAGTAGAAGAGTTCCTGAACGTTTGGGATTTCCCTAGTGGGAAAAAGGGACAGAAAAGAAAGCCTGATAGAATAAAACAGTAATTGCTATTGTACAGTATTATCTCCATATCCCATAGCAACAGATCTTATTATATTTTTTTCTATTTAAACCGTATTCATGAAGGTTTTATCGTTAACTTGATCCAGATGACTGATCAAAGCAAAGTTTGTTATTGCCACCTTACTAAAATATTTTTAAAAGCAGTTTTAATTCAATGTGTTTATCACTCCATATTGCCATTAGGCTATTGAGTCTATTACTAGTCGATCAAGGATTTTCATTTTGTTTCAAGAGCTCCTTGGATAAACTCTTCAGAAATGTCAAAAGAGTTGGAGTATCTGGCACCTTTTCACAGATGGTGCTCATCAGATATTTTAGTTAATGGATAAAGTTTCAGTTTTCCATGTTTGACTTTTGGCACTAACAGAGGTTTTCTAAAGGCTCCTGCTCCCCCAAACGCTAGGGGATAGTAAGAAATGAAACTAATAACACCCCAACACCCCTTATTCTTAGTGAGGTAAGTAATCAGGGAGGTGGTAGAGTATTGCACTGGGTCCAATTAGCTAAGGAATGGCATATTTCTTGAAGAAGACCAATTCGACTTGCCTAACAGCTCCAAAGCTATGCACATACTCTTCCTTCGCCACTCCCAAGAATTACAACAAACAAAAACAAATAAACAGGAAAAGTTAAACTGCCACATCAAAAGTTAAATACTCAACTGGCTCATCCTAGACTCCCATCTTCCCTCTTATGTGTTCCACAGTAGCCTGTGTGCCCTCTCCATCCATCCATTTTTACACTCATATACTTTGACACACTTTTACTTACAGCTAAGACATGAGACTCTGCACTAGATGGAGAGTGCAAGGGCAATCCACACATAGTATTTCCCTCAAGAGATTTTCAACCTAGTGGTGGAGAAAGCCAAGTGAACCTGCAGTTAGTTACCATTGGTTCAGATAAGTTCTGTGATGGCAGAGACCCAGGGGGGTGGCTACAGGATTCTGCTGAAAGCAGTGGAAGAGGCGGGCTTAGGAAAGTTGTCTCTGGAGATGATGGCATTGAAGCTAAGACCAGAGAACTAATGGATATAACTCAGGTTTAAGGGGTAGAGCATGAAGAGCAGGACCGAGAGAGAGAACAGCATGTCCCAAGGCTGGGACAAGGAGACTGGGAGGTGTAACTCTGGAAGTAACTAGCAGTCACCTAGCAAGAGATGCCTAAGCATGTCAAAGACCCAGGCTGTTTTCCTGAGTGTGGCGGGAGCCTCCCAAGAACTTGAATCCAGGGAGGAACAGAAATCTGATGTCACTCTGGCTATGGAATGTGTTCAATGGGAGGTGAGAGTGCAGCAGGAGAGCTGTTAGGAGGCGATGGCCCCAGAGAAATAAGGTGGCGCCTTGAAGAAAGAGGAAGTAGAAAATGAAATCTGATTAGATTTGTCTCCACAGTCATGACGTAATATAGTAAAAAGAGTATAACACAGTTAGCCAAAGGCAAAGGTGTCTGGTCAGCAGTTTGGTAGACACCGCAAAGGAAATAAAAATGGGCCTCAGTGAATCGCTAAATGAGTCCCTGAGTTCCTAAGTGCTATGCTGTGGAAAGCAATCCCTCTCCAACTCTATATTAGTTTTCCTGGGTGTTTAGTTTTGCCTGCCCAGAAGATTTGCTGCTTCAGGCTTTTCAGCGGGCACCTCAAGCATCTGAGGCTACAGGGCTGTGGACCATTATGTATGGGATCACCTGGTAAGTTGGCCTAGAGTTATTTGAACAAACAGTATCCCTGTCCAATCCTTGTTACAAATTTCTGTAGTTTTTCTTTCATTGACTGTTAGGGAGTGTTATTTGTGACTTCCTGTCCTTCCAGACCCTTGTCTATGTGTAAACCGGTATAATTGGGTGGGGATGAAGCTAGATAGTGCAGACTTAAAAAAAAAAAATTTAAAAGAGATCCATTTTAAATTTGACAATTAAAGGATCAAGATTGGTCAAACTGTTTTTATAGGAGAGAACACCAGCAACTAGCCGGTAAGAAATCGGTCACAGTTTAGGGGATATGTTACAAGCAAGATAAATAAAAACGGTCTAGAGTATCAGACCAAACTCTCATTTTTCATCTCTGTTTCACACTCTTCTCTTCCAGCCCAGACTAATCAAAAGAAGCCTCTTCCGCTCACAATTGCTCTGTGTACATTTCCCCCAGATCTGGTATTCACATGAACAACGTGGTTTATTTATATTTCAGCACCAAATTGGAAAGATGACATCATTCATTTACAGTCTTTATCCCATGACATGCCTACTCTCCAACACCTCATTTTAGCAGACACATTTAGGACTGCATATAGCATCTTGTTTAGCTTGTACATTCTTTTATGGGATACAGTTCAAAGGTAGGGAACTTTAGGCTTGTTGCTGGTAAGAAAATAATCTCATAAAATCACAGGAGCTTCCCCAAAGGATGAGGATATTACGATGTTTACAATAGCAGAATTATTATTTGTTCATTTAGGCTCCATCCTTCATTCTTGAGCGAGTCCCTTCCTTCTTGCCCACAGCAGATCTTACAGCTCCCCTCAGGCTCTCAGAATTCTATTTAGAAGAAACAATTCCAGATTTATTAGTTCATGAGTTCAAAAGTACAGGATCCTGACAATACTGGAATTTTAGGTGTAAACGCCAAATTTCAGAATCTCATGTGCAATGGCAGGCTGGCTGAGGGGAATCTCAGTACTTAGTCTGCAGCAGCTCCACTGACCTGCTCTTTCTCACAAGGCATAACTTGCCCATTGGGTCTTCTGACACTTTAAGTGGACAAGTGAAGGATGGAAATGCTCTCAGCTGCCAGAGGTTGCCTGGGATTTTTTATTTAATTTTAAGTGGCTCTTTCCCTCTATTTTTATTGTTTTTATTCATATAGACAGTTTTTTTTTAACATTCACTTTGGGGCCTTTCAAATATTGTACACATTTTTAAAAATGGAGTGAGTAAATCATAAGACATCCTCTGGCAGATAGAATTGGGATGTGAGGTGTTTCCAAAACTTAACAGAATCAAAGCATTTTATGGGAAAGTTCTTTCTACCTGTTTAGCTGTTTGCCTTTTCTGCTAGCAGCAAGACAAGGAAAAAAGCCTAGAGATTGAGAATTGGATGACCCAGAAAATCTCCATGTTCTATGTCAAGAAAGAGACTCTTGGGGCTGAAATCTACACCTTACTTTTCTAGCTGCCAAATGAGGATAGTAATAATTGCTCCTGGGAAAGTATTGAGAATAAGTTAGATTGTATGTGAAAAATACTATTAAGAATGCACAATGTTAGGTCCAGACTTTTCTTTATTGTCAGTGTATTATTTATATTACATAATAAAACTCCAACTGGTTGGAGGCTCTGCCAACCACTGACTTCTGGCTCTCTGAAAGTATTGTTGGTTCATTGTCATCTTGAGCCACCAGTGGGATTGTTATGGCAACTCATGAAATGTCCTCAACTCTCCGTGACCTTCCCTGCTGAAAACAAACATGTAGCTTGTCTCTAGGATGGCAGCATCCCTCAAAATCATGGCCCCTTCATTCTTTTGGTCACTCATTACAGCAGCATGTATTATATATCTACATCTGCTAGGCCCTATGCGAGATTCTAGGGAGAGGCAGATGAAAGAAATAGCTTCAAGGTCTACAGACATACGGACGGATAAATCTGTGGTTATAGAGCCATGGTATGCAGGAGGCACGTGTCACCCAGCCTCCAGGACAGGGTGAGGAAAAGGCTCCTAGATTAAATAGTTTGAGTTAGCCAGACATAGAAGTTAAAGGTGAAGAAAGGGGGCTAGGGAGGCATTGCAAGCAAAGGAAGCAGCACATACAAAGGAGGAAAAATGTCTTACAGCAAACAACAACAGCAGTAACTATAGTAATGACAGCATTTGACTTTCATTGCCAGTTACTGGACTGACACTTGAAGTCCATCGTATCATTCGCTCCTAGCGGCAACCCCGAGGAAAGAGGCACTATTCCTCTCATTTTAGAGTTGAGGAAATTAAGGTTTATAAATAGTTTACTCTCTTAGGTTCACATAACCAGCAAAGAGGTGGAGCCAGGACTTGAATCCAGGCAGGTCTGTCCTCAAACCCTCATTTCCTGACTTTCTGAGCTGGATAATTTTGTCTGCTTTTTTCCCGTGGTCTTTAGGCATTTTTCTAGATTCTGAGAGCCTGTCAGGCCAACTCATCACTGGTCCATTTCTTGCCCTGCATAATAAAGCAGTACACTTCTATTGCATTGGGGGTTTAACCATGACTCCAAGTTGCCTCATGTGACAGGCATCGTGGATTGTAAATTAGAGTGGTCAGTTCTTTTCCCATTGACTTTGTACCTTTTGCTCAGTTCCCTTAAGGAACAAAATCGGTTAAAATGTCCGTAGAGAGCCATTTCCCAAGAAGTCATCATAGCAGTAAACCATCTCCATCAGTATTTTTGCATTTGGCAGCGTTCAAGTGGATTTTTCTGCCTTGTCTTGTGAGACCATTGTTTATCTGTAGTTCTGTGTTTCTACCCAGCCCTTCCCATCTTTCCATACAGGACTTCCATCTCCAGCTTGCTCTAGAGTGTTGGTCTAGAGTCTCAGTCATAATTGTTGCAATTGCAAGCTCACCTTGGATCTCTGTGATTGCTTGATAATGTAAAGCAAAGCACCTTAGAGTATGTCCATTTTTTCCCTTTTAAATCACAAGAAGGAAGTACATTAACATTTACAGATGTAACATAATAGCTTTAAGGATGTGACAGAGCTTTTTTCACCAAAGTTAATGTCATGGTGCTTTCTTTATTAAGTTTCAACTTGACTAACAGTGAAAATTCCTGAATTAGGAACAAAGGGATCCCTATAGGTACTGTAATTATGCCCTGAATCTCTTTGACTGATCTTCTGGCTCCTGATGGAATCTTCCTTGGTTTTTGTTCTGCACAGACCCAGAACAGAATGAAGTTGATGGCAGACAACTATGATGATGACCATCACCATTACCACCACCACCACCATCACCACCACCATCGATCTCCTGGGAGGTCGCAACATTCCAATCACAGGCCCTCTCCGGACCAGGTCAGTTTCATCGCTGCTTACCTCCAAGACCCCTTTTACCCTTTAGATATTTTAAGATAAAATAAATAATCCTCAAGAAATAATAAACATCATAAAGTGATACGTTCTTTGAACTGAAACTAATAGCTTTGGTATTTATTTCCATCAGTCAAGGAATCTAAATGTTTTTCTTTCTCCTTCCTCTTTAAGGTTTTGTCTTTTCTTGTTTATGTTATGCATTTTCTTTCCTCCCCTCCTTTCTTCTTTCATAGATATGTAGTCTATTGCTGGCTCGGTATCTCATGGCGGGTTACTTTGGAATGTCTCTTTCAGAGTTTTAAGAGAAAGCACTTTGTTTCCATGAGCTTGGCAACCAGAGAAGCCTTGAGTTCGCTGAGCACTTTCCTAGAAAATTCTTTAGTGATGCAAATTAATGGTGAGGTAAAACAACAAGGAGAGAAATCCGTTTTGCCTGCGTTTTAGCCAGTGAAGTCAAGGAGTCTGGTTTATTTGATTTGGACCCTATCTCCTCCCTTGACTAAGTAACGCATGTGAAAAGATGGATTGACAAAAACAAAAACCGCCTGTGGTTTTACAGCAATATTTACATTCACCCACCAAATGCAAAAACTATTTACAATGTTTAGTATTAAAACTCTTGAAGGTGAATTTTATGGAAATTAGGAAATTAAATGCAAACTAGCAGGATAATATAGTCAATATGAGCAATATTTCTTACTTTGTTGTACTAAGATTCCTGCCTCCCCCTGCCCCCGTTTTTGGTGATCCTAGTGTAACTGATACATTTCCATAGATGGGAGCAATAGGTAACAAAATAGAACCATCTGGATAAGTATGCACTCCTTTGGATATGGCAGGGTGAGGGGTTGTCAGAATTACCTGTGTGAAGAGGCAGTTTAATTGTTTGCTGGGGGAGGAGGTACTTGTGATGCTCCGAAAACTTTTCACGTGGCTCTGTTTCCTTTTCACCTCCTGTTGCTAGCATCCCAAAGAGGTTAAGATTTGAAGTTTCCAAGATGTTTTACCTGGAGTACAAGTCCTGGGGGAGCTGTTTATATAGAACACAGCATTAGAAGTTCTCCTGGGAGCTGTGCAGTGAGGCAGCCAGCACCAGGAGGCTCCCCAGCCCCTGAGCTTGACCTGACCTTTGTACCTGGAAGCTTTTGCCCTCCGAGACCCCAACATTGCTGAAGGTGTTCACACAGAAAAAAATCTAGATTTCCGAAGCCAAGTACAGACAGGGCATGATTTCATGTTTTAGCTCCCAAAATATTGCTCTTGATTTGGAGATCTGAAATGTGGAGAGAGGTGTCAATTTCATGTCATTATCTTGTATGTCTGTGTTTTGGTTTTATTTATTCAATTACCACCCTTCACCATCACCACCACCACCACTACCACCTCCCCACCTCTGCCTGCTCCAGTAGACCTGGCATCCTGCTAACTAAACCAACTCGTTCTCATTCCTGGTCCCTGCCTTTTTCTCCTTGGCATTCTCCCAGATAGGGTGAGTATGAGGTTTTATTGGTGGGAGCCTGCAGTCCCCACTTTGGCCATTCATTCTGAGCCACACATGCTAGAAGACCATCCTGAGTTCCCCCACTCAAACCCCAACAGAGAGACAAAAACAGAGAGTACCATAAGAGTAGAAAGAAGGATTTGGAGCCAAGTCAGGGGAGTAGGTCATCCAGGGACCTGCTGAGATAACAAACCAGCTTGTCTCATCACAGAGACACATATGCTCATATGTTCTACTGGGAATGAGGCACTAGAGCACATCTATCTGCTTTGTGAATGGTATTTCTTACAAAAGCTAGGCTCCTGCTACTTTTCCAGAGAGGTGTAATCACAAACTAGGGTGTCTTGTCCACTTGACTGACTCTTATGTTTGTCCACTGACACTAGAGTTTGTCATAGGGTGGTGTCCTTCCCAGAAGAGTTAGCATTCCTTGAAGAGTGTCTGGCTAAGCCACGTTGTTGAGACCTTTGGCACATGTTTCTCACTGCTACTGTTAGGAAGATGGTGATGGTCTTTCACTTTCACATCCACCATCTCAGTGAACACTCTAAGCAACCCATGGACATAGAGGCAGTTAACCTCATCGCCTTCTCCAGATGAGAAATCTGGAGCCCGGGAAGTGGGTGAATAGGCTGGAATCCTGTTCCGAGTTCCTAACCTAATTCCATGGCAGCCACTATGTGGCACTTGGGGAAGAGCATGATGGACAGAACCCCTGTCTTCAAGGCATTTGCTGTCTAGCCCTAGAATAAGAATCCAGGTTGTCTGATGTCTTGTTCAATTCTTTTCTGGTTCATGTCAATCAGAACAAGGCAGATAAAAGGTAGCTCCAACTTAATTAGGGGCCCATACCTTAGAAACTTATTCTGCAGTGGGGGTCACTGTGAAAGTAAAATACCCTTGACCACAAGGATATTTTTGTGGTTTTAAATTGAAGTCATCAAGTCAGTAAGGCTCCTTTGCTAGACTTTTTTAATTAGAGAAGGAGAGATTAAGCAAGGAACCCTAGTGTGAGAGTAGGTTGGCACCAGTGCTGGAGATGGCTATATCTCCTGAGCTGGATGCCCCTTTTGACTGGGCATCCCAGGTCTAGTGGAATGATACCTTGTCCTATACTGGAGATTTGAGATTTGGTAACCAATAACTAATATATCAGTATATGTACTGTTATAAATCTAAGTCCCAGAATAAAGTCGTTATCAATGGATAATAGTTATCAATAGTTATCTTTCCCAATTGATTACAAACCCTACACTTAATTGTGTAGACCACATACACTAATAGATACAGGGTACATATGAGTATATGTTTCTTCTTAGGAGAAAAATGACAGCCATATGAAAGCATGAGAGTCCTAATAATGGGGTGATGTGGATGAGATTTTAACTAAATGTTCATAATGTACATAATGTTAGCTGACCTGACTTAAAGGGGAAAGGTCTCTTTCAGGGATTCCTGATTCCCTTTCTGTGAATCTTCCAGCCCTGGCCTTCCTGTGGCCTTAAAGGCTTGACCAACAATGACTTATGGAAGAAGGGCTACAAAATGTTGATATTGCCTCTTGAACTTTATTAAGAGATCAGAACACATGAAAATGGAGAAATATGAAAAATCATTTGCCTTGTTACTTTTCCAGAAAAACTCGTTTTACCTTAGGTAATTCAATTACGTGAGTATTGCCAGGTACTTACAGAATTATATTCTTTTTCCATTTCTTCCATGTTTCTTTCTCCTTCACTATGATTTTTCTTGCTCCTTAAGAGAAACTGAATCCAAGTATTATAAGTCTAGACTAGCATTTCCCAAAGTAACTTTTAGAACATTAGTCCCATGAGGAAAGCCTTGAAACAAAGATTCTCTGGGCAAAGTATTTTGTGAAAGTGCTCCATATTACAACTCTATCTTCGAGCGTCCTGGGGCAATTAGTAGATCAAAGGATCTAAAAAGTCATATAAGAAAGAAAGCTCCCCAATTTAATTTAATCCAGTATTTCCCAGACTTATTTGATTGTAGATTTCTTTTTTCTTTCAAGTAACATCTGTGCTGTAAGAAATATTGTTCTCAGAGTATCAGGTGAAAAAAGAGACTACCCATTTTATAACATGACTGATCCAGTTTCCAGCAGTATTTTTTATCAGAAGGTGGGATTTTCCGGCAGCTTCTTGCTTTGCACAACCGAAAATGGAAGTGCCTCTTCCATTCATTTCCTGGGATACCTTCTTAAAGGCAATAATATCTGAGAAAGAGTGATCCCACCAATAACCCAGTAGATCTAAACTAAGGGAGTCATTAAGGTTGAGGACCCAGGATATCAAGAATAGTCATAAATACACAGCCCTTGAGGGATTACTGAGGGGGTGGGAAGATTTGGAGAAGATGTAAGAGAAGTCAGTGCAGTGTGGCAGCTCAAGAATCTAGCCCCCTACCTGAGAGAGAAGCTTTTAATAGCTGGTGGGCTGTGACCCCCAGGATGGTCACAGCCATTGAATATGTCCAAGTAGAATATCTAGACAAATCCCAGTAATGACTTGGGAAATCCTTCAAAGCAAGAAGTGGCCATGGGGGCAGACAACAAATATTTCCCATGACACAAGCTGCTGGTGTGTTTTGAGAAACAATAAAGTCCAAAGAGTAAATGAAACATGCTGGAGACACATTAGAGATTTTTCTTAGGTTACCAAGATTGATTTCACAAAGCCAAGTAGAAATTCAGCTTTTCCTAAATGTTCTCTGTATCTGTTGTCATCAGTCTCATCTGTCATTTTCTTTAAATAGCATCTCCTTCTCTGCCTTAAAACATATCAGTGATACCAAGTCTTTCTACTTTCCTTTTTCTAGGCATCATACAAGTTTTACTGTCCCAGTAAAAGTCATATTTTATTAAGCTCATTCCATTGGCTCCCAGGTATAGACTAACCTGGTGAATAAGAAAAGCACAGCATCAGCATGAGGTCCACACCCCAGCCAACTTAAAATGCCAGGCACCATGCAGGCTACCCTTTGTGCATCTAGGACTCACATTTCTCTTCCCGGGTCTTGGGTTGGGTGTTAGGTCTTCAAGGACCCTGATCTCACTGCTTGTTTGTGCAAAATGTACTTCTATGTGTTAAAGCACTTGCCGCTCTGATTCTAGTTGGGAAGGGCCTAAATGGCAAAGAACCTAAATATTTTGGGGCTGGAAACCTCAGAATAGGTGGCCACTTTTGAAAGCCCAAGAGAAAACTCTTCTCTCCTCTTCCTCCTTCATTGAATGCAAATACTCGCTCATAGGTGTTGGAGAGCTCGAGGGATTTTGACCACCTTTGAGACTTTCTGATAGTATTTAAATTTTAAATTTCACATTTTACTTACAGAAAACCAACTTCTAAATGAGGGCTATGAGTTTAGGAGCATGGAGACATGATACTTATGTGATCAGTTACAGAAAAATTTGGTTGAATTTCACATTTTATATTCAGATTCTTTGTCCCATGTTCACACATGTCTGGCCCTTACGAGGTACTCTGTAAATGTCTGTTGAATGAACTGCTCCCATAGTAGCTTCGGGAAGTAGGAAGGGCAGATGGAAGTATCCCCATTGCATAAATAAAGAAACTCAGAGGTTGTTAATGATCCAGAGTCACAAAACTGAAAGTCAACAGGCCCCAGATGAAATCCTGAGTCTCTGAGTACTATACATTGGTGGCAAACCCCTTGGATACATCTATGCAACCACGTGTATTTATGATTGCACAACTATGATGGATCCACTTATTCTTGAGTGCAAATGTGCTTTTTCCCTTTCCCATGGAATTGTAGTAAATTTTATCCTATTTTGTTTATTTTCCAAAATTGAATTAAATGTCATCTTTGCCGGGCGCAGTGACTCACACCTGTAATCCCAACACATTGGGAGGCTGAGGCAGTCAGATCACCTGATGTCAGGAGTTCGAGACGAGCCTGGCCAATGTGCTGAAACCCCATCTCTACTAAAAATACAAAAATTAGCCGGGTGTGGTGGTGAGTGCCTGTAATCCCAGCTATTTGGGAGGCTGAGGCAGGAGAATCACTTGAACCTGGGAGGTGGAGGTGGCAGTGAGCTGAGATCGCGCCATTGCACTCCAGCCTGGGCAACAAGAGTGAAACTTCGTCTCAAAAAAAAAAAAGAAGAAAAAATATGTAGTCTCATCCATTCTCTTTCCATTTGCCCCAGCTTTCATTGTCTTTATTTCCATTCTTCTGTTTTGTGAGTTTATTCCTTCCATTTCCCCCCATTTTACCTGTTCCCTTTTACTCTTCTCTATTCCTGCTGTCCCTGTGCCAATTGCAAACTCTCCTGCTTCTATGGAATCACCAGAATGAGATCCTCAAGTAGTGGAGAGACTGGCCCGGGGAGGGAGGGGAACTGCTCTGGGTCACAGAGGGTTCTTGGCAGTGGATTGCCAAGACTCACATTCCCTTGCTCACTCTCCCCTGAGCCTCTGAACATGTAAGGATCTGGAGCAAACCATGCCCCCAGAGCAAAACAGAGGATGCTTTATTCTGCTAAGGGCTGCTGTCAGATCAGCCAGGGTGCTAGGGGTACTTTCAGAGAGTGACTTTTCTGTGGTAGAAGCTAGGTTTTCCCTATTGCATTCTGAACTTTAAGGTGTCTGTCCATTCTATGGATCTTGTCCTAGGAAATTGATTGCCCTAATCCTAAATATTATCCACTCTACTTGGTAATTTCCAGAATCTGTCTGTGGATATAAATAGTAATCCTTGGTGCTTTCTCTGCTGCTCCTGATGACTGTGTGGTCCCAGCATGTGTTGGCTCTCAGCCAAAGTGCGTGTTTGTACCATTGGACATATTTCAGAGCATTGAATGTTCACTTCCATTTTCTGCTGAAAATTCCCATAGAATTCTACTTGGGACACATGTTGTTTTGCCATAAGCCATCAAATTTCTTGGTTACTAAAGAACCCATGCCTAGATTTGGCCTTCTCTTCAAACTCTGGTCACAGAACTGATACACAGATTGTATTTTAAGATACAGTAAAATGATCCCAGTGACCTAATTTATAATGGTTGATAGGAATCTGCTTTTCCTTTCTGTGTTTGGATTCTGGATTCTTGCATATAGGCAGATGCTTACAGTACTGAACCTATACTCTGCTTCAGAGAGGCTGCAGCACTCACTGCCTTGGTTTTGAGATTTCTGGTCCCTAAATATGTCCCTTCTCCCCTCTTTCTACAGGCAAAAGAGCCATAAGGTAGAGTTGGCTCAGAAAAGAAAAGCAGGGCTTTTGCTCTCTCACCTCCTACCTCTGTCCATTCTGCATACACCTGAGCCTTGGGTACTGCTCTCAGGTAGAATTAGTCAGCATCCTATAAGAGCATTCCTTAAAGAGGGGAATTTCCAGCCATCCCTGCAATTATGTCCTCATCGATGTTGTGGCTGGAGGCAGGTGACAGCTCCAGGCCCATGTGTTTCCTGGCCCTAGTTCTTTTTTCATAAAACCCACCTGCTTTTGTCCTCCTTCTGCATTTTATGCTTAGTCCACAAGAAGTTGGTGGGGCCTCACAGTCCAACAGAAGAATGAAGCAGTCACAGCAGCCCCTCCTGGGGCACCAGCTTGAGGCCGTGGGATCCCGTACTCCCACTGAGCCCCTCTCTGTGAATGCAGGGCCAGCTTTTCTGATTGATGCTCTGCTTCCCTTGCACTTTCACCAACAGATTAGTCAATGTGCAGCCCTTTGAACTCTGACAGACAGGCAAGGGGTCCAACCTGCTCTGTTGCCCCCAGAAGATGAATTCTGTATATAGAGTTGTTATTCCTAGCTTTTGCTTAGGGAGGAATAAAAAGAATTTATTTTATGTTTTGAGGTTAAATGAATGTGGGATAAATGTATACATAGCATCCTGTGTGTATATATGTATGTATTGCTCTATGTCAGATGAACTGACGACTTTTCCACATATGGAAGAATTTCACAAGATCATGTTTAGCTAGAAACTTCTCTCCCTAACTTCCTCTGAGTGCATGTTTGAATATACGTTATATATACATATATATGTATGTGTGCACATAAATATATCTTCATGTTTCCTTCACTGAAGAAAAATTAACACCGTATATCAGGGCTTACTAAAGTATAGTTATGGAACATACAAAAAACCAGGAATCTTTAGTTCCCCATGATAGTAACCTGATAAGAAAAGTTACATGTTTTAGGCTTTTAATATCAGTTTCCAACCAAGCTAGTATGTCTAAAGCTTGCCCAGATAAGAGACAGTATATATATATATATATATATATATATATTTTTTTTTTTTTTTTTTTTTTTTTTTTTTGCATTGCAAATCTAATGTCATGGCCCACTTCTTGGAAGGAGCCTTGAGTTTTGTTTCACGTGGGGATGAAGCCTTCAGATTCAACAACCCATGAAGAAACCTCTTATTGGTGCTGATGTGTATTGCATGGGAGAAGGGTTCAGAAGTTTTGACCGTTGCCACTCCTGGGCCAGTCCTTTCAGAACTGTAGCCAAGGATATCCTGGCATGCATTTTGAAATAGCTCTTGAGAGCCACTTGCCTCTTTCCCAATACTTCTTTTCTCACAAGTAGATTGGAGGATACTGTGTTTAGCAGGTTAAGAAATAGAAAGATATCGCAGATGTCTCTTTTTTCTTTATCCCTCAGAGACTACTAAAAATCCCCAAAACTACTAGAAAGTGAGCCAGACGGCATATGTGATTTCCCACCCTTGGGAAATAAAAGGGGCAGTTTATTTGTTTGCTTGTTTTTAAGAGCAGAAGCTGTAGAGTAACCCTGCAGTGGCTCTCTGTGAGGCCACAGGTAAAGAAGGAAATGGGGACAAATGTCTGAACTGTTGTTGTGGGAGGTATTTAACTGCCTCCTTCCTCTACCAGCAGTTACATGCTCACCCAACCATTAAGAGCTACAGGAGAGGGAGGGAGGCGGAGTTACGCAGCAGTTGGGAAGCTGGCTTTGCAGATGAGCAGGTTATTGTCAAAGCCCTTTAATCTGGGTGCGATGCTAATTCCCTGCATGTGAGCACATGAGGGCATGATTAATAAGCCCTGCCAGGTAGGGTCTTCACTGAGTATGGGAAAAATGCAGAGCTGCTTAATGCATCAGGATCCTCCTGTTAGAAAAGGATTTTTCCTTAAAGGAGGTTTGAGCCTACTGAAGATTTCATTCAGTCTTATGCTATTTGGGGTAGAGTGTTTTTTTTTTCTTTTACTGATTTGTCTAGGTTTTACACCTTGTTTGCAGTATTAGGGTTACATTAAGAGATTTGTTGCAGTATCCTTTGAGTCAACAGGGGTTTTTCAGACATAGCCTGCACTCTCCAGCTTACAGATGCAACGCATCTTGGCAACATTGGAGGGTTGATTTCTTTTCAACTTGCTGCTTTAATCCAGTCGCATTTGTCTAAGAGGCAGCACTTTAGCTCCCCCATTGAGAGGGGGTGGCCAACCTTGAAATGTCGGGAAGCAGGGAAATCCATTTTATATTGCTAAACACCATTGCCTCTCTTTTTTTCTATAACTGATGTAATAGGGATCATGTTTGACTTACAACACTCCAGGCACTTGCAGCACTCCAAAGATAAGGGACCAGCAGAGGAAAGGGAGTAGGAAGCATCCTTTAAACATACCCTGCACACACTCACAAAGTCTGTTATTGCAGGAAACCACCTTACAGACCAATAGCATTTTAAAAATTCGGATTTGGGCATCCATCTATTAATGATCTTAATAATGTCAATTTTGAACAGCCCAGAGACTCTAAAATATTTAAGAATCATTTTGTACCCCATCAGATCCTTTTTAGACACACCATTTTGCCTTCAGCTTTAGTGTAATATCAAATAATTTGTTTTACTAGTAATCAACTCTTAATGCTACCAACAGGGATGATATGTCTAGTTATATTGGTCTAAGTCTGTAACATCCACAAAGTGGTTTAATTTACATTCTTGGGTTTAATTTGCACAGCAAACCTATGAAGCATCAGGGCCAGGATATGGTAGTCCCATTTTCTTTTCTTTTCTTTTTTTTTTCTTTTTTTTTTTTGAGACGGAGTCTCGCTCTTGTTGCCCAGGCTGGAGTGAGTGCAATGGCGCGATCTCGGCTCACCGCAACCTCCATCTCCCAGGTTCAAGCGATTCTCCTGCCTCAGCCTCCCCTCATTTTCTTTTTTAAGCAGCTGAGGAAATGAAGAGTCAAAAGGAAATTTGATTGCCTACCATGAAGGAAATGGCAGAACCAGAGTCATGTTAAAAACACAATTTTCACTTTGTTTAACAAAGCCAAGTGTTAATGACTGATCGATGAAGGAGCGAAAATAAAGCCTGTCTTCACTCCCACCCTTTTTTATGGTTATCTGGCAATGGTTCCGCTTTTAGCAGATGTTGATTTTAAGCTCCCAAACAATATTGTTGGCCGACATAGAGGCTTCGACCATTCTCATCTTCAGCTGGGTATCTGATGTCCTTGAGCTGAATGAACTGGCACAGTGCACCAAAGACTAGTTTGTCACAGCTATTTTGCTTGAAGGAAATAGAAAACTAGTTTCTTCAATTTGCCCTATAATGACGATGCAAAAAAAAAAAATTGAGGAAGCACTTAAAGATGTTATATTAGAAGTGGAGGAAAAGGCCACCCAAACTTCTATAACGTTCTTGATGGCTTGACAAAGTGGTCTCAGGTGGCTGCCCTGCCTCAGCGTGTCCTAGTGAGGTGAACTTGCTGAGAAGAACCAATCCAGGCTGCACAGATTCTCCAGTACCTGCCTCTCCCTTGAGAGACACCCCAGTGTGTCTTTTAAAATATGGACATCTCCTACTGTGATCCCCCTCAGCCAATGAAGTTTCGCTTTCACCACTGGGGTGTAGAAGAATAAACCAGAGATGTGGCTCGTGCGATAGAAGAGGGGAAGAGTCATTCTGAGAAGACACAAGTCAACACAATCTTGGCAATCGTAAGGAACTCTGGGAATCCAGGAAGCATATTCCTTCAGAGGAATCCAGTCATTCAAAACAGTGAGAACTGAGCCTTCCATAATTACTCATTTAGAAATATCTAAGTTCCCACATCTGAGAATCATGGCACAGTATGAAGGAGGTGAAGGTGCTGCCTTTCCCCTCAGAGATCTTAAAATGTGTTGGGGTGCTGCTGATATGTCCACGTAAATAGCTTCCACTTGCATATGAAGACCCCTTTCTTCCAAGAGCCAGAGGGACCCAACTAAATTGTAGCTTCTAGTTCCAACCATGGTCTTCAACAGCTTGGAAAGAAGGCAGGACCAAGTTCAACGTACTCTAGAGCTGAGCTAAGCAGAACCAACAAATGTCTTCTGGGGTCAAAGTGAACTCTTCTTTTTGTGGCTTCTCGGCTCATATGGTGGAGTCAGAAGGGTGTACTTTTGTGGTTAGACAGGCTGGAATTTGACCCTGGCTCCCCAGCTGCTGGCCAGGTGTCCTTTGGTGAGCTACCTGACCTCCCTCCCTGAGCCTTCCTTTCCATATCTGCACAAAGAACCTCCTGACACCTGTGTCACTGGGCCTTGGTGAGCCTCAGGGAGGAAACACAGAAGCCGTCAGCACTCTTTCTAACCTGGAGGAGGTGCAAATACATACTGGCTCTTTTCTATCCCAGCTCAGAAATAAGCTAACGCTTATTTTTAAAAGAGCAGGAAGCAGATTTCTGAACCTGGCTAGGACTTTCCTGTTTTGGCGGGGGATCTTACCTGCAAATGGGCCCCAGAGATTATAATAAATACAAGTCATGTAAGAGTTTATAGCCATACCTGACCCCATCACCTGAACAGAGACATTCATCCATGGACTAAGCATTCCAGGAAGCAGGAGAAATAAAAGACAGAATGAATGGTCTCCAGAGGGAAGGTTTGGACTTGACCTTAGCAGAAAACCTACTAGTACCCTGATGAGGCTCGGTGCCCCACATTTGCAGGCTCATGCCTAAGCCTATTGTTTTCCTTTACAGATGTGTCTGTTTTTCCCGGCTCTGGCCAAGCCTGCAGTTGGAAATGCTAACAGCATCTGCTTTGGTTGAGCCCAGGCTCAGGGCACATCATAAATTCCACACTGTGATCTTGCTTTCATGACTTGTGCAGCCAAACGTTGCAAAGTCCTGGGGCTTGAAGTTTCAGAAGCTTTAGAGAAGCCATGAATGAATTAGGGGTGGAGGCGAGTCTGAAGACTGCCCACACCAGACCTAGTTATAACCAGGATCATCTCCTTGCACCCCTTCCAGCAAGGTAGCCAGGTGGACCTTCCAGGCAGAGACCGTGGCTGAGTTCCCACAAAGGCAGTAGGCTATTTGAAAGTGATACTTCGCTGGTTCTACTTGCTTTCCTTTCTAGGACAGGAGTGACAGTAAGATCCCCATTAGGAACTTAATTCTTTGATTTCAAGAAAAAAAGCCAGCTATCAACTCAAAGAGAATTTCAGGTGTTTTAAAAAAAAAAAAAATCCGGTGGTGGCCTCAGGTTTGCCTGCTGGCTATACCTAATACTTCAAAATAGAGACCAATTAAAGGTTTACACTGGGCCATTCATTTATCATGTCAGATTATAGAGTTTCTTCTCAGAGCCTCTTTGCTGGAGCTAATAAATGCCCCCCCACAACAACAAGTCTCTTGTCTTGTCAACGATGACTCAGTCCCTTTGCCTTTAGAGCTTGTCATCAACATAGCCGCTGTGAGCAGCCCATCGGTGAGGAATTTTGTTTTATCTCAATATTTACAGAATCCCATTAGGGCGCAGCATCTGGGACTACAGGATTTCCATCAAGACCCCCTTGTCTGTCACGTCATCCCTGGAACTGTAGATGTGTCCTGAGGTTATTTGATAGTTAAACCTCCTCCCCTTCAGAATTTGCTGGGTTTTGTGGTCACTGTGCTCTCTGGGCTTCGGTCCACCTTGGATGTTCCCATCCCCAGATGAACAAAAGCATGCAGATGACTGATGGACTAGAGTCTTTCTTCCCATCCAGATATTTTGGCAACTGGTGGCAGAACAATCACTCACAAAGGACACACAAGGGATCAAACACCGAGCAGCATTCAGAACAGCCACTGCAAAGTAGATTTGGAAACAGAAAAACAAGGAAAGGAAACAGACTCTCCCAGGCCTGATAGATGCATTTTAAAATGCCAAGTATTTCTCAACAACTTAGCATGAAGTTAAGGATCAAGTGATACTTGTCTGTTTCTTATTTTTGGGTCCCCAAATTTACATTTCTGTGCAGTAAGGTTGCTGAACAAATTAATATTTGCATACAGAGATGCAGGCAGCGCAGCAGTGAAACAGCTGCATATGTTTGGAAAGACTTGGAGCTCCCGCACTGATTAGCTCCTGCATTTTTGTTTTTTATTCCCCAAACGGACACTCACTCTGACCCAGATCATTTGGCGATGAGGGTCAATTCATGTTTAAGCTTTGAAGGTTAGAGAGACCAGAAAGAGCCACCACTTCTCTATTTTCTTTTAAAAACTTTAAACTTTAAAAAACTAAAAACTTTTAAAAATGCATAATATTCTGAGTTCATGAAAGGAATTTATCCACATTTCTGCCACATTAAATGTTAGCAAAGTTTACATTGGACTGTCATATTTCTTTACTTTATTCACTAGCATACAAGATGTCGATCTGAACATCTGGTTTTTAATAACCCTCGACATCTGGGAGCCCCTTTTTATTCCTATGGTGGACGAGGAACAGTAGTAGTGATATTGGCAGCGTGTACTTTCAAACTACAACTCCTGTCTGTTTCAATCATAATTAATTACCACTTTTTAATATATTTAATTTGCTAAAAGTGATTTGCATTAGACCACATTCCACTGTTAAGAAAATAGTAGTAGGTTTTGGTGGCAGTGGCTTTTCTTTTTGCTTACTTTCTTCTCTTTTAAAAATTAAAACCTGATAGGAATGGATTTGGAACAAAATGAATGTATATATGTTGGGTTTTAAATGTGAAATGAAATAAACTGCTCTGCAAGTTATTTTATAGCTATTTAGGAAGAAGTCGGCAGTGGCCGTAGGCTGTGTTTTAGAGAAAGCCTCCTATTTTGCTTTGTGACTTTGGCAAATCATAGCATCCTTCTATGCTTGGAGTTTTTCTACAGCAGCGATTCTGGGGGTCAAGAATCATATGATGAAAGCTAGGGCCTCCATCCAGAGACATATATTTGCACACATACTCAACAACATTCTTCATTGAATTTCAAGGGGTTGCTAGGCCCCTTGAAACCCATTTATGAATGGCCTAGGGTCTCATGGTGTAAACTTCCCTCCTTCATGAAGATGAAAAGGAGCATCAAAGTTTCTTTTCTCCAGGGACAGAGAGGAAGTTAAATGAATGTAAAAATACATTTTTCCTAAGTCACATAGGGAAAAGGGAAGTTTCTTGGCAAGAGCAATTATTAGACTGTTTAATAATAAATAAACACAGATAATTTTTACATAAGAAGGCCCAGCTAAAATGATCAATGTGTTTTATTGTTTGCCAGAATATTCCTACCTAAGCTGTCAAGTGAAAATTCATACTGAGTTGTCCAGTTCAGACTCTGTGCAAATCATTCCATTGACTCAAGTCAGTCAGGGATTTGTAACCTTCGTGGGCCGTGGATCCCTTTGGCAGTATGATGAACTCTCTGGATCTCTTCTCAGAATACTTTTTTCAATGCATAAAATAAAATACATAGAAATACAAAGGAAATAAACTGTATTGAAAGTCAGTTGAAAAATAAATCTTTGAGTAGATAAAAATGACTAGGCCTATTGGCCGGATTAGGTGGAACTGTATGAAACTGCTATTTTTCTAGGTAAAAATGGCCAAATATTGGCATTTTCATAGGATTCAACCTAAGAGTGTAACAACTTAACCAATAAGGAGTCAAATAATGAGAAAATGTTCCAGGTTATTTTTTTTCTTCTATTCCTGATTTTCAAAACAAGAAGCAAATTATGGAAAAATCTGACTTCACTGGAGACCTATTAAAAGGCACAGCTCTCAAACTATGTGTGACACCAGGGTATGTTTCAATCCTTGCAGTAAACTGTGAGAATTGTTCAAAAAAGGGACTTTGCTTTGGGGATATACTTCTGTCTTCAAAGATTCCATTTCCCTCTATATTAGCCACTTCACTAAGTGAGGAAAGTCACCAGAGCTATTTTCGAAACACTTTTCAACAAGAATTCCAACCAAAGAAGTTTCAGTTTATCCATAATTGAACACAATTTTAAGTTAAGCAAAACTTTCTTTCTACAAGCATTCTACTGAATTGAAAGTTTACCTCTCTTTTCTTTGAAACTTATTTGATTGCAAATGTATAATCATTCCATGCAACTGTATAATCATACCATCGCCAGTGCATCCTCTTTCATGCTGAGAGCAAAATAGAATCTGTCAACTAAGAAGATCGCAGCATGTTTGAGCCTTTGTGGAATAACCAATATGAATTATCGCATGCTGAAAAAGTTTGTTCCACCCCAGTAGATGGAGTTGTGTGTGTGTGTGTGTGCGTGTGTGTGTGTGTTTTTAATTCTTCAGCCTTTATTGATACTTTAAGCTTAAGAGAAATTAAGGGTATTTGATTACTATAATTACTTCTCTGCTTACTTAAAAGGTTTAATCTACTCCTTAGGCATATGCAATTCAGATTGCATGCTTTCCAAAAAAATAATCATCTGCTAATGTAGACTAATTTTAATCTTCTAATCCGATTTTGACACAGACTCAGAGCTGGGTGGGTGGAATGTTTTTGTGTGTGGGTTGCCATAGATACAAAACCCGGTTATGTATTTGACAAGTCGGTGATGTGGAATTTAAGTTACTATGGATTTTTTTCTTCAGTCTTGAAGATTAAAAAACAAAGTGAAGATTAGTGTGCCTTTCCAGTGCATCTCGGTGTAACTAACCTTCTCTTCTTTCATTCTGGTGCTCCCCTCCTCTCTGTGCACCTCCCCACCTCGGGCCGGCCGCAGGATGACGAGGAGGGCATATGGGCATAGCCGGGCCTGTAAACCAAAGTTCCAGTTTTGTTTTGAGGGGTGAGAAACCATCTTTTATATCATTTTTATTAAAAAATTGCATTCTAGTGTTGTATTGTGTGCGTGCTCGATTGTGCTCGCTGATGTTTGTGAATTGTGCCCTGTGTTTGCTACTGTGTTCTGTGAGCGCAGAATGTCCGCGTGCCCTGACCCTTCCCAAGAGCCCCCTCCATCCTACCTCACCTCCCCACCCCACAACCACATTACTGCTCTGCCTTGTTGGGGCTGGGTTTAGCACGATTCAAATGTTTCTGTGTTATTTAAGATGTAAACTGTGCCCTTACTAGGATTTATACACACTTTTTAAGGCATGATTGTGGACTCAGAAATTGTCGCAATTCTCCAGTCGTGGTTTTCAGCCGACTGCTTGCTTTCACCAGATATGCCAGTGTGGTGTGACTCTCACGTCCTTCTGGTTGTGTCAAATGTTTGGCAAGGAATAAGGAAAATAAAATATGTATCTTCATGGAGCTGAAACTATCATCTCTAAGAAGGCCGTTTAATGGATTGTGCTATCTCTTCTATGGCAGTTCTGAAGAAAACACAAGGATCAAGGCATAGTAATGGTGAATGGGTAACTGTAACTCTTTAAATGAATTAGAATAGAAACATTCATATTAGCAGGTCTTATTAGTGACATTTTATCTGTTGCTTTTTAAAAATTATACTTCTATGAGGCTTTGCATTAGAAATTATACACATTGTATTTATCAGAGGGTTTTGTATTTTAAAAGCTGATCTTTAGCTATTGAGAATCCACCCTTTATTTACATCCTGTCTGCATTACGATTGAATAGTGACACATGTAATTACCACATGGTTATGAATGGAATACTGAAGTCTAGCAACTTTTGCTGCTGGGAATTACACCTCTCCTCTATACTGCAGGCTGTTTAACACCAAGTCACAAACTCCCTGGAGTTGAATATACACATGGTTACATGGAATATGGTATTAAACTTGATAACATTGCATATGATGTTTTATTCAGAACAAGGAATGTGGTTGATTGTGTGCCATGGTGATTTTTTTCTGATCAGAAAGTATTCAATCTATAGCTCTTTATTCTGGGACAAGCATGAAATGACACAGTGCTGGAGATTCAACAGGTGTGGGACAATTCTTTGGGATAACTTAGCATGTATGTCTTTCCCCGAGTCTTGCCTTCAAATAGCATGGCAGGTAGTGCTTCAGGTGAAGTTTAACCAAGAGCTGGTACGTTTGGCCTGTGGGTGACGTTTCATTGTTGTGTTTTACTTCTTAGTTGAACCTGTTACATGTCCCACTAATGGGTCAGTTTGCTTTTTTTGGTACTGAGGGGGCAGTTCACAGGATGGTGGTTTTCAGGTACGACATCTTTCTACATAGTAAAGATGTAATGCCTCCTGGATCCATTTGCTGCCAGTAAAACCTGCTTCATGTTAATACAGAAGTATCTCATCTCTTCTCCCTTTTCTTGGCAAAGGGGAAAACGGCACTGGAATTAACACTTCCAGATGCAAAGTCATTCTGCAGGAAAGCTTGTCAGTATGAGGAAGTGGGGAAATCAGAGAAGTTCTGGATGTCTATGGGAGCAACTCTCTCCCTATGTAGGGAAAATATTAAGAGAAATGTCACATTTACTCACAGAGAAAAGCTAATAAAAGTGGCAATTGACCTAAAGTCATATGAAATGAGAAGAAAGCGTTTTATAGCGTTAAAAAGCAAACACATGAAGCCTGCCTCAAACATGCATGGAAGAGGTAGGTAAAGGAAAGTTCTAAGAGTTTGGCAGTTGTCTTGAAAAGTGTAGATCCTACTTGGGGCTCTTCTGTGAAGCTACTTCTGCCATCATGAGTATCAGGGCGCTAGGCTGCACTTGTGTTTCCTCCTGAATAGTGAAGATTTTGTATTGCTCTTTCACAAGATTCATGACACCCTGAGATATGAACAGTGTTGTTATCCTCAGGATGGAATTGGCTCCAAGACCCGTAGGAAATCTTGCTTTGCTTAAGGCAAATGCAGACGATTGTATTAAGCCCTATCCCCTTTATTTCTTCGTGAATTTCCCCAAATGCCATGCACACCAGAAAATAAATGTTTTTAGAAATTTAGTCAATATATAATCCTACTTTAGTATGCTGTAATAAATTTCATATGCTTCAGAGGAAAACTACTTATCTTTCTTTATGACTCCTTTAAACAAGTTTGCTTAGATATCCTCAGGCTTTTAAAACCATATCTTTAAGGATTTAAATAATGAGATACTGGGGGAACCTTCTGTTTTTGAGCAGCCGTTGCATGTTTTGAGTTGCATTACAATCCATGAGGCCTTAGGAGACATTAAATTTATAACTAAAGATGGATAATAGTGGTACATTAAAAATTAACTGTTTTCAATGTTTTGATTTATGGCCCCTATAAAAGAAACATCACAAGATGTTATTTTACTAGACATCAGTAATATGCTCATAATAGCATCGGAAGGCTCTGACTTGAATCTGGAGTTTTGGTGCTGAAATGAACATAATTTAGAAAAAGTCACTCTAAAAATTACAACAAATTGGAATTAGCATAACAACCCCATCAGCTCCTCCCTTTTTTGCCACTTCTGGAGGCTAAGTCCAGACATGATTTATTTGTCTCACTATGGTCATTCAAGAGTGGTATTTTCCGAGCACACGGTGGACCGGGGAAAGTTTACTTTTCTAAAGAGTTTTGACACCCCCTAGAGCTAGCCTTTCCCCTCTTAAACCTCACACCCAGGCCTGGATTTATCAGCGTATGGCCTGTGCAGTCCACAGGCCCTACACTTGGAAGGGCTTCACTCTTAGGTTAAAACTCTGCTGTCACTGTCTTGAAATTCCTAATGTTTTTCAAAGAAGGGGCCTCACATGTTCATTTGCCCTCAGCGCCACTAATTATGTAGTCTATGCTGCCTACACCAAACATATATTCCTATATTCTGCTTCCCAATTCTCTTTATACTCCCCCTCCCTGTTGGATCATCCACACTCTTGTTTTCTTATGCCTAAGATTTACCTGTGGCCAGCCTCATTGTTCTGGGTTTCTTCTAGAGACTCCACGGGATCACTTTTCCAGCAAGTTCTTGCCATCATAGGCATCCCTGGCAAAGCATATTCAACCACTGTCCTCTCACCACCAACCCCCCAAACCCCACACTCACACATACTTTCAATTGTGAAAATGTGCTCTTGGAGGCCTAACTGTATTCCCTATCTTGCCTTGCAAAATGCAGAAAAAGCAGCTCCTCAATTCTCCATAATTGTTCTTCAGGAAAATCCACTTAATGTAGGTATCATTTGTGTCAGCAAATACTTCTTCATTTACATTGAATGAAGGTGCTTTCCATGGATCCCCCAAGAGGCATTCGGGTTTGCGAACATCAATGAGGTAGGCAATGGAGGAGCAAATCGAGGCACCTTGTGAGATTTAGTGCCACCTCTGCCTCGACATTTGAATGTTTGAGCTCTTACTGTGAACTCTTGTAATTGAGCAAAGATAGAACACAAGTTTTTATTTCTTAAACCACTAGAAAGGAATTAGTCTTTTTTGATTGAAAACATATGCAAATTTTTAGGACCCGATTCATAAAAATACAGATGTGGCATTAACAAGTTTTGGCATGAGGCTGTGATGCTAGTAGATGCAGCCTGTTCAAAATGAAGAATTGTAGCTGTCTGCCACCAGCTCATGGACAATGTTATGGTGAGTAAAAATATGAATCCCAGAACATTTAGACACGAGGAAGTGGTGTTTTACAAATAAAAGCAGTGCTGGATGGCCCAGTGGAACTCCCTGCCATGCCTCCCCTCTGGAAGAATGAAAGAAGGAGGAAGGAGATGTTTTATTGTGGCTAGGAAGTTCAGGTCTGACTTGCCTTCTTTTAGCGGACAGGGTCTGGACACTAGGCCTGTGCTTGTCCTGGAACTAGAGAAATTTAATGGCTGCAAAAAGAAAATCAAGGAAAGAGCTCTGAGCTCTACACAAAGCAGAGGTTTCTATACAAAGTGGTGGTTTCTATGCAAAGTGCAGGTTTTCTTTCACACCGCCTGTACAGGGGTAGCTACTGCTGCTTTTAATGCAATTTAGATTTTGTATAACTGAGGATCTGATATATCTCTTTCTTGTGCCATTGGCTACTAAGACTTTCATTTATTCATTCATTCATTTATTATTCACTCATTTGTCCATTCTTTCACCAAACGGTTAAGTTCTCAGTTAGATGCTAGGAAACCAGTGACGAATAAGATTGCCATGGTTGCTCCCCTGTGGATCTTGCCATCTAGTCAAGGGACAGAATATAAATAATTAGACATCTCAATAGAAACCTTGCACGTTTTGGTCATGGCTTTGATGGAAACCAGAAAGATACTGAGATTAACTTGAGGAACCTACTTAAGGAAGGATGTTCAGCAAGCATCTCTCCAAGGAAGTAAGTTTTAAGCCAAGTCTTAAAAGGGGAGAGTCAGGAGGTATCCATGCCAAGGCGTGCATTTGGGAGGTGGTCCCGGGAGGCATGCAAAAGCTGGAGGTGGGAAGGAGTTTATAAGCTGAAGAGGCTTGAAGACCATAACTCTGGGTAGAGCACAAAACAGTGAGATGAGGATGGAGAAGAAGGAAGGGACCAGAAAACGTAGGGCCTTTTATGGCGAGGTAGAGAGTTTAGATTTTAAGCCTAAGAAAACTGAGCAGACATCAGAGGAGTTTAAGCAGGGACATGACATGATTTGATTTATGTTGTAGAACAACCCTGGCTGCTGTGTAGAGGATGAATTGTCGTGGCAGGAAGAGCAGAAGTAGAGGCTGTTCCATGATCTGTGAGAGAATTGATGGCACTGACCCAGGGCAGCAGTAGTGGAGATGCAGACAAGTGGATAAATTGGAGATAAGACTAGGAAGGTGAAGCCAGGAGGACTTGGATGGGGAGGTAAGACAAAGGACAAAATTGAGAATGCCTCCAGATTTCTACCTTGGGTGTCAAAGCTGGAGCAGGCCATTATTGGTGGTGGTGGGGGCACTGAGAGGGAACTCAGAGTTCTGGTTTCCCCAGATGTCCAGTCGCTCTGGCCAAGGGAAGGGCAGGCTTTTGACCTTGGCTGTTTTCCATGTTCCTGCATATCAGCAGGGGAATCTCTGGCCTCTTATTGCAGTAATGTGCAGGCTGACAAGTTTAAAGCACGTCTGAAGTCTAACTTCAAGAGTGGGTGGCTCCTCCAACTCTTGAAGAAAAGGAGATTGCAAAGCAAAATCAGTAGTTATAGAATAAGAAGACATGTAAGGGGTAGCAATCTGTGGAAAAACAAAAACCCCAGAGTTGTAGGAGGTTGAAAGGGACCTAGGGACTAGAGGGACCTAGAGAGAAGGAAGTTGCCATTGGCTCTTGTAGTTCCCCCTGAGATCTCCAGGGATCAAGAATTCTGTCAGTTAAGGGGTACAACATGAGATTTTGATTGCTCTTGATAATTGACTTCTCATCTTGAAATTCTAAGTATATTATTTTTCTGCAGAAGAAGCTTTCAATAATCTCTTTTCAGGAGTTAATATGAGAACTAACCAGAAGTAGCTACGAGGTGTTTTAGAACCACCATGACAATGTCTCTGCCTACTTCCAATTGCAAAATCGATTCCTGGGCAAAGTAAGATGTTTTTGCTTTATCTCTGTCCCCACTTCCTCCTTTTATTTTGCTCTTCTACTCCTCTGGAAGGTGTCTGTATATTTATATCTTCTATTCAGGCTTACAAAGCTGCTGTTTAGAGCTTCAACTTGAATATCCTATTCACAGTCTTTGCAATTAGTAATTTATTCAAAAAATATTTCTTCATCTTAGTACTGGAGATGTACTGGATATACATCTCAGTACTGAGTCAAGGTAGTGAACAAAGTGTGATTCCTACCCTCGAGGAGCTTAGAGTAGTACATAGATTCTCAAGCAGGCGTCCATAAGCCCTGGAGGCTCTGCAAATCCCCTGACATGGTTAATAGGCTTCAATGTGGATGTATGCACATCCCCACAAAGAGAGTATTTATTTATGTTCCTCAGCAGATAGAGGGGCCAGTGACTCAGAAAAAGTGAAGAAGACCCTCATCTATGGTGGGGTGGCTAACAGTGTGGTCTCTGGATTCAGATAGACCTAGGTTTGGATGATCGTGGGTAAGTCACCTTCCGTCTCTCCCCTCCATTTTCTCTTTGAGGAAGGTTGTGACACCCCCAGGGCTGTGATGAGCTGAGTAAGATGCCAAGTCATGCCTGGTGCACAGTGAGTATTCAACCCTGGGTAGAATATCAGTATATCACTATTATTGTTACTTCTGGGCTCAGGAAAGTGTACTGTATCCATAAACAGAGGAAAGTGGTTGATACTGGGGTTGTTGAATTTGGGAGGTAAAAGAAAAGGCAAAAGAAAGGTAATCTATTCCTATGGCCATAGCTACACCCAAGCCACCTACATAGCAGGCCTTACTTAAAGCATGTTTACCCTATAAACATACCCTCTCCAGTTACCTTTGATTTTTATAACACTTGGGTATAGCAAAGGAAAGTTTGATTGTTGGAGAGTATGAATTAGTCCCTGTTTATAGCAGAGGGTTTCTTTCGGCTTAAAGAAAAATCTAATGAGTAACATGAAAGCCAATGAATATTTAACAAATAATTAATTGCGAGCTAATGAATTGGAAGAGAGAAAAGGATAATAATGTCTCAGTCCACCTCTTTCTGCTCTCAAGGGTGATGGACTTGGGGGCCAAGGTAGAAGCTTTTAAGGAGATTGGAGGGCAGTAAATAAGTTCTTGTGGGTTTCTCTGGAGCTCATAAGGGTTACCTGGCAGAGCAATGCATGTTGGCTTAGATATGACCACACTCTGAGGACCTGAAATCTGGCTGAGAAATCATAAACAAACAGTGGTGATAAATTACCACTGGGCCAGAGGCGGGAGGCGTCTAGCAGAGTGTTGTTACATTACATTACATCCTTCCTGTGCCAGGGCTGGCGCACAGGGAGCATGCTGGCTCTCCCACCCTTTTGTCATTTGCTTTAGAGTATGCTGTTGGTCTGGTCTTGTTTAACCTCTTTATTAATGATCTGTAAAGGGGAGAAAAGAGCATGTGAAGGAAAGTCACAGATGACACTAATTTGGAAGGTGTTGGAAACACTAGTTGAGGTCAGAGAAATCACACAAATGGCCTGAAGAAGGTTAGGAACATGGAGGGAAAATAACAAATCTTGGAGAAGTCCAGACACTCACATCTGGTGAAAATTAATCTGAGACACAGATACCAATGGGTGGGAGGGATATGAAAAGCTGAATGCTAAAATAATAATAATAATAATAATAATAATAATAATAATAAGCAGCTCAGTAAACGTCAGCGAAACCAGCCAGCCCAAAAGTCTGCTATGGGTGAGAGTAGGGAGAGAGGTGCCTTTGGTAGTTAGCACTGTCAGTGTTAGCAGGTGCCAGAGAGACATGCGTGATCTTATGTGACAATTGTCTTACACCTGGGACATCACAATATTATACATGCTTTATCTCAGAGGATCACCCAAGTTATCAGAAAGATGGAAAGAAAGGCTGTGCACGCTGGCTCACACCTGTAATCCAAGCACTTTGGGAGGCCAAGGCGGACAGATCACTTGAGGTCAGGAGTTCAAGACCAGCCTGGCCAACATGGAGAAACCCTGTCTCTACTAAAAATGCAAAAAAATTAGTTGGGCGTAGTGGCACATGCCTGTATTCCCAGCTACCTGGGAAGCTGAGGCAGGAGAATTGCTTGAACCTGGGAGGCAGAGGTTGCAGTGAGCAGAGACCGTGCCATTGCACTCCAGTCTGGACGACAAGAGCGAAACTCTCTCTCAAAAAAAAAAAAAAAAAAAAAAAAAAAAAAAAAAGAAAGAAAAGAGAAAGAAAGATGGAAAGGGTTTTTAAACGATGCAGGGCATCATTTAATGTTGGAGGCAGAACCAAAGCTTCTAAAAGAATTATTAATAACATTTGAAAATGGCCATAATGGCACTTTCAGGGAGACCAGAAGGTATTGCTCTAGAACATGCAAATGTGGGGTTGAGAAGGCTCACAGGTTTCATTTTGAGACTTGTAGCCTGAGAATAGATACTTCTCAGAGGCCTCTTTGGGGAGCCATCCAATTGGTGGCCAACGTAATGCTCTGAGTCAGAATTGTCTTGTTGGTTCAGGGAAAGCAACTCCAGCCCCACCTCTTTCCAACCATCTCCACAGCCCCAACCAAAGGGGAAAACCAAGACGACATCTAAAATCAGAGCACATATTATGGCCACCACTAGGTGTATCAATCAGAATGGCTAGATTCCTTTCTGCTATTGGAGCATCCATTGGCTGGAGGTCATTAGCCTTACCAAGACGTACCTTAACTCTGTCCTCAGGCCTCCCCCATATATTCCTTCTCCAGAGTCACATGATCTCTGCAGGAAAATTGCTAGTCCACCATCTGGTGGCTACCTGGTGTTCTTATGAAACTCTTACTGCAACCCTCATTGTGGCTTCCCCATGAACATGTTTGTCAGAGACTTTGAGATGGGAATGTATTCTGGGAATATACATGTCCTCTAGCTTTGTTTTCTGGGAAATATAATGTAAATGCTGAGAACAACAGCACACAGCAACTGAGAACTTCCACTGTGCCAGGTCAGGATCTAAGGTGCTCGTGTGTTCAATCTTGAGTGGAGTAAAATTGGGATGTCAGGCCCCCATCCCTCTGAAGCAGATCCTGCACTTGTAAACATGGGTCCATGCATGCCTTGCAGCTCACAGGGTTGTTCCCATGGTGACAAAATCACTGAGATGCTGAGCCTTTATAAGGAGACTCCTTGCCATTTCTTTCAGCCTAAGAGTCAGCGTTTGCAACCTCACCGTGTGCCCTTCTGCTGTGCACCTTAATAAATCAGGTCCCTTCTTTTAGGTTTGTGTGGGTGGTTGAAGGGCAAGGGTAGCTTTAAAATCTGCCAGTCCCCAAACATTTCCTTAGTTCCTCAGTCACTGTGTATATGCAGAGAGGTAGAAACAGAGCCCCTGGAAGTTTGAAGAAGAAAGATTGTTATAATCTCTTCGAGAGAAGATTTCTCAGTTAAACCTATTAGATCCAGAATAAAAAGGCAGACTCCCATATGTGGCGAAAGACCCCTCGCTGCACATTGTATCTTTGTCCATCAGAGGGCAAACATAAGACGAGGCCCTGAAATAATAATCGCAGATTGCTTTCACTGGGAAATCTGAGCTTCCTACAGCCACCAATTCATTTTCCTCATGTATTACTTTTATGCTCATTTTACAAAACTTAGGAAATTTAATAAGTATATCAGGAAAAAAATTTTCTCAAAATCCTCATTCAGAGAAAGCATCATTTTTAACTTTTCAGTATATATCTTGCCATATTTTTCCTATGCAGATGGTCTTGTAAATATGTACTTGATGGAGATGGGAATCTCTGTCTTTGCATAATCTTTGGCGCAGAGTGGTTGGGCAGTACCCAGGCTCTAGAGCCTCACAGACCAAGTTCAAATACTGGTTCCACCACTCCCACCTGATGGATTAAGCCTTTAAAGGTAGCTAAGACTGTTTTTGGTGGTGTTATCATTTACTTGGCATTACATGACTGTTTTTCACATCTGTTTATAATTTTAAGATATGCTCTGCATCGGGCAGTCGGGAGGTCAGGGCAGGCTGGAGTGGCCACGCACACTAGAGCCCTTTGGATGCAGAGGCTGGGAAGAGTACACTGTTGCCCATTGGGTTTGTTCTTGGCAGTGGCATGAGGCTTCATTGTTCCCTGCTCACGTGTCAGAGGAGTGCCTCTGATTGCCCTGAGTCAGCGTGTGATGGAATTAGCAACCTTGCTGATCCCCCAGCCTCTGCTGTTCTTCTTTCTGTGCACCTTGATCCCTGAAGTCACTGTGTTATTTGAAAGGAGTTTCTGTACAAATCACTCTACTAAAAAAAAAAAAAAAAAAAAAAACTTGGTAATTAAAAAGGGAGTCTCCCCATTGGCCCACGGCACTGGATTGTAAACGGATTCAGTGTGTGGGACTCTGGCTGCTGTTTTGTGTTGGGTTTGTGGTTTTACTTATTTTTTTGTACTTGTCTCCCCTGGTGCTGGGGCACTAGCTTGGGAGCATGATAAAAATCATGTTATCGAAGAAACCTCTCTGCTCCTCTTTTTTTTTATTTTTTATTTTTTTGAGACGGAGTCTTGCTTTGTCACCGGGCTAGAGTGCAGTGGTGTGATCTTGGCTGACTGCAACCTCCGTCTCCCAGGTTCAAGTGATTCTCCTGCCTCAGCCTCCCGAGTAGCTGGGAGTACAGGCGTGCGCCACCATGCCCAGCTAGTTTTTGTATTTTTAGTAGAGACGGGGTTTCACCATGTTGGCCAGGATGGTCTCAATCTCTCGACCTCGTGATCTGCCCACCTCGGCCTCCCAAAGTGCTGGGATTACAGGCGTAAGCCACCGTGCCCGGCCTCTGCTCCCCTTTGTCTGAAGGCAGGTGACACATTGGGAAACTCATGGCAAGCCTGTTTTCTTCTCAGAGAGGAAGGGCTTGCAGGGCTAACAGTGTTTCCCCCAGCTGATCCGAAACATGATTTGGGCTCAGTACAATTGGCCACTGCAAAGAATTGTCCTTCCCCCTCACGGAATGTGGAATGAGAAAGGGAGAATGAGGAAGTCTTCTAGAGCCAGAGAGCAATCTTTGTCCCTCATTATATAACAGGCTTGGGACACAGGGAAATCTAATATATCAGATAAGGAGGTGACGATGTGTGAGGGTGCCAGCTAAGATGCACCAGATGAATTTTCTCCATGTTATTATTTTTAAAAATTATGAATGCACCAACATGCTGATGGAGCCCGGACTGTTGAGCCATTTTTTCATGTGAGGGCCTGACTCCATGCAAGAGACTCCTACGCCCCGAAGCCTGCAGGAGCTTTATGTAGCTGGGTTGCATTTCCATGGCAGGGACTGGGGACAGGGAAGGATGGACTCTGGCGTTTGCCCCTCTGTAGGTCACTGCTGTCCTGACAAACACTGAGGGGGCCTTCAGCACAGTGGCTTTCTGCCTAGTTCACTCATCTTAGGGAAAACACCTTAAAGTTCCAAGAGCTGACACTGCCATTTCTTCTACTTCTGTCTCACTCACATAGCACCCTTGCCAGTTTAGAGAAAATGCCCTGTGTCCCTGATTTTCATCTGATCTCCCATCAGCTCTACGAGGAGGGCAGACAGGTGACACCATGCCCATTTTATAGAGTAAGAAAAGGAGGTTTGTCCAGGGCTATACAGATGAGACACAGGGGAACTAGTACGTGAACTTCAAACATGTGACTCTTGGCCAGCTACTCCTTCCACTATAGTAGTAATTCCCTAAGGTGTTCCTCAGTGCACTGATGGTGTTGGATATTAAAAGACTTTTTTTTTTTTTTTTTTGAGATAGGGTCCTCCTCTGTCACCGAGGCTGGAGTGCAATGGTGTGATCATGGCTCTCGGCAGTCTCAGACTTGTGGGTTCAAGCGAGATCCTCCACATCAGCCTCCCATGTAGCTAGGAGGCACACACCACCATACTTGGCTATTTGTGTAGGGGTGGGGGGCCTAGAGATGGCATCTTGCCATGTTGTCCAGGTTGGTCTCAAACTTCTGGACTCAGGTGATCCACCTCAGCTCCCAAGGTGCTGAGATTACAGGAATGAGCTACCCGACCTGGCCACTATTTTAAAAAATAGTCATAAAGGCATATGGTGTTCAAATAAGTTTGAGCAAAGCTGGATTAAACAGCATTAATAGGTTTCTCCACTGCAGGCCTTCTCAGAGCCTTCAATAGGCCAGGGTCCTCCAGTCAGCTGTCACACTCCAGAGAGACAGCGTTTGCTGTGCTTATTGCTCACAGCCCCTTTTCTTCTCACACCCTCATGTAGAATTAGGGTGCACAGAATATATCTGGGGAAAGTTTTGCTGCAGCCTGACTTCTCTTGGACTATAGGATGAGCCATTTTCCAAGCAGGTGGAGCTACCACCACTGACTGAGGTGGTTAACACGAAGCCTGGACAACCGCATGCCAAAAATGATGAATTGGCCTGAAAAGGAGAAGGCCGATAGCCTAGCACCACCATTAGGCTTTTCTTTTTCTATGTTTGGCAACTATGTTTTGCCAAGTGCTTACTTATGTGGAGCTTAATGGGCATATATATTCACTGTTCAAGAAGACTGAGACAAATAAAAAGGAACTTGGGGCCTTTCTCAAAGGATGTCGGCAAAGGAGAGGCTAGCATTTCCTCTCCTGTGCCGATGACCACGTGCCCACCACTGTCCCAAGTTAGGGCTTACTAGAAAACTTTGCAATGTCCAGATAGTAAATATTTTAGGTTTTGTGGTCCAAAATCTGTGGGCAAAATCCAGATATAGATGTTTATATAACAAGAAAGAAAACAAATGTTCATAGATTTTTTTATTGAAGAAATTCAAAATATAATGAGTATAATTTTTTGTAATATACCTCTACTAATGAGAAGAGAGTGGGTTTCTTTTAGGGGATAACATGTCACTTTATTGGGGATCAAAATTAGTATTCTCTGTTATCAAAATATATTGCAAATGTTCATCTGTTAATGATGATCTGTAATGGTATTTTATGTATTTCATCTTTAAAAATATCTGTCCATACAGATAGGTGATATGCATGACACTCAAAGTCTGGTCAAGTTAGAGCAACCTTGCTGCCATTTGTAGTGTGTGAACAGCAGTGCAAAGCCATGAGTGTGCCACGTGTGGTCTTGGCTGCAACTCCATAACCCTGCCATTGCCATGCAAAAGCAGCCAGAGACCATACGAGTGGGCATGGCTGTGTTCCACTGTAAACTATATTTATGGACAGTGAAATTTGAATTTCATATCATTTCCATGTGTCACAAAATATTCGTTTTAAAAAAATTCCCCCCCAACTGTTGAAAAAGGTAAAACCCATTTTCGACTTGCAGACCACACAAAAACCAGTGGCTAGCTGAATTTGACCTATTGGGCCATTATTTGCCACCCCATTCTAAGTGCTTTCACATTGGTCATCTTGTTCATCCTGATGTCTCCGTATGTGGTATGTACCACTATGATCCTGTCTTCAAGATGAGGAAATTCAGACACAGAGAGGGAAAGCTCTTTGCCCAAAGTCACAAAGCTCCAAAATCTCAGAGCTAGGATCCGAACCCAGGTATGTCTGACTCCAGAGCTGCAGGGCGGTTGCTTGTCTGCACTGACTCACATTGCATTCCCCATGGTGACCCTTTTCAATCTCTGCTGTAGTCTTCAAGCTCCCCAACAAACTCCCCTCATGGGAAGGGGAAGATGGGCCCATTTCTTTAAGAATCGTGAAGACAGCCAACAAGGGCTCTGTCCATTTTCATCCTCTCCACCTTAGGGGTTTTCTCCATTGACCACTTCTCTGCTTTCTTCTCACATCTTATTTCACCACCTCTTCCTCCTTTTGTTCTTCCCTTTTTTCATGAGTAGAATGTCCAGTCTGCATATAGGATCTCATGGGGTAAGAGTGTGAGCTCTGCATTCCAGATCTGTCCCTGAAAGCTGTGTGACCTTGGGCACAATATTTAATCTCTCTGAATTTCCAATGTCCTCATCTGGAAAATGGGGAAAGCGATTTCTTACATTTTCCTCCCTCATGGAGTTCTTGTGAAGATCAAACGTAATAGTGGTGTAAAATGCGAGCTCAGTGCTAGTACATAGTAAGGCACTCCATAAATACTAGCCTTGTTGTTTTTATTTTCTTCCCTACCACTACCTACTCTACATTGATCACCTCTCACAGGCTTGCCACGTCAATATCTCTGTAATTATTTATCAAGTATCTACTATGTGTTATAAAGCTTTAAAAGTTTACTTGCTCCATGTCTCCTGAATCAGGTTGAGCATTGAGTGCTGGGCTTTGCATTGGCACACACGGCCAAGGGAACAAATGGAACCATTCTCCCTGGAGACTTCATGCTATGCACCAAAAACCACCTGGCTGGGATGGGTTGGATATAGCTCTCGAAGAGTCAAGCAAACTGTCCAGCCAATAAAAAATATATGCCTGCAAGTTCAAAAGCCCTCCATCCACAGTGCCAATAAACTAGCCCAGTTAATAGCCCATTGGAATTAGGTACATGAAGAAGCTTAAAACTTTTCAGCCATTACAAGAAATACAATCATGTTTTGAAGTAGGGGAAACTTCAACAGAGGCCACAACCAAGTGAAATTACAAAGAAAATGTGAAAGTTGTCTTTTCCCTAGATCTTTGTACTCTCTTATCTTGGCCGAGCCAGAATAGTTACTTAAAATATTGGAAACAGCTTGTTGAGAAAGCAATGTTGCATCTTCCTTGCCTGGAGAAAAGCATGTACACACTTGCAGGCTTTGGTGTATTCTTAGAGAGGCTTCAAGGAATTGTGCAAGCAGGGTATGTTCTAGCAGATTATGGGTTCTTTGTGTTTCATGTTTCATGGCTGCCAGCAGCTGGCATCTTTCAGAAATCACATGAAAAGTGGGCAGAGCTCCTTGTGCAAACTTCCGAGCCAAAGGTTAAGGAGACTTTGTGTGTAACTCTTAATCTTGTTGGGAAATTTTAGGGTGAAAAATATAATTATACCTGAAATGCCAACAACCAAGGCCAAAGGAATGTCTCCTCTTTGGAGGGTTCTTTGTTGATAAGATGAAAAACTAAGCTCTTGTGCTCCTGCCTACAAATTATTCAGATTATTTGAAAAGAAATGAAAGAAGACACTGGGAGGGATAACCGTTGCATACTATGCTATGTAGCACTTAACTAATACTTACCTGTTTAGCAGTTAGTTCAATAAATATTTATTGAGTACCTGCTATGTGCACCTCAACAGAAGCTAAATATTCAAGTTCCTGCTCTCCTTGAGTAGTTTTACTCAAGTTAAGTATATTCTTACTCATCTCTCAATGTGAGGTTCTGGTCATAAGAAGAATTCAAGGACTCTGGAGGTTAGCACAGGGTAACTTTATATTGCATAATCTATAATTGCCATCAATTCTGTATAGATATAGATTAGCATGGGCGATTCAACAGGCTGGCATTGAGAGCTGTGTGGTGTGGCCTGAACACCAGTCCCAGAGGTCAAGAGGGGCAACACACAAAGGCACTAAAAAGAAGATAGGAAAGTGATACTACCACATTGGAATGAGGTGTTGTCATCAGCCGGCAGACCCCAATGGAGTCCTGTGAGACTTGTAGCCATGGAATCCAAGTCATGACGATGAGCATAACTTGTCCTGGAGTGGAGCACAACCGTTAAGGAAGGCTTCCTTTGTCCATGTGTAACTCTACTTAGTCTTTCTCTGCCCCACCATGTGGGTCTTAGGTTGCCCCATTTTACAGAGGAGAGGCTAAATTACATCTTGGTCACACAACTCAGAGGTAGAAGAACCCAGACTGTAACCCAGTTGTCATTCCCCATCACATTCCGTGTTCTTTGTTCAGTATTATGTGGCCACCGCTAGCTATCTGATATAGCAAGGGGTTATTCAGACCCAGCTCCTTAAACCACATGCCAAAGTCTCTCCCCAGATGAGTTTATGAGCCAGCTAACTCATGGTTGGGAAATCAAATAGTGAGATACATATATATATATAAAATTTATTATGCATTATATATCTTATATGTATATAGTGAGAGAGATATATAATTTATTATGCATTCAGCAATCTCTGGAATCATTTTTGGTTGTCACAACTAGGGGCTGGGGGTGGGGTGGCAGGGATGCTATTGGCATCCAGTAGGTAGAGGCCAGGGACTCTGCTAAGTATCCTACAACAGACAGGATGCAAGACAAAGAAGTATCCAGCCCTAGATTCAATAGTGCTGAAGCTGAGAAATCCTGGCATAGAGCATGTTCTCCAGGGGCAAACTGCCCACTTCTCAATTCCAGCTCCATCACTCACTAGTTCTGCAACTTGGAGGCAACTTTCGTAAACTCTCTAGGGTCCAGTTTTCTTCTCTTTAACATGTAACTAATAATAGCACACGCCTCCTGGATTTGTTGGGGGGCAAAGTGAGTTAGTGTATGGCCAGGCACTAAGTGAAGTGCTGGGCACGGTGTAATTGCTTAGGAGAGGCACCCTTATTATTTCCAAAACTGGAAGGTAAGCATCTGACTGTGGGGCTTCCATAGCTGATTCTCAGCTGCACTAGCTGGCAATCTTAGCTGCAGCATGCAGTCTCAGGATGATGAATGGCAGACTCAGGCACTTAGCATGTGCACAAATAGCCAGGTGCAATGTAGAAGGAAACTCTTGTTTTAAAGTGAAATTAAGTATAAATAATTTAGGCGATCACTCTCTAAAGGTTTCACTTTAAAAGAGTTCAGAAATTCCCTCTGGAATCTTTTTAAAGGTCTCCATTTATCTATGCAACTAGCATTTACATCACTTTTACAATGTGCTAGACGGTTTACATGGTTTAACAGATTTAATTCTCAAAACAGCATCATAAGATGAGCACTATCTTCCCTTGTTCTTTCTAAACAAGGCCACTTCTCCTGAAGTATGTGGCCCTGAGATCAATCAATGCTGTTAAGTTTTCATTCAGTATTGTTTTTCGTATTATGTTTTAGCTGTTATATTATCTTCCATTATCCTCCCCAACCCTCTCCACAAGCATAGGAATTTTAGCAACATGACAACATGATATAGGTTTTTGTGGATTAGCCTGGGAAACTAACACAATGTTTAACATATAATATACAACATGTGTTATGTAATAATGTATACATATAAGATATTGGTATGTGCTATTATTCGTTACATAATAACTAATATTATGTATATTAATAGGCGTGTGCTATTATTAGTTACATGTTAAAGAGAAGAAAACTGGACCCTAGAGAGTTTACGAAAGTTGCCTCCAAGTTGCGGAACTAGTGAGTGATGGAGCTGGAATTGAGAAGTGGGCAGTTTGCCTCTGGAGAACACGCTCTATGCCAGGATTTCTCAGCTTCAGCACTATTGAATCTAGGGCTGGATACTTCTTTGTCTTGCATCCTGTCTGTTGTAGGATACTTAGCAGCGTCCCTGGCCTCTACCTACTGGATGCCAATAGCATCCCTGCCACCCCACCCCCAGCCCCTAGTTGTAACAACCAAAAATGATTCCAGAGATTGCTGAATGTCCCCTGGGGGGCAACATGGCTCCTGGTTGGTTGGGAACCACTGCTTTTCCCCTACATGTCATTCCTGGATTTGACTTTGAACATTATCAGAGTTTGACCCGCAGACTGAAGGAACCTCACAGACTTTACAGTCTGAAAGTTACCTTTGACACTACTCAGAGGAAGCAGAGCTTTCTCACAGAGGGAGGGAAGGGAAGTGAACATTGAAAATGTCCATGTGTGTGTTACGACATGGAAGAGGGGACCAACAGTCAAGGTGTGCATGGCAGGTGGAGGTACAGAGGGAGGAGATGGTGATTTGGAAAGGGTGACATACTTGCCACTGAGAACCCAGCAAATCTGAACTTGCTGGTCTCCTGCGCAGTGATTGAGAGCTCCTGCTGGAGTCAACAGACTTGATTCAAATCCCCGCTCCACCGCTGATGAGCTCTGTGACCTTGGGTCAGTGATTTAATCTGAGTGCCTGTTTCCTCCCCTACAAAACCTAGGCAATAGTGTCTACCTCATGGTGGTGGTGTGAGCCCCTTACAGGTTCTACATGAGAAAGGGCTTCATAGATGCTAATCAGTTGTCCTGGCCACCCCACCTGAGGCTGTGATGTTTAAGGGATAATGCAACAGAGTCTGGACTCAGACTGCCCAAGTCTAAATCCATCTTGGCCACATGCTAGCTGTGTGATCTTGACTGAGTAGCTCAGCCTCTGTGAGCCTCAAAGCCCTCATTTCTAGTGCCTACCTAGCAGAGTCCATGTATGGAAGCTATGAGATGATGCAGTGAACCCTTGCCCAGTTCTGGAGCCCAGCAAACTCTCATCAGCATTAGCACCATGATGACACTTCCCACCTTATGATTTGTCTTTCCTTTCTAGGGCTGCCATAACAAGGTTCTGCAGGCTTTGTTCAAGGTGTAGGCAGGCGCACTTCCTTCTGGGGCTGTGAGGGACAATCTATTCCATGCCTCTCCTTTAGTTTCTGGTGGTTTGGTGGCAATCTCTGGTGTTCCTTGGCTTGTAGATGCATCACTCTGATCTCTGTCTTCATTTTCTCCCGGCGTTGTTGAGTGCATGTGTCTCCTTGTGTCCAAATTTCCCCTTCTTATAAGGACAACAGTCACCTAAGATCAGGATCCAAGATGACCTCATCTTAACAAATGAGATCTGCAACAACCCTGTTTTCAAATAAGGTCACATTCTCAAGTACTAGGGATTAGGATTTCAACACATGAATTCTGAGGGGGCACAACTCAATCCATAACAAGATTCTATGAATCATTTAAAGGTTTCTTCCAGCCCTGAAATTCCTTGCGGAATGGCTGAGATCTGAGTAGCTTGGGGCAACCAAATAATGGAACCCTGAGAACAGTGGAAAGAGCGCTGCTTGAAGAGTCAGGAAATGTGCTACTTGAGGAAAGTGTCTTGATTTTTTTGACTTTTAAAATCAGTTTACTTGATTATGTGTCTTCTCTGTCCTGTGGGGCTGATGACGGCTACCTTCTACACCTTCACCGCGCACCCTCTTCCCAAAATTATTCTGCAGACTGCAGAAGAATGTGGCTGTAAAGACACCTTGAAGCTTTCAAGGCTCTGTCTCAGTGTGTTATTATTATCCCCATTATTTATAAGGAATAAGGCGAAATGTTGACTCCCGTGTGGGGATTCAGTGTCTGTTAACAAGGCCTCATTTCTCCATCACTGCTTGCCTCTCTCCATCAAATGCAGACCTACTGCTAAAGTTTTCAAAAGCTCCCTGCGTTGCGAGATTTGAGCAAACTTGATCTTCCAGGTTAAACTTAAATATTGTTTCCATTTTGAAGCCTGTCATGTGGGTGTACCACAAAGAGCGTTTGGTTTCCCCACAACCTCGCCTGAAGCTCTGGGCCGCGGTATGTAGGCAGTAACAGAATACTAGGAAGAAAGAGAGAGCCTGAAATGGATCCTTGGCTCTCAGCCTGTGCAGAGACAAAGCAGGATGTAAGTAAAACCATTACTTCTACCTCCTGATCAAAGGCGAGATGGTAACCCAGCCCCTCCTCCCCACCACCCAGCAAGCAATTAACACCGCCTGGCGTCTCCTCTGCAGCGATGGCGGTTCGTGAGCTCGGGCTCAGGAGTGGTTGAAAGTGGGGGTGCCCTCTGTGCCCAGGTTGAAAAATGTGCGCATTTGCGAACAGAATGTATGACGAAATGGGGAAAACACAGAAACCAAGCTTGTTGACAGCTTACTCTTTTCATCTACATTTGATGCAGAGTGAGATCAGAATTTGCCAGTGGAACTTAGAAGGTTTGTATCACAGGAATTAAGTAGACTCAAGTCGATTTTGCAACCACCTATAAACTTGTTAAATACAGATTCTGATTCCATTAGGTCTGGGTGGAGCCTGAGATTTTACGTTTCTAACAGACTCCCAGGTAGGGTTATCAGATTTAGAGGGGGGAAAAAAATAAAAGGCTTGACATCCAGTAAAATTTGAATTTCCTATATTTTATCTGGCAACTCTTCTCCCAGGCAATGTTAATGCTGCTGGTGTGTGAACCACCCTTTGAGTGGCAAAGATGTACATCATAAAGACATAAAAACCTGATGAAAGTATAAGGCTGAGTTAGTGGCTGAGCATCTGGTACAATTTACAAACAAGCGCGTAGTTTACAGAATAGTCGCACTGCAAAATGTGACTTGGCTATAGGCAGAGACAAACCAATAGCAGCAAAGAGTGTGTGTACATGGTTAGAAACAGGGTTCCTTGCATTCCTAGGCTTAGAGTCCTGGGGGACAGTGTGGTACTCATGTTTGCTTTATATATTTATTTACTTAGCCACTTAGTTAATATTGGTAAATCCAAAGTAAATTTAGAACTATAAAAGTAAAAAAAGATTTTTTTAAAGAGCTAAAAACAATGCAAAGTTTAATGTTGAGGGCCTTGAAGAAGGCATTTTGCCACATTCTGCCTCCCTTTCCAACTTGCCCTCCGAAAGGAAGGGGCCACTGTAATTCCTCCTGCAGCTCAACCCTGATAGGTGATCTGCAGACGAGGTGGGGGCTGGGGCATAGGTTTACAATGACATTTGACATGCAAACCCAAGGGTCTGTTTCTTTGAAGCTGAAAGAACTGATTCTAGCTCCTTTGAGGATACTGGGCAACCAGAGTGGCCACTTACAGATTGCCAGAAAGTTGGCACTGAAAGGGAGCTTAGCCATCATCGATTCTAGCCCCACTTCACTGATGAAGGGGCAGCGCTGCAGACAGCAAGTTCCTCCTCCTCCGAGCCCCTTTCTCCTCTACTGGCTGCTCTGGCAGGTACATTGGAAAAGCTTTATTCCAGGGGCTGTGTAGGGTTAGGATTTAGTTTTTAAGGTCTGTTTTTTGGGGAATTTTTTTGTTTGGTTCTGTTTGAAAGTAAAGAACGATTGTCTAATTCCAAATCTTACTTGCCTGTATTCTGTAATGGAAACCATCTCCCTTCCGTTCATCCATTCTTGACAGTGGGTTGAATCTTGTATATATGTCTCCTGTGATTTTAGTAGGCTTGATTTATTTAATCAAAGGCAGATACCAGACTTTTCCCAAATTTAATAGTGCCATTTGTTTTATTATTCAAGTATTTATTGAGTACCTTCTATGTGCGAGGTCTGTGGAAGGTCACAGCCATCCAGAAACTAGAAGTTAAATAGCCCTCTCTCATTCAGCATGTCTCATCAGGACTTGGCTCTACTGTAGCAATGAATAAGCATGGAATTTAAGCTGAATTGCTCAGAGGTTAGTCATTTTAGCTGTTTGGCCGGCCTTAATTTCTGAAACATCAAATAACATCATATTTCAAGTCCCATTGATAGATAACCTATATGCCCCTACCCTTAGTAATATGTCTAACATGGTATTTTTCACCCAATTCTTTAAAATAATCTACATTCATGACTCAATTCTCATTATAAAATATTTAAGCTATATTGAAGTAGACAACTTAAAACCTGAATGTCTCCTTCACTCTGTCCCCCAACTCTACACTTCTCCCCAGAAGCAATAGACCCCAATTAATTGGTAGATATGTCCTTTGTCTGCATTTACAAATAATGCACACATAATTCATTTAACACAAATTAGATTATATTATTCAGCTTCTTCTGTGATTTGCATTTTTCACTTAACAGTATGTCTTGGTAAACTTTCCGTTTCAATATATATAGACCTACCTTATTTTCTAATAGCGACAGAAGTATTTCATGGAATTCCCCTGCCAAGGTTTATTTTAGCCACTCACAGTTAATGGGCATTTAGATAGTTTGCCATGTTTTGCTATCACAAACAAGACTGCAGTAAATAATTTTGTGTATATGCCTTTGGGCGTATGTGCAAGTATTTCTGCACAATAGAGACCCAGAATTTTAATTTTCTACATGAAATAAATCTGATAAGCTGATAAGAACAGGATTGGTTGCCAATTGGCAAATACATTCCAATCTGAGTCTTGAGTTTCCCAGCCCACGCTGTCCTGTTTGTGTTAATGCAGGATTGCCCCCAAGAGTCCTCCCTGTTCAGACCCTGCTGGCTGACAGTTTGAAATCTGGAGTTCAGCTTCATATATAAAAACCTTAGCTTTGCAATATTTAAATTCTTAAATACCCTAAAATGGTATGGACTTTATTAAACAGAAAGTGAAAAAGGGAAAATCTAAGGGAATTTCCCTGATAAATGGATTGAAAAGTCCATATTTAACAAAGCATTAGTCTCCCAGGAAAGGAGGTGGGCCCACTTTTTTTTTTTAAATAACCTTTTCACGTTTTTCTTCTCAGCTAAGCCAACTCCACAAATAGCCCAAACTAAACACGTAATGACTGTGCTGTGTTGAGATGTGTTTTGTTTCAGATTTTAAAATGCAGCAAATAAGATGTGATAGGCAGAATCTAAAGATGCCTTTCCAAGATGCCCATGCTTTATTCAAACACTAACCAGGTACTGGACGAAGGGACTTTGCAGCTTATCTTAAAATAGAGAGAGTATCCTGGATTATGTAAACGGACCCAATGTCATGACATTAGCCCTTAAAAGTCGAGAAAGAAAGTCTAAGAGTCAGAGTGGTGCAGTGGAAGAGGGAAGGGGAGAGATTAGGCAGCAGAAGAGGCAGAGAGGTCCCAAGGGGGAGGAGAGGAGAGACGAGGCTGTGATAAAAGGAAAGGGGCTATGAGCCAGGGATTGCAGGTGGCCTCTAGAAGCTGAGAATGATGCTTAGCCAACTGCCAGCCAGGAAAGTCCCACAACCAGACGGAGCTGAATTCTGCCAGTGACCTGAATGAGCTGGAAAGTAAATTCAGCCTCAGAGCTGCAAAAAAGATTGCAGCCCTGTTGACACCTGGTGATTTTGGCCTCATGAAACTCAGCAGAGAATGAACTGAGCCGTGTTGTGCCAAAATTCTGACCTACGGAACTGTGAGATAATAAATAGATATTTTTTAAAGTCACTAAGTGTGTGGTAATGTGTTAGGATAGCAGTAGAAAACTAATGCACAGACGAGTTGAACCAACATCTGTGTGTGAGACTTGGCCCACAGGACAAGCTGGTGCATTTTTTACTTTCTAGCAACTGGAGCAGGGTAAGGGCCCAATGTTATAATATGAAGAAGACCAGCTTGCATTTTCTAGGTGCTTACCTCATTTTAGGTGCTGTGCACGGTACTTTATGTGCATTTCTTACCTTGTTCTTCACAACAGCCCTACAAGGATTTATGCTTTTATTGTTATTATCCCTGTTTTATAGGTGAGGGACCTGATTGAGGCTCACAGAGGTTAGCTACCTGGGCAGGTGTCACATGGCTTATTAATGGCAGGGCTGGGACTCAAACCCATGTCTGTGGGACATCATACCCAAGTCTGTGCACATAAGTGCTGTACTTCACAGTGCACCACGACCCCAATTAAATATGAAGCTAATATGTTTCCATATACAAAATTGCTGATATTTAAACTCCTGCTAAACACTCACAACTAAGAATGCCTTTCATCACATAAAGCCCTTTAACCTTGTTTTAATGCCCTTGGAATACTACACCACTAGGTGCTGAGCAAGGAGAAAAAAAATCAAATTTGGATGGTCAAGGAAATAGGAGACTCCCACGCCACCCCCGCCCCACCCCCCAGGTTCTGCAAGCCAAAGCTCAGAGCACACTCTTACATTTCTCTTCAAATCCTTGGAGGTCTCACTTGCTCTAGATTGTGTCAAAGATTGTGCCCCTTCCCTGCACCAGGCACTCAATTCCAGGGGTGGAAGTTGTGATGGAGACATTTTTATAACTTGGACATAAAGATCAGGAGCCAAAAGGAATATCAGGTGGAACAAATGCTATTGCTTACATTTTATCTGGAGGTGGGGGTGCGGGTTGATGTGCCAATTTGCTCTCAGTTGCATGTACAGAAATTGTGACCTCAAATTCAGCCAATGGAAAGTCTGAGTATGAACATTCACATTGTTCAGACATTTAACAAATATGAACTGAGCTTCCATAATGTGATGGGGTTTGCATGAGAAGCTAATGATGCAGTAATGAATAAGGTGAGTTCCATACTCATAGATCTTCCAGGCTCCATTACTCCAGGCTAATGAAGGAAGCACAGAAAAGCAAGCAATTTCAGGATAGTATAATAAGTGCTGTAGTGGAGGAGGCACTAGATGCCTAGAGCAAATATGGGAGAGACGCCATACCGAGATTCAGAAGCCAGAAGTAGTGACCCTTGAGCTGTGGCCTCACGGATAAGTAGGAGTTGGCCAGGTACAGAGGCGGCAGAGGAGAATAGCCCAGCCCCAGGGGATGTCATGATGTAGATCTGATCTGGGAGCCTACCTATGTCCATAAATACATCTGGAGTATAGGAGGCAAACAGGCTATCGGTTGAGACTGAGGTCAGAAAGCCTTTCTGCTAGTTTTTTGAAGAGATTGAACTTAATTATAAGGGGACTTGGAAACCATTGAAAGAAAAGGCTGAGCAGTGGCATGGACGGATGTGGGTGCTTTAGAAGGACCCCTCTGGTGGAAGAGCCAAGAATTGATGGAGGGGAGTGAGTGGAGCACAGAGACTATTGGGACCTGAGAGAGGTGGTAGGGGGTAGAAAGGAAGGGTGGGGAGATCAGGGATGGGGAAAAGCAGCGGGATTCCAGAGCTATCTGAGGAGGAGGGGCCACGGGGTTTGTTCGTCTGGTGGAGGGAGAGAAGGGAGCCCAGGATGACAGACAGCCAGGCCTGATTTGGCCAAATCATCATGCAAATATTATTCTGGGCTGACAGGCCCAAGTTGCAGTCAGCAGAGGCAACACGGGCTTATAATTTGCCATTTGTGAATGTCCTGAGGACTGGAGAATCAGCTAGGAAGCAAATCTTCCTTCTGCTGCATAAGACAGCCAAAAGCACCTCTGAGGATAGGCATCTCAGGGATTTCAGAGCAGGTAACGCCTTTTGGTTGTTTTGAATATGCTGACAGAAGAACAAAAGCTTTCAGGAAAACAAAGCCCAACCCCTTAATGAAACAGGAAAGGATATACAGTTTCAAATGCTTGCTTGCTTTCCTTGTTTTCTGAGAAGAAAGATGCCTTGCCTGTTGAAGGTGGCAGATGCAGGTTGCTCTGTGGGCCTCGGGAAGGTTCACTGCAGCTGTCACCTGCCCAACCCACGTGTCCTGAGGCACTGTGACATCTTGACAGGTGTCCTGACTCTTGGCCTTGACATGTCCTGTCACGCCTGCCTGTCAGCTGGGACTGGGCTTGGGGAAGAGCTTGTGGGCCTGGGGCCTGGTAGTACTTGCTTAGTTAAACATCTGTGGCTGCTATTTCCCTGTCACAGGCTGGCAAGTCAGAACTACTCAGATTCACTTGCACAGCAATGGTCCTTCAGTCTTCTGATTATGTGGCTCTGCAACAGGGAGAGGGAGATATTCATGAGCAAGTGTGCAAAATGCATTTAATGCCTGCTAATGGTGTACAGCCATCCATTGCTTTGGTCTGCCCAGTGTCTGTCTCCCTATCTTTTGATACCAGGGGCCAAGTTTCTCTGGGGAATTCCTTTCAGTTTTTGCAGTTCTGGGACAGTTACCCTTCACCCAGCACTATGTCAATATGGGCACATGACTCAAGCCAGCCAATCAGAGTTCACTTTCCCTAGACTTGGTCACTCAGAGGGAGCTATCCCTTAGGCCACAGTGATTGGTTCAGAAATGGGCACATAATCAAACTAGACCAATGAGTCTCAGTTCTGAAATTTTGAGTTAAGATTGCTTGGAAAAAGAACTGTTTACTCTATGGAAATAGAAGCTGGAGTGATGAAATTTGGGGTACCGGGAGCGACAGGGCCATAGTGAGAAGAGAACCCTACCTGAAAATGAAGTCAGAAGGAAAAGGAAAGTAGACAAGAATGATGGAGAGAGAGGCAGAGACAGATCCCTGAAGACATCATTTAAGATCCCGAATTCACCTGTGCCCAAAGCCAGACTAGTCCTGAATGATTTAGTTACAAGAACTAATAAATGCCTTTTTCCATAAGTCAGTTTGAGGCCAGATGAATAGAAATTGCATCCCTTATTGAGTCCTGGCTCAAGTCAATTTAGCAAGCATTTGTTAAGATCCACGGTGGGAGCTATACCTCAGAGCTCCAGGGAGCACAGGAGGTGTGCTACAATCACAGCCATTGCCAGTATTGTTATTATTCCATTTATTAGACATTTCAGACACTCCTCAGCACTTTACACACATTATTTCATTTCACCCTTTGAGCACATCCTTTAATTAAAAATTGTTATCTACACTTTACAGGGAAAGAAACCTAGACCAGAGAAGTTAAGAAATACATCCAGGGGTGGGTGCGGTGGCTTACACCTGTAATCCCAACACTTTGCGAGGCCAAGGTGGGAGGATTGCTTGAGCCTAGGAGTTGAAGGCCAGCCTGGGAAACATGGCAAAATCCTCTCTCTATTTTCAAAAAATACAAAAATTAGCCGGGCATGGTGGTGTGTGCTTGTAGTCCCAGCTACTTAGGAGGCTGAGGTGGGAGAATTACCTGAGCCCAGGAAGCAGAGATTCCAGTGAGTTGAGATCATGCCACTGCATTCCAGCCTAGGCGACAGAGTGAGACCCTGTCTCAAAAAAGAAAGAAAAAAAGAAATATGTCTAATATAGTAATAATAGTGACAGAGGATGTGAGTTATCGTCTACACACTGGCAGGCAAAAGAGGTTACTTCCTCCCATCTCAAGGACTTGGAAGTAAGGGAAATAAGACTGTACACCCAAGAAAGCAAAATGGAATAGATCGGAGTAGAGATCTGCCAAGTTGCCTTACAGAGCCAGGACAGCTTCCAGCCAGCCAGGCTAGATCTAGCTGCCTGAATGTATTGACAGCAAAAAAAAAAACAAAATGAAAAAGGGTATGTCAGGAGAGGTGTCAGCCAACCATGGAGGCAAAAGCGGGGGAGTGAAAGAGGAGGATCTTGGGGATGCCCTTCATACCACTATCCAGGAGATGGGTGTCATAGCCACGGAGCTTCCCAGTGGCCAGGCCATCTCTAGGGGGAGATGAGAGGGAAGGTGGGGCCAGGAATCCAGCAGTCACTCTTTCCATCAAAGCCACCATCCTGCTGTGGAATAGTTCCCCAGGGCCTCTTAGCCTGATGCCCTTACATGACTACTTCAACCAACATCCCTAGTTTTGAGGATGCCATTCTTCTCTTCATCGTGACCCCTTCTACTCTCTTTTAAAATTATTTCTAGGCCTCTTCTTCCCTAGAGGCCGTGTCTATGGGAAGGGGACTGTGCTTGCCACAGTTGGACATTCCAGGTTCTGCAGTGATAGTTTCATATCATTGTAAATTCAGCTGGCCTTCGGAGTCTAACTTGGTTTCCCCTGTGACTTCCTACAAGAAGAGACTGAGTTGGTCAGAAGCTAATGAATCTTTTGGTCTATACATCTTTCAGAGTTCTCCTTATAAGATAATCACAAGGTCTCTATTTTGTAATGCTAAGGAGACAGGAGCTGGCTACTCTGGAGGCTGCCTTTTTGGAGATGTACTTCTTCTGTGGCCTGACAAGGAAGGTTTCAGAGCCTCCCGGACTCAAGGCCAGGCCTGGGTGATGGCATAGCTACCATGTAAAGTGCATTCTCCACCAGGAATGGTGGCTCATGCTTGTTAATCCCAATGCTTTGTGAGGCCAAGGTGGGAGGATTACTTGAGCCAGGAGTTCAAGACTAGCCTGGGCAACATAGTGAGACTCCCAGCTCTACAAAAAATAAAAAGTAAAAACAAAACAAAAAAAATAGTTGGAAGTGGGGGTGTACTCCTGTAGTCCAAGCTACTCAGAAGGCTGAGGCAGGAAGATCACTTGAGACCAGGAGTTCAAGGCTGCATGAGCTATGATTGCACCACTGCATTTCAGCCTGGGTGACAGAGTGAGACTTTTTCTTCTAAAAAAAATTCTTTAAATCAAAACTCAGAAAAATAAATAAATAAATAAATAAATAAAGTGCATTCCATGGATATACCTGTGCCCTGGATGAGAGGGGCCAAGCAGCTTTGCAGACAGAAAGAACACCACAAATTTAAACTGGAGTCCCAGCTTCATTACTAGCTAAGTGGATAAGTTTTCCAACTCTTTAAGGCTCAGTTTCCTCAGATAAAACATGAAGAAAATAATAGGATCTGCCTCCCAGAGTGGCTAGAAGACTAAAATGGAAAAGAAAAGAATGCAAAGGGTTTAGCAGGGCACCTGACGTGGTTGCACTCATTAGCTGTTAGTGGCTCTCTTCTTGCTGATATTTTTGCATCCTGGGATGAACACACATCCCTATCCACATACTTTTCTATGTATGATCTAGGCCTGAGTGTTCCATACAGTGACTCAGACCCTCAGGAAGGCAGGGAGTCTTGGAGAAAGAAGGCACCTGGCCTTATAGGTGGCCTGGCTGACCCAGCAACTATCCATAGGGTCCAGTCTGGAAATGTCAATGAGGGAAATGGGCCAGGGAGGCTTGGTTAGAGGGGCATCACAAGTCAGCTTCAGCCCCACATGCCATAAGGGAATGCAAGCTCAGTATAGCCATATCTGTGCCATTTTTCAATAGAATCCAAGAATCTAGATTTATTTATGATAGCAACTTATTTCAATTCTTTTAAACACTCTGCAGGCCCAACAACCAGCCCAAGTGCAGGAAACAATCTTGGGGCTCCTCTAATTTTGATCCATAATCTAAGGGCTGGGCAGAAATAGGTAGGAGTTTTCTGAGTTTGGGTTCCTGGAAGCAGACTCTTCTTTGTACTACATGACAAGGATGTAGTACAAGCTGTCCTTGGGGGATGTGTTCCCAGGAAACATCAATAAGGCAATGGGAAGGCAAGCCAATAAAGGGGGAGTTGTCAAGCCACCACTGTGGGCAACTGGTGACTGCAGCTTAGTCCTGCTGTGGAATGCTGGAGGCTAGTGTGGAACCTGAGTCATCCCACTTTAGGGGTGAGGGAGCTGTGATATGTGTGTCTTCATTCCTGACGGTCATCGGCCGAGGGCTGCTCCAAGGGGCATCAATACCCTCACACTCCTCACCTGCCACAGGCCTGTATAGGGTGAGCCTTAGAGGCCAGGGAAGCCCTCAGGCAAAGGCATGCAAGAATGGGCAGTTAGAGGTTGGGCTGCATACACTGAAATGGTCGAGCCTAGCAGGCCATGGAAGGGGCACCCACAGTGTCAATGAGAGACAGGCAGAGGAAGGAAGCAGGTCACCACCACCCACTGCATTAATAAATGTCCAAAACATCCATCTAACCTGGCAATTAGGGATGGATGGCAAAGGTCCTCATACTGGCTCCATCTGTCCTGTCAGAGGAGGCTTCCAACACATGCCTCCGGTCTCCTTCTCGTGCCAAAGCAGGAGTTGAGGCTGGAAAGAGATGTGAGCTCCTTGCAGGAATGTCTGCTGGCCGCGCTTGCCTCTAGAGGCTCTGCCTGTCAATTACAGAAAGATCTGCGAGACTCCATTCTCCTCTGTTATCTTCCACCGCAGTCTCCAGTGGCAACTCTGCAACCGTTTTCTGCAGAGTGGTTCAAATTGTTTTATATCTCCTTAGCTGCCAAGTACAATGTCATAAGCAATAAATAAATAAATTGTTGGCCTATATGGAAAGCATATTTTGTCCAGATGCATGCTTGAAACTTCAGCTCTGAAACAAGAAAGTCAGACTGGAAACCACATCCTCAAAGCTCAGGAGAAGTACACACAGAAAAGCCATTTGATTGGCAGGTGCTACCACCCAACACTGGATTTGTGTCCTGCTGATAGGACAGACAGTGCACCTTCTGAAATGCTGAGCATGTGAGGTGATACAGTTTGCTGGTGTTCATGCTTAGCATGGGTGGCCCTGCTAGACAGCCTGGAATGAAAGAGGAATCAAGTTTGGAGGATGACTTAGCTGAGGAGCTGAGACCTGTGTGTTTCTTTTGATCTCCTCTTTACCAGCTGGGTTGGGGCAAGCCTTCCTCATCAAGAAGGCTGAGTTCAGCATCCTTTTCTGGAGTGCAAACTGTTTTCCCAGCTATCTGGGCCTTCTTGGATGCAAAGAGCAAGGGCATGACAATATGTAACCAGGAATGAGGAGGAAGAGGAGGGAGAACTAGATAGCTCAAAATCAGCTGGGCATGGTTTAGCTGGCTTAGCCAGCCATGAGATGGAGCGGGCATTCCAAGAAAGAGCTGGGGCCAGCAGGTAGATGATCTGAGGAACAAATATGGCCTTGATGGCAGTAATCACCATAGAGAGCGCACCAATAGTGACTTGGACTGCCTGGGACAGCTGGCTGGGAACACTTTTAAATGTCATTTTTATCACTTTTTAAATTAAAAATGCATATGCATAAAAAGTTAAACAGTCTAGAAGATGCATATAGTGAAAAGTGAAAGTCCCTTCTGCAACATCCCCACATCTATGCACTCTGTCATTCCAGAGATTCTTCCAGGCTTACACACACACACACACACACACACACACACACACACACACACACACACACTTTTACCAGGTTTGAGATTGTTCTATACAAATTATTCCACAACTCCCTCTTTTGCACTTTGTGTATTGTGGACTTCTTTCCACATCGGTATAATCTGTCATTGCTTTGTGGTGCTCTTTTGATAGATTATAATACTTTGTTAAAATTTTTGAGGTGACTTCTCAGATTGCTTTCCAAATTGCCAGCCTATGGTGTTTGCAGTTGTTGCTGTGATCACTATTGCAAGTAAGAGTAATCTTTTATTATCTTACCTGTTGAATGCAATAGAATTAAAGTGAACTATGGAAAAATTCATGAAAAAAGTGATTACAGAAATGATGATTTTGAATATGCACTTACACACATAAAATATATATGTATGGTGTAATGAAATTCAAGAGAGATATTGGGCTGTCTGAATAAAACTAAAGATGTCACTTCTATATGTGAGTTATTTTTCTTGAATGAATTCCTTCACCTACCACCAAGATTTAGTTTGAGGCTTGTGTGTGTCCCTTGACTGGCAGCCCAACTTGGTAGATGAGTGTGAGACTTCTGAAAGATACTATATAGATGGTTAAGAATAATCTAAGCCATGAACTCAGACACCAATTCTGATACTTTTCAGTACACAGTCAGTGCGCTCAACTGTCTGTGCCTCAGTTTCTACATTTCTCAAAACAGAACAATAACATGTATTGGTTTTTTTTTTTTTTTTTTTTTTTTGAGACAGAGTCTTGCATTGTCGCCCGGGCTGGAGGGCAATGGCGTGATCTTGGCTCACTTCGACCTCTGCCTCCCGGGTTCAAACGATTCTCCTGCCTCAGGAGATTACAGGCACCTGCCATCACGCCCAGCTACTTTTTTTATATTTTTAAGAGAGATGGGGTTTCACTATGTTGGCCAGGTTGGTCTCGAACTCATGACCTTATGATCCACCTGCCTCGGCCTCCCAAAGTGCTGGGATTACAGGCATGAGCCACCTCACCCGGCCAACGTGCACTTCTTTGGGTGGTTGACAGGAGCAAAAGAGAGAATGCATATGAAGCCCTTACCTGGCATGAAGTACCTGCCCAGCAAATAGTGGTTAGTAGAGTTAGGAAGAGGTATGTGATCACCAGCAGACAGCAGGCATCTGGTCAGGTGTGTGTGCCTCAAGGACCTGGTCTGTAAATGTCCACCTTTATAGGTGCTCACTCTCTTCTCCCAGCCAAGTAGTTGGGGGAAAAAAAATAAAATAAAATGAATGTAGACTAATGTCAAAAGTCAATAGTCAACTAAAACTGTTCCAGAATGCCTCAGGTTGTCGCAAACCATCAGCTATTACAGACTAGAAACAGAACCTGCTTTCCAGTTGTAGATGATAAATAAACACAGTGCACTGCCCTTTACAACGAGCAGCTATTTTTTTAACCCATGCAGATGTGTCCTATTTACATTTAAGCTGTCACACAAATTAGCAAAGGCCCACAGAATCTGAAAAAAGGCAGGCCTCAGAGCCCAGAAATGTTCGCAGGAAAGGAAAATGGCTTATCCCGCTCCTCATTGCTGTGGTGGCACAGTCTTGATAGGGATTGGGAAGAACTGAAGAGCTTTTCTGGGACAGCAGAAATGTTTGCTGACCAAGCAGGCTTTGGAGCTAATCTACAAGGCTGGGTAAAATGAAATGCAACAGCATTCCGAGCTGCTGGGATTTTGCCTTTTTTGCAATCTGTGAAAAGCCTTGGACCTTTAACAGATATAAAAATCCCCTCATTTGGTATAAGCCTGTGTGTGGCAGAATGAGTCTAATTAAAAACACCAATCAGAGAATAATGGATGATCCCCTGTTTCTCTGAGGGTAAGATTTCATTGACAAAATACTTGTTTGGCTATACCTAGTAGACTTACTCCTTATCAAACCACATGTATGGACTGCTAGAGGGAGAATATGAAAGACTGAGCCACATATTCAAAACCAGTAAGGGCTGGGTGGGGCAGTCTTCAGAGGTTTTTCAATCTCTTTCATAAACTAAAGAGATAAAGGTTCAGAGAAGCGAAAGACCCAGTTCAAGATCCCCCAGCTGAAGCCTGAGACTAGAACCCAGGATGTGGGGCTTACACAAAATCAGTGTCCGCTCGATCACATGGCTTCCAGATGATGTTTCTCTTGGGGAAGGCCCATGGACAGGAAGATGTAGACAATTTAATGTAAGCTTTAAAACTCTTATGGCTGAACTTTCCTGGAGAGCAAACAAAGCCCTGATTGTATGAGTCCAGAGAGAGTTTGGTTCTAGACGAGCAATTCCTTAATTCTCTAAGCACTGTGGAAGACCTACAGAGGGCTAGCCTCTGGCGGAGGCTGTGGACTTGCAGAATGACATGCACAGGTCCCTGCCCTCACAGCAGTGAGGGCAGACTGGCATATAACATCCTATGAGAGGCAGGCCAGGTGCAGTGGCTCACGCCTGTAATCCCAGTACTTTGGGAGCCTGAGGTGGGAGGATCACATGAGGTCAGGAATTTGTGACCAGCCTGGCCAACATGGTGAAACTCTGTGTCTACTACAAAAAAAAAAAAAAAAAAAAAAAATTAGCTGGGTGTGATGGCGGATGCCTGTAATCCCAGCTACTTGGGAGGCTGAGGCAGGGAGAATTGGTTGAACCCGGGAGGTGAAGGTTGCAGTGAGCTGAGATCGCGCCACCGCACTCCAGCCCAGGTGACAGAGCCAGAGACTCCATCTAAAAAAAAAAAGAAAAAAAAAACACCCTATGAGAGGCAGACACAAAGGCCGTAGGAATACAAAAAAGGTGGCTTTTCAATTTTGCCTAGGTGATTCATAGAAGGCTTTATTTGACATGGACTTTGAAGGGGTAAGCAGGCTTTTTTTCTGGAAGAGAATTTCTTCATTCATTTAATTGAAGTTTAATAAGCACCTACTTTTTGCCAGTCTTTGTGCCAGGTAAACAAGCAGTAAATATGAAGCAATAAACAATACTCTGCCCTCATAGATTACCTTCTCTCAGGGAGAGTCAGAAATTAAGCAGATAAATGAACAAATAAGTAAGATGATTTTAGACAGTGGTAAGTACAAAGAAGGAAATGAAGGGGAAGAGACCAAGAGGGGAGGATGTTGCCTCAGACGAAATAGTTTGAAGGGCTGATGTGAGAAGGTGACCCTCGGATGAGAAGGAGCCAGCATGAAGCAGGCCAGGGTGGTGATCATCAAGTGAGATGGGGGGAGAGATGGTAGATGAAATTGGAGAGGTGGGTGGTATCCAGTGTGCACTGAGCCTTAAGTGAGAGTCAGTAGACTGAATGTTCTAGGAGAACTGGGGAGCCTTGCGAGGACTCTTTTTGCAGGGAACGCTCTATGAATAAGGAGGCAGAGAAGCATGACAATCACCGTGGTGGGGTGGGCGTTTCAGTGGTGGATGTGGGGCTCTCTCAAATGCCAAGTAGTCAACCTGAATTCTGACAAGCCTTTCTCTTTCCAGTCATAAATAGCCAGGACCAAAAGACAACACAATCCTCTGTTTCACAGTGAGGAATCAGGCTTGGAGGGTTGGAGGCACATGGCCAGCAAGGGCAGTGGAAGGGCTGAGCCGGGATTCAGGACCTGGGACCCAGAGCCTTGTGCCCCTCCCTGCCGGCCCCTCTGCCTCCTGGCCCACCTGCATGTCTTCCAGCGACGTGGATTTAAAAATCCGTTCCCCATCAGACATTTCAGAGAGGCTTTTACAGTTTGTTTTTAGAAGTGTGTTAAAAGGCAGTCACCTTGAATGACTTCTGCTTGACAGAAGTGTCAGCATTGTCACCACCTATTCCAAGGAGCACTGGCACATGACGGGGGTGCCCTGGCTCCATGGGGAAATGAGGAGGAGGGCAAAGAGCTGTTCACCAGAGCTAGCATTCAGGTTCAGCATAGCTCCTCACTGACTGTGTGGCCTCGAGAGAGTCTCATCTTCTTCACCCTGCACCTGCACTTCTTTATGTATAAAACGCATACATTGGATTGGGACAAAGGCATTATTTTAAAAAATTATTGGCCAGGTGCGGTGGCTCACACCTGTAATCCCAGCACTTTGGGAGGCCAAGGCGGATGGATCATGAGGTCAGGAGTTTGAAACCAGCCTGTCCAATATGGTGAAACCCCATCTCTAGTAGAAAATACAAAAATTAGCCAGACCTGGTGGTGCGCGCCTGTAGTCCCAGCTACTCGGGAGGCTGAGGCAGGAGAATTGCTTGAACCTGGGAGGCAGAGGTTGCAGTGAGCCAAGATTGCACCACTGCACTCCAGCCTGGGAGACAGAGTGAGCCTCTCTCTCAAAAAAAAAAAAAAAAAAAATTCAGCGTTGGATAACTTTGAAAGAATCAAGTTAAACAGATTGTCTATGCAGGACTTCTCAGAGCTTTTGATGTGCTAATGAGCACAGTGTGACTCCTAGAGGGAAGTGAAGTCTTATGCCTGTCACAGGTGTATTTATGCAGGTGTCTCTGGAATGTTTGGGGAAGGATGACTTGTAGAACTTTTGTTCCTCAGGACACTCGGGGAGCTGGTCTGTGGGATAAGCCCCAGGTTCTGAGATGGGGGATGAAAGGGAATCTTCATTCATGTCCCTGCCCGGCCTTGTTCAACTGCTACAGAGTGGCAAATTGTCCAGTGTGTCCGTGGTGTGTGTCCCCTCCCTGGTCCCACTTGTACCCTCTCTCTGCCGCTCCCCCTTGTCACAAAAAAGCTGTCTTCTGAGGGAGCATAACAGAAGCAGAAGCAGCATCTCTCAGTCTGGGGTCGGCTCAGAGCTTTGTGTGTGCCAGCCCCTTAACATACCATTTCTCCTGCCTGGGGCTCAGTCCTCGGCAGCCATGTCTCTGAACCAGGGCAAAGGGATACTCTTCTAATAGACAGACTCTGGATCTGATGGTCTTTCTCCATGGGGCTTTCTTTGCACCTTCCTCTTGGGACTCTCTTACTTTTTTAACTTTTTATCTTGTTACTCATGTATGACTCCTCTGCTCAGGGACAACCATGCAGACTGGGTATCTTTCAAGTGGCCCTTGGAGGCAGCCGCCTGCGAGACACATCTCTGTGGCTCCCACAGAACTGTCATCCTCATCCTAATGCCTGCTGTTTATTGAGCACTTAGCATGTGCCAGGCAGCACGTAAAGTCCTTTATCACTGAATCATAGTGTCCTGCAGCAGTCTTAGGAGATGTGGCACTGTTAAGATGTCTGCTAATCAGATGAGGACACTGAAGCTCATCCAGGTTGAATAATTCCCCAAAAGTCTCACAGCTGGCACATTGAGGGGACTGGAAGTCCCACCCAAGTCTGTCCCCCAAGTCCATGCGTTTGATTTTAATACTGCATTGCTCTACTAATATTTGAATGAATAATTTGGGGGAAAGTAAAGAAAGATAAAAGGAGTAAAATAAATGAAGATAAAAGGAGTGAATGAATGAAGGAACGAGTGAGGGAATGAACGAAAGGGAAGAATAACCCTTCCAACCTATCCCCAGCTTCAGGAAGCTCAGCTGGCCCTGCCTCCTTCTTATGGCCCCATCGTCTTGCTGTATTCCACCACCACCCCCCGCTGGGTTACAAATGGGCACTACCCTATTGCGGGGCATGCAGCTGCCTGCCAGCAGCCACCAAGGACTCCCCCAAGTAGCCCACTTCTGCTCCACCCGCCAACGCACACTCTCCACAGGGCGAGGCGGCTGCAGCAGGACCACAGCCAGCTGCGCTTTCAGCTTGCTGGGTTTGTGCCTTCATCGCTGAGTTTCTCACCAAGGGAAGGGCAGCTGTTCTGGGATTGAAACATGAAGAAAGATGGGCCTAGATCAGATAAGCATCCCTTCCCAAGCAGACGTACCTCCCAATTTGCAGACCTTTGTTATATTACCAGCAGTTAAGGAATGTTGAAATGGAGCTCTAGCCTTGATCTGAATTATAATCTCTGAAGCTATATTTAAGTCTACGTAAAGATATTTCAATGTGCTATCTCTGTCTCTCTCTCTCTCTTTTTTTAATTTTCCTTGGCTCAGAGCACACTTGTATCCCTGCAGAACACAGAAAGCCAGGGTATATTTCTTAATGTTTTACATTACAGTTGTAAGTCTTTCTTATCCTTTGATAATCATATTTTAACTTTCAGTCAACGTATTTGTGGGTGCGCCTGTGTGTGTTATGTAGAAGTTCACATTTATACGAACAGCATTAGCTCATTTTATCTTCCTTTCCTTTCCTCCAAAGCTGTACTTGTAAGACTACATGCAGCGGCGGATTAATCCCCAAAGAACTTAGTTCGGCTTTCACAGCTGCTGCCAAACAGCCTGTCTCCCAGGCGAGTGTAGACTTTGTAGTAGTTATAATTAACAGTTCATCGGGAGGCGGGGATTGTAGTGCAGGAAACGAGAACTGGGCAGGGGAGGTCACTAAATACTAATGAAGACTGCCAGCAGAGGAACCTACAGAGGATTTTTGTTCAAAGAGGACAGTTTGAGGAGGAGGATGGGTAACAAAAATGTGTCCTTCAGCAGTCGGCCTGTGGTGAGCTGAAGAAGCAGGTGAACTGGGCAGGCTTCTTTGTGCATGCGTCTGAGAGTGGTTGTGCACCTGTGTGTGTTTGTGTGTGTGTGTTGGATGGAAAAAGGGAGCATATCTTTTAGGACTGTAGGTTTTTTGCTAGTAAATATTGTTCGAAATCTGATTTTTCACTTATTACCGTTGTGACCTTATGTAAATTGTATATAACTGGCCTCTCTGTGCCTTAGCTTTCCTATCTGTAAAATGGGGATTCATTTATTATTCAGAAAATATTTGTTGAGTATCTAGTCTATTCCGGGCACTGTTCTAGACACCAGGGTTGTAGCAATAAATAAAAAGACAAAAATCCTTGTCTACATGGAGCTTACATTCCACTGGGGGAAAAAGCCTTACAGGGACAGTAATAAGTAGGGTTAAAATAGATTGTGCATACAAAATGCCTAGCACAGTGTCTAGCACACATAATAAGATTTTCGGTGAAAAAGGAACAAATATTAGCATTATTATTCTTTAGGTTATATTTACTAAGTGACAACCCTCTAACACTCTCCCAAAAAGACAATCATTCATCTAAATTCCACCATTTTATTCTACAAACAGATTTTTTCTTGGGAAGTAACACAAGAGTATAATACTTTGGAAAAAGATGCTCTGTAAATGTTTTGCTACATCAGTCAAAACAGTGTATCTTTCCACCAGACATCTTGAAGGGTAAAGATGCTTCTTGAATGGATTTTAGCAAAGGAAGATCAGCTCTCAGGTGACAGCTCAGACATGACGAACAAGAACAATGCAGAAAGGAATGCGTGAACAGGTTGGATTAAGAATTGCAGGGCAATTACTTTCTGCAAACCGATATGCAAGAAAGAAACACAGGCACACCTTGTTATCCAGAAACACAATAAGCAAAAATTCACTATTACAGAATTGCAGAATAGGCAACCCCCTATGTAAAAATGGGCTGTTATTAAAAAGGGGGATGGGGGCGTTGTGAAATTGGTTTGGAATGTGGGCCTCATTTTCCACTAGAGTAGAGTTCATAGACTAATTCTCAAGGGCTTATTTAACCTACACTTGCCTGAAATGTATTATTTCCCCCTCACCAGCCACTATGTGCAACATGGCTTTTTTGGAAGAATGCACTGAAAGGGCCCTCTTCTCCTTGCGCCAAGCTGGTACCAGTTTGTACTAACCGTAGAGGGATTCACCTTGGTTTTCCCTTATCCGAAAATTCATTATCCAACGTTGATGGTTAAAAGGTAGCAGGAAAGCCAAAGTTGTCATAACATTGAAACATTCATGAATTAATGGACCACTTATCAAATTAGCCCCACTCAGACATCCTTCCCGTTTTAACGGTGGGCCCCCCACTGTGTCGAGAGTCAACTCTATGTACATCTGTCTTTCCTGGATCATCCAGATGTTTCCAGCATCAAGAAACACAGTGAAAATAGATTGCACAACACTTGCCAATTGAAGCAGCACATTTTTCAAAAGATGCAAGGCTTTATCAAGCTGATGAAAGGGATTTTGGAAGCCAGCTTTGTGTCACATACAAATTCCTTAACAAAAGAAGATAACTTGTTATCAATTAAAAAGAAAAGCCAATAAGCATGATGACAGCCCAAGGGCTTCAAAGTGAGGGATTGGATGTTAGAGGCTTATGACAGGTTCTTGGGAAAGTGGCACATGTCTCAAATATTTTTTTGCAGACTCTTAAAAAAATAAGACTGTTAACAACTGTACTGATGAAAGTAAAGGAGGTCACGTGGTGCCCTCACACAACCTGATTGGGAAGACATGGGCCAAATAAATCAACCCATATTTTATTCTTTGTTCTTTATAAAACTGGCAAGTTGTTGAAATTACAGTTTAAAATTTATTAAAAATAATATACATATACTCATTTCCAAAAATTTTGGTCTCATTTTTAAAGATAAAGTCCCAGATCTCTTTCCCACTATTTACTTTGAAATTTTGGTCCCTGTCAAAGACAAGTACCCTCTTCCAGGTTCCAGTTTTTCTCCGGTAAGGAGAACCTTGTGTATTTAAACGGGGGAAGTTCTCACGCTAGATGACCACTGCATAGATATGCTGAATTATGGGTAGTGAGCAATATGGAAGCAAAGCTACCCATCACTCTCACCATCTCTCTGTCTACACTGGTGATGCTTAATCTTTTTCAAGGTCATGGGCTCCTTGGATGGAAAACATGATGATAACAGAGGACTCTCTCCCCAGAAAATGCACAAGCATAAAGTAAATTTCAAGGGATTCACATACCCTCTTGATATCTATCCAAGGGGATCACAGATACTAGATCATAGATATAAATAACCCCAAATCTACACCAAACTCCAAATTATATATTATTTATTCATCATATAGATCATATATACATACACACTCATACATACACTTATGCACATACATTTAAGTACCTATTAATTGCCAGATGACTTTATATATTTTCAGCCTTTTTTGTCCCTGACAGTGACCATATGGGGCATGTAATATTGTCCTAATTTTACTAATAGAGGAACTGAGCTTGAGTAAAGTTAGGTGACTTGCCCAAGGTTAATAAGTGCTTGGTCCTACTTTTCAGACACTTGGGTTTTCTAAGGCTTACGTCCACACTTTTTCTATGACATCAGGTCAACTTTATATGTCCATATACCATGCCACATTTTTTTCTTAATAAATAACTTTCACAAAGTCTTTCTTTATTCCCATAGAAATGCTTGTTTGTGGTAGAAGAATTACATGTTCTAACCCTTAACTTTTGACGTGTTTTCTATTCTCTCTCCCTTGTTTTCTTTTTAAGTTGAAGAGAGTGCGACTATTATTATTATTCTCATTTTACAGATGGTAAAAGGGAGGTACTGGGACTTCAGTGACTTGCTGAGATCAACCAACTAGTTGACAGCTCATTGATGCTCTAACTTGGGTGGACTGGCCGGCCACTGGGCCTGCGGATAGAGCCAGGCTGCCCTCTCACACCCTGCCCTCCTCAGCATCTGCTTGACCCCTTTCATCCTGTCCGTAAAGACCCCCAAATCATTATGCATCCACAGTCATATTTTAACTAGCCCTAGCATCCCCATGTCTGGAGGGCATTTGTGAGTTTGGTTTTCATTATTTTTTCCATTTATCTTGAAACTCAGAGACCAAATATTTATAGTGAAAGCTGCTTTGCATTAATAATTCAGAGTCTGAATAGTATTTAAATTTTAATATTTTTTCTCTAAATATTTTATCTTCAACATTAGATGCCAACTTACATCTGATTTTACTACAAATGGAAACCATAAATTTCTCCAAAGGTATGCTTGTTCAGTAATACATATGTTTAAAAATAATGAGAAAATAATAATAGCTAAAGTTTTCTCTGTGCCAGAAACTCTATTGAATGTTTTATGTGCATTAACTCATTTAATCTTCATGATAACCCTATGAGGTAGGAATTATCATTATCTCCATCTTACAGACGAGGAAAGTGACGTACAGACAGATTGAGTGGCTTGCCCAAGATTGTAACCCTAATAAGGAATTTGCATGCAAATTTTTTTCAAGTCCAGTAAAATTCAGTTCAAGGATGTAATGGCAAGTCCCTTGAAAACAGAACCACACCCTAGAGGAGGCATTAGAAACTCTCTTTTATCTAACATTGGCCTTGCCAGTGCTCTATATCCACATGATGATGATTGATGCTCATAATGATTACCTCAAGGCAGAATAAGATTTTGAAAAATCTTCCCCACAATCAAGGAAATATCAGTATCAAAGAAGTATTCAAGGAAAGGTGAGCCTAGATTTTTAAAAAAAATTTTAAGTTGCATTCTAAATCTATGATGATTGCCAATCCCATTTTTAAATTTACATTATAATTCTCTGAAAATATTCCTTTAAACAAAACACTTTGATCCTACCAAGCAGTGTCAGGAAGACTGGCTCCCAGAGCCCCATCCACAGCTGGGTCCTGCAGAAAAGTTTCTCCAGACTGGGTAGCCACTGCCTCTAAAATACTCAAGAGTAAATTTAGTAAATTTCCGTGCTATATTTGCCCATGAAAATATAAAACCAGGTAAATAAAGTGGTAACAAGATTTCATAATGATTTCCTCTTTAGGCAGATAGATGCATACATACACTTGTATATATGTGACTTTCAGTGTAAAAATATTTTTTTTCCAGTAAAGGAAAATATTGCCCCTCATCTATTTCTGAACTGCTTAGTCTTGAGAGTAAAACACTTCTAAATCCATATACAATGTGAATTTAACAAGCAAACTCCTCCATTCCTCTCCCTTCACCCCACCTGATGAGATATTTGGCACACTTTGGGATGACATAGGAATGGCACAGTATCATTATGTGGAGAGAGCAAATCAGTGTAGAAAACAAAATTGGTCAATTAAAGCTGCGATCTGGTTGGGCACAGTGGATCACACCTGTAATCCCAGCACTTTGGTAGGCAGGCAGATCACTTGAGGCCAGGAGTTCGAGACCAGACTGGCCAACATGACGAAACCCCATCTCTACTAAAAATACAAAAAATTAGCTGGGTATGATGGTGCATGCTGTAGTCCCAGCTACTTGGGAGGCTGAGGCACAAGAATTGCTTGAACCCCAGGGGCAGAGGTTGCAGTGAGCTGAGATCATGCCACTGTACTCCAGCCTGGGCGACAGAGCAAGACTCTGTCAAAAAAGAAAAAAAAAAAGAAAAGAAAAAAAAAAAAGCTGTGATCTGTGGAAAGCGTAGGAGCCAGAGAGAAAATCTGGGCGAATGTGCAGAGAGACTGAACTTAGCCTATTTCCCTGGGGAGAGAGAACATGCTCACTCATGAATGACAGTGGGATATGGCTTTTCCTCTTTGCCTGATAGTGTAAGGAGGAATCTCTGAATTACTTACAATCCCCAACTCTATACATTCCTCATTGTTTATTCATTCAGCAAATATTGAGTGCCTATCTTGGGCCAGTACTATGTTAGTGCAGCACACAGTGTCTACTCACTAGGGTTCCTCCTTCCTGGGAGTAAGGGAACATTGCATGTCTCCACCATGCAAATGATTTCTGGCCAATAGAATTTGAGTGGAAGTAATGGGCTACTCTTCACCTTAAAATAGTCTTTGTAATCTTCCTTGTGCCCTCTGAAGACATTTAAGACTACTTGGATCAAACTGAGAAACGTAATGGGCTAGTAAGATGGATGGAAAAGATGGCTAGATGGTTGAGTATGCAGTTTACAAAGGCACTAAGGCACCTAAAGTTGAAATTTCTGCTCTTCTTTTAACACCTTATTCATGATAACCAAAACAGTAGAAGGAAAAGGAGAGAGGCATCAGTAGGGAAGGTTCCTGTGCTGCAAGAAATAGGAACCTATACAGGCTATCTGGATCCTAAAAGGATACATAATAGTCAAGAGTCTTGCATCAATTCAAACTATTTTTTAAAAGGGAAGGAGTGTATATTGGCTTTTTTTTTTTTTTTTTTTTTTTTTTTTTTGAGATAGAATCTTGCTCTGTCACCCAGGCTATAGTGCAATGGCGGGATCCTGGCTCACTGCAACCTCTGCCTCCGAGGTTCAAGCAATTTTCCTGCCTCAGCCTACTGAGTAGCTTGGATTACAGGTGCACGCCACCATGCCCAGCTAATTTTATTATTTTTAGTAGAGATGAGGTTTTGCCACATTGGCATGGCTGGTCTCGAACTCCTTACCTCAGGAGGTCTGCCTGCCTTGGCCTCCCAAAGTGCTGGCATTACAGACGTGAGCCACCATGCCTGGCCTATATTGGCTCTTATATCTGAAAAGTCAGGGTATAATGACTTCAGGTATGGCTGCATCTAGGGGCTAAAAACAATGGCATTGGGTCTCTGTCTTTCACCATCTTTTGGCTTTGTTTTCCCCCAAGGGGATTTCATTCTCTAGCAGACTTCTATTGTAAGATTCCCCATAAAATAGAAAAACAGCTGCTGACAGCCCCAGATGCTTATATAGCAGTATGGACACCCCAGATGTATGGAAGCCTCTTTCTCCCCTCCGATGGATTGTCATTGTATCAACTTTTGTCGCGTTCCTATCCATGAACCAATTACTATATGGCTAAGAAATAAGTTATTTTAATTGACTAGTCCTATGTCGTGTTCGCTCCCCACAGTCTGAGAATGAGAGAAGTGTGAGTCCCCAAAAGAAAAATCAAAGTACTGTTACAAAAATAAATTGTACTGAGTAATGAACAGGCAAAAAGAACGTCTCCTACAGGGCTTGTTGAAGACCTGCAGGGACTGTTGTGGAGTTGAAGGGCTAGAGGGGTAGCTGAGCTACACAGGACTCCATCTGGGGAGTGGAAAATCAGGATGTTTGTCTTCTACTTTCTCATATGGTCTTCTGTCCCCTCTCATTCAATGTTCTTTACCTTCCTCATGCCCTTACCACAGCCTCCGTGTTCCCACAACCTTATCATGGACTGGTTCAGTCTCTTGGAATCCCTCTTTCTCAATCTCTAGGGGAGGAAGCTCATTAATCCATCTCAGAACCAGGTCACCTGCTACATGGCACTGGCCAGCCTTATAGATGTATTTGCCTGAAGCAGGAGTCCTAACTTGGTACAGTCAACTCTGTACAAGTTAGGGCAGATCAAGCTGTCTGTGGGGTTTCTCTTTCCAGGGCTGTGCATAAGGTAGGATCGTTAGAAAGGTGTGGCAGAGAAGGCAATAATATATGTCAAGAACAGGCAAAAACTTGGGCAGAATCAGGCTACAAGGCCATTCTTGGAATGTGAGCCTTGTAGAAAAACCTGGAATCTCATTCCTTGACAAAGACAGATGGACCAAGAATGGGCTATCAAGGAAGCAGGAAGTCCAAGTTAGTTACCAAAGAGGATGACAGAAAATCAAGGCAAGGGTGTGGCTGCACTAACACAGCCACAGACTTCTCTGCGGGGGAGGTGAAGTGCAGCCACAGGACGTGTGAATTGTGGCATCTTTCAATATCATGCAGAGCAAGCTTCCCCAGGCAGCGCTCGTTAAGCTGCTCCCTCCGACATTGACATAGCTTTCCCTGGGGCTCCTGCCCTGTGTGGATCTGCCTCCTTCTTATTAGAGGCAACGGTGAGACTTTGAGTGTCGCACCACCTCTTCTCCCTCAGCCTTGGTCCAAGTGTGAAAACATCTGCTTCCTGCCCTTGATAAACTCATCGGCAACACAGGGGTTTAAGTTAATTTTATTAGAAATGAAAATTAAACATGTGTGCATGCACATGTGCGTGTGCCCACACGCACACATACCCCACAAAAACCAAAGTATCACACATTCAGGCAAGTAGATTGAATTAGGTTTGGTTGGGTTAAAAGCAAGAGACAGGTTTTCTAAATATAAGGATCGAAATCAGCCAAGGTATTTACACAGGAAATCTTTCCTGACTGACGTAGATTTAAGCAACAGAGCTTTCAGGCCAAGCTAGGATGTTAGATCTCCCCCAGTTATTCACTTGTTTGTTCATTGATTCAACAACTATTTCTGTGTCTATTTTGTGCCAGACAGTGTGTCCCAGACTCTTCTTCCTCTTTGTCTCCAGCCTATACTTTCTCTCCCTCCTGTAGGCTCCCCAGGCTTCTCTGTGGCTCATGTCCTGGTCCCCAGTCTCCTGATTGTGAATACATTGTCTTCGCTGGCCTCAGATATTCCTCCCCTGCAGTTCAGCACCTGGATTTCCAAGACGCATCACCACACCCTTGAGATAGTTCTCTCTCTGTCCATTTGGGGTTGGGACATGCTAGCACTACTTTCCCTGTGGATGAAGGTAGTGCTCTTCTCCTACCTGGTCTCCCTAGAAGTGGTGACACATTTTCATACTGTCTGAGTATCAGATTCTGGACACAGCCAAAGTCCTCTTTGACCCAGCCTACACACTTCTTTCAACTCTTTGTTTGAGAACTTCCTCCACCTCTATGCACATATGCAGAGTTAGATAGCTCACCGACCCTGAATCCAATGAGCAATTTGCCTGGTTTTGAAGCCATTTCTATAGGGTGTTCTCAACGCTCAGGTATTGTCAAGGGAGATGTCATAGGTAGTGCTTTTACCAGGTACCATTCATCTTATTGTCTTTGAAACCAAACCCTGTGCTGTCCACCATCTCCACTAAGATAAGATGGAGGTCATTCTGTGAAGGTTGTAGCTGTACCAATAATACTATTCTAATGTAGTTTGGTGAGTAGAAATAAAGAACAATGCGTAAAGTTTTCCTGATTTCCTTTTAGTTTTTAGAACAAAGTGGTAGTGATTAGCCAGCCCTATCCACCCTTAAGGAAGTCAATTTAAAACCTGGTAACCAGCCAACAACATAAAAGTATTTGAATGCTGTGTATTTATTAATTAATGTATTTACTTGGGGGATGGGCAAGGACTCTGGTTCCTGTTCTTATGGTGCCCTTTAGCAGAAAGACTACAGACTCTAACGTGACTCTTTGGGGAATCTCTCTGAAGTAGTAAGTCATTCATGGCCAACATTTTAATTGAAGGTAATAATAATTCCAATAATATTATTAAGAACCACCATTAGCTCAGGAAGGACTAAATTCACTGACGTAATGCCAAAGCTATGCACAACGATGACTGCTTTGCCGAGCCCCTCGGGGAATAACTTTCATAATCCATTGAAAAGTTATGAGCTCCTTGTGCTTGCACCAAGAAAGAACTCGACATTAACCATTTGAGAAGCCATGTAAAAATGGAGAAAAAGCTACTTGTGCTTTTAACAGCTTAATTAATGGCTGCAAATGGGGTTAATTCTCACAAAAACCCCATGGAGGAGGTTGGGATGTGTGTTGACAATGGAAAATTATCCTGATTTTATAGGTGAGGGCAGTTTCCAGACACTAGGAATGAACATGGTCAGGGGGAAAGAGAAAAGATGACTTTTTGTTGTGGGAGGAATGGGGCCCTGGGCCAGCGGGCTCACTGTCTGGTTTGGGACAAGGGAAATCATTGTGTGGGGAGAAATGAATGGAGTAAGAGGAATCTGGCTTAAGAGCCTAACAGAATTGGGTTCAATTATTGCTTTTGCCATTTGTTAGCTTTCTGACCTTGGGCTAAAAGTGTTAACCTTTCAGATCCTTAGTTTTATCATCAATAAAATGGGAAAAATAACAGTAGCTAACTTGAGTCAGAGGGGTCAGTGAGAAAATGCATGTCAAATTCTTAGCCCATGTAGATAGCTACTACTATCTAGTATTCACATTATTTTTCTTTATTAACAAATTCTACAAATATGTAATAAACACCTACAGTGTGCCAGTGACGATGCTCGATAGAGAGAGCAGGTTCTTTTGACTTGATTGTCTAGTAGGGAGTTAACAAAAAAAACTAAACATATCAATAAGTAAAATGCTTGCAAATTGTACTGCATTTGAAAGCTGGCTCCAGTGAGTACTCAATGCATTCAAGCTGCCATTTGCACCCAGGGGCAGAGACTTGGATTTTAGAGTTTGCAGTAACTTGGGTTTTAGAGTTGAGGAGACCCCGGTCAGCCCAGCCTGGATGCCAGTCTCTGCTCCCAGTCTGTGCCTTCACACAAGCCCCTCATGCCTTCTGAACTCCACTTCTCCCTCTGCACATGGGCCTGGTCCCTGGCAGTGCTTGGAACCTGATGAGTCCTCAGCAGGTAGAGATGCTACCTAAGCGCACTCCCACCCATCCTTTGAGCAGCTCTGGTTCATGCCTTTCCATATTCCACAGTGTGTTTCTGTACTCTCCAGGTGAAAGGGAGAATGAGAAGGAATTACATTTCTATTTTTCTGCCTAGACATAGATGAGAAAGTTTCTATCCCCAACTCTGAGGATTTGGACAAAGGAGTGCTATCATTGGTTTGAGAAAGAAAAGAAGGGGAGCATTCCAGGAGGACCTTTGTCCTGTCAGGGCCTCAGCCACAGGCCTGATCCCAGGAGGAACTGGGTGCAACAGGCTGTTATACTGGATGGGCCAGTCCCCAGGAGAGGGACAGGAAGACAGGAGTGAACGGGCACACCTGTGAGACCACAACAGGTCCTGGCAATGGTCGGGAAGTGTGTGACAGGGCACAGTGAATGATTGGAGAGAAGCTAGGAGGGACTGACTTCTCATGGCCTCCTAGCTTCCCTTGGAGTGATTTGGTCTAACACTAGGCTTATAAGTCATGACTGAGCACTTATTTTGCAAATCAGGTCTGGTTTGTCATTAGCAAGGTAGGCCTTTAGAACAGAGGTCTGCAAACCGTAGGGCTGCGGGCCAGATTCAGTGCCCTGCCTGTTTTTGTAAATAAAGTTTTGTTGGAGCACAGCCACACCTCTTCGTTTATTTTCTGTGGCTGGTTTCATGTCACAACACAGGTAAATAGTTGCGACAGAAACCATATTGCCTGCAAAGCTTAAGATATTTACTTGCTGGCTCCTTACAGGAAAAGTTTGCTGACCCCTGATTTAGTGTATTATAGTTTGGGTAGGAAGAGATTCAGTCATCGATGCACTCATTTGTTCATTGAACACATGTAATTATTGATCATCTAAGGTGCTCTATGCACTGTGCCAAGCCCACAAAGTGTCCCAGGTGCTGTGCTCAATCTTATAACAGCTGTGTGAGGCGATGATGTTATTACCCCATTTTGCAGGTGGGGAAATGGAGGCTGAGGGAACGTGAATGATTTCCCCAAGGTTACAACAGCAAGGAGCAGAACAAGGACTGGAACCAGGCTTGTTAGTCTCCAGACTCTGCACTGTCAGCCTTACTCTTTGACAGTGTGTTCCATGTTTGTCCTTATTCTGCCCTGTGAATATGGATTACTGTGAGAAAGGAAGAAAGATTAAAATGTTGAAAATACATTTTTATAAATCTCTGATGGAGGCTGGGTGCAGTGGCTCATGCCTGTAATCCCAGCACTTTGGGAGGCCGAGGTGGGCGGATCACCTGAGGTCAGGAGTTCAAGACCAGCCTTGCCAGTATGGTGAAACCCCGCCTCTACTAAAGATATAAAAATTAGCCGGGCATGGTGGCACAGTCCTGTAATCCCAGCTACTTGGGAGGCTGAGGCAGGAGAATAGCTTGAACCCAGAGGCGGAGGTTGCAGTGAGCCGATCACACCACTGTACTCCAGCCTAGGAGACAGAGAGACTCCATCTCAAAAAATAAAACAAAATAAAATAAAATAAAATAAAATAAAAATAAAAATTAAAAAATCTCTGATGGGAACGATTGCTATTTAAAGTGATGGATGAGTGAAGTTGCCACTTATTTGGGAGAGCCTCTGCTGGGTTGAGATGATTCTTCATTATGCGTGTTTCTAAACTTGAACTCTAGTTGCTTTAAATGATATCAGAAAATCATCTGAGGCTGGGCGCAGTGGCTCACACCTGTAATCCCAGCACTTTGGGAGGCCAAGACAGATGGATCACTTGAGGCCAAGAGTTCAAGACCAGCTTGGCCAACATGATAAAACCCCGTCTCTATTACAAATGCAAAAATTAGCCAGGAGTGGTGGCGGACGTCTATAGTCCCAGCTACTTGGGAGGCTGAGGTACAAGAATTGCTTGAACCTAGGAGGCAGAGGTTGCAGTGAGCTGAGATCGAGCCACTGCACTCCAGCCTGGGTGACAGAGCGAGACAAAGAGACAAAAAAAAAAGAAAGAAAAAAAATCATCTGAAAATGTTTTCCCTCATAATGATATGATTTCACCACTAATGTTTATAAACATTAAAATGACAGGAAGCATTTCCTGTTCCAACCTGACAGAGATCTTGGAGGATTTGTCTAAATATTCGCATACCTTTAAAATAATCAGCAGATGACTGTCTGGATAAGAGGTCAAAAAAAGGATTTGTAGAAAAAAGAAATAATAGGCCGGGCACGGTGGCTCACGCCTGTAATCCCAGCACTTTGGTAGGCTGAGGCAGGCAGGCAGATCACGAGGTCACGAGATCAAGACCATCCTGGCCAACAAGGTGAAACCCCGTCTCTACTAAAAATAAAAAATTAGCTGGGTGTGGTGGCATGCACCTGTAGTCCCAGCTACTCAAGAGGCTGAGGCAGGATAATTGCTTGAACCCAGTAGGCGGAGGTTGCAGTAAGCCGAGATCGTGCCACCATACTCCAGCCTGGCTAGAGAGTGAGACTCGTCAAAAAAAAAAAAGAAATAATAAAGTGAGACAGGTTTTCCCTTTGAGAACTCTGAAGTGCTATGGGAAAGGGAAGAGTTGCCCTCCTGCTTTAACAGGTTAAAAATGAACCACTATTAGTGAGCAAAAGTGAGATTGCGTTATCCTTTTAATGCTCATTCTAGACACAGCTTTTGCCAGCATCTCCATGTGATAAATGCAAACCAGAGTTTCTAATTGGAAATAGGAGAAGACCATCTTAGCCGAATGGACCACACTTCCTTCTAATGACTATGAAGATGGTTTAATCTTACAGTCTAAGTAGAGGTTCTACTGACAGGTTCTCGTATGAACTGATTAGGCTTCCCCCGTAGACATTTTTATCAGACTGATTCATTCCTCTGGAAGAATGCTGGCTTTTACGTTTTTTTAGAAGAGATTCTAAATGGCTTGTCAAGATTACATCTTTCATGTGAATCTCAGCCAGGATTATGTTACAGCCGGGACTGACAATATTCAATAGGTAGAATTTGGCCAAGATCGTAGAAATAGAGCAGGCTGGTCCCAATAAATAGTAGGAGCATGAATGTATGGTTTACATACATCCCAAGTAGCTTCAAGGCAGTCTGTGCATTGGATATCCTGGGGGAATGCATGGATACATAAAGTGTAATATTCAAGGAAAATAAACTCAACTTTTGTCTAGTACTTATGGCATGGGCAGATTCTTATAAACTGTCTTCGTGTCTGGGGCATTCTGTGACCTGCATTCCTCACCACCCCTTCAGAGCTGCCTGAAAACCACATACATAGGAAGAGGAGGGAACCAGACCCTTTTGTGCTAAGCTGCCCTAATGCAGAGGTCTCTGCTGCATTTGATATGTGCTGACAAACTGACCACATCTGAAGGGGCTGCTTTGGAGTGGCAAGTCCCCTGATCTTGGAACACAAATGAAGTCTCTATAGAGGCCATGTGGGAGGTGGGCAGAATATGTGGCATTTCCCACCCGGGACCCTTGACTCCCAGGCATGGTGTGTTTTGTGATGAGAAACGAAGGGGACTGGAGGGATGTGCATCAGTCAGCTTTGTGTTGATTAAAAAGAATGAAGGATGAAATCATTTAAGGTTTAGTTTTGCTTTGAATGAAATATGAAAGGAGAAATATATTCACTCTTCCTGGACTCAGCAGAATGTAAGCTCCATAAAGGCAAACATTTCACCCATTATCCTCACTGCTGCAGCTCCAGAGTCTAGGCCAGTGTTTGCAAATAGCAGGCACTCTATAAGTATTTGCTGAATTAATGAAAGGCCATTGAGTGTTCATGTATGTATCTGCTTTCTCAATACCTGTTAAATAAACATCTATTATATGCCAGGCCCTTGAAATAAGGAGCAGTCCCCGAGAAGCTTACAGCCCAGTAGAGGGAGACAGATATGCCACTCAGTGTTTTTCCACCTTTTCAGAACCTTCGTGGGGAAGGGATATAGAGTTATTTTATAAAATCCTAGACCCCCTAGAAAAGGTCATGTGAGGGAGTCATCCCTCCAGAGACCCTACTGCCTAGTGTTCTTAAAGCCCACAGTGCAGGTTTTGCTGGACTCAATTCTGTTTGTTCATTCACTCACTCATTCATTCAGCAGACATTATGGAATGCATTCTCTATGTCAGGTACTCTTTCAGTTGCTGGGGGTGTTCCTAGGTCCTTATGTTCTACCCTGGATTATGTTATCTGGGTGCTTTCTTGCATCTTTTCAGCAAATATTTATTGTGTGCTGATATCGGTCAGGCACAGTACTAGACATTGGTTACTTATCCTAGAGCTCACAAAAGCCCACCAAAGAGGGAGGTTACTCATGTGTGCACTTCCCTATGCCTAGGAGATAATAGGCAATAAGGCTTCTCTTGATTAGATGGATAAATAGACAGGTGGACAATGGGTACTCTGGAAAAAATAGTGACAAGGTCATAAAATGGGAAGATCACATACTAGGAATTTGAACACTTGTGGTTTAGTCCTGGCGAAACTAATTTGGGACCCTTTAGCCTCTCAGAAACAGCTAGCTGACTAACCAACTTCCTTTCTTTCTTCTTTCTTCTCTTCACTCCTTCTATCTTCTCTTCCTTTCTTTCACAGAATTATATTGAGGATCTTGGTGTTAATTGGGGTGAGAGATGATATTGGTCTAAATTATCCCCAAGAATCCTACCAGCTCTAAATATTATGATGTAATGATGGTTTAGGTGAGTTACATCTTCTTTTGAGTCATCCCAAAGTTCTAGATTAGGACTGCAATCATCTCAGGCTGCTAAAGATCCTATAGGATGGAGTGGGGGTGGGACATAACACATGGCCAAGCCAGATGTCTTTGGGCCACCCCTTGGGCTTCCACTGAAACCAAACTTAAGAGAATAGAGAGCTGGATATTGGGGGCAAAAGTCCTTGCCTCCTTGTCTCCATCTCACCTGGTTTCCCAGAGCCTGACAGCCTTCCAGCAGTGAATTAAGACCAGATTCCTGGAAAAAAAAATATGAGCTTGAACCTCATGGTCATCCATACCCTGGTACCCTGGGCCTCCTTGCTTCTCTTCTCCAATCAGTTAGTTCTCAGGTACAACTGGACCAAGATGAGAAGCTGATGTTCTATAGGGATCCACAGTGTTAATTGCCACTTGGCAGCTCTGCAGGTTGGTATGTATATGGGCACACATCACATATTTCCTGTTTGGCCAAAGGATCAAGACTTCCCCTGCTGGTGTGCATAGAGGGAACCAGCTGTTTGGCAGTTCCTCCAGCTCATCTGCCCAGTGGGAGTTCATTCAGAGAGTAACTCAGCACAGTATCAGGTGTGAGCAAGACTCAGTGCAGACTCCAAGGTCAAGCATCCTTGGTTGCAATCGCAGTTCCTCCATTTATTAGCTATGAGACCTTGGGCAAAGGACTTAATATCTCAAAGCATCAGTTTCTGCATATGTTCCAGGGGAGATGATAAGAGGGCTGACCACTCAATATTGTTGTGAAAGTTGAATGAGATAATAGAAGTGGAATGCCACACACAGGGCTGATAGAATAGATACATGGTAAACAAATGGAAGCACTTTTTAATTGTTATTGTTGCTCTTTGTGGAATTCTCTTAGAAGCCAACAGTGTGGATTTGAGAGTGATAAAAATCCCCACATCTTTATCCAGCCACCTGTCAGGTGATGGTTGGTGGCTGGCCAAAAGCTGTCCATTTGGTCACAGTATTCTGGAAAGAGCATTCCAATGACTCTTCCCACCTCCTAAATTTTCTCAACCTTCTTTTCACTGCTGAGAGCCCCTGACTCCACAATAGGAAGAAACCAAGTGGGAGTTTAGTTGAGTGTACACTGTAAAGATGGTCCATTTAGTTGGCAGAGCTAGAGTTTTGGAGGAGGAGTTTGAAACTAGCTTGTAACTTTCAGTGCCAACCTGGAGGTGTCAGGCAATATTTTTCCTTTCTTCCTGGAAGGTCCACAACCTCCTCCAAGGGCAATCTCCTGGATTTCACTGAATTGGCTGTTATGTTTGGAAACCAACTTGTGCATCTGAGCATTTAGGGGAAAGCTATTGACTAACCCTTGCTCTTTTTCAGCCTTTCTTCCTTTTCCCAATATTTAGGAGCTTGGCCAAAACAAAGAGCCCATTGTGTCCCTGGTACAAGCACCAGAACTCAATTAAACATTCATTGAGTCTTAATTAATTGTATTAAGGTTGGGCAATTCCCATTGCTTGGGGAAAAAAAAAACCCCAAATACTTAATTTACTCGCAATGTGGTGTGTGTCCCCTAGTATTGAACTAAACCACCATGAGACAATCACTTACTTAACAGAAACTAGGGCCTCAGCCTGGGAACTAATTAGCCTCTCTTTCTCTATATATAGCTATCTTCACCACCAGGACCATCTGGAAGTTGTTACCTTCCAAATTCTTTCCATCTATTTTTTTTTTTCCAAACTGATCATTACTGCCATGATTCCTTCTTTCTTATTTTTATGTTACGTGACTTCCCACTCTTAGATTCTCCAGTGTTATCTAGATCACAGCCCGGATACTCTGGGTATTTACTCTCTGTTTAATTTTCAAGTGGCACACCTATTTTTATGTACTTTTCCCAGTGGCAGGAAAAAAAGAAAAAAATCTTTGTGTAAAACCTAGAGGCGGAAGCAGGGATGACTGCCAAGGAATTTGGGCCTATCCAAGTTGACGGTGTGTCCACCAGGGAGGCCCGTGAGCTCTGTGAAGCCCCTACAGTAGTGTCTTTGATGGCTGCAGACACATGAGGAGGTCTCAGAAGGACCTGGTTTCTTGCCCAACTCATTGAGCAAAAAGTACCAGTATAATCTGCAAAAAGTACCAGTGTAATCTCCCCTTTCTCCCCACAGTCAGGGTCTACTTTGCTTTGAGAGTCAGTAAGGAAGTATAAAAACTGTCTTATTGGCCGGGCGTGGTGGCTCACACCTGTAATCCCAGCACTTTGGAAGGTCGAGGCGGGTGAATCACCTGAGGTTGGGAGTTCGAGACCAGCCTGACCAACATGGAGAAACCCCGTCTCTACTAAAAATACAAAATTAGCCTGGTGTGGTGGTGCACGCCTGTAATTCCAGCTACTCAGGCGGCGGAGGCAGGAGAATCACTTGAACCTGGGAGGCAGAGGTTGCCGTGAGCCAAGATCGCGCCATCGCACTCCAGTCTGGGCGACAAGAGCGAAACTCCGTCTCAAAAAAACAGAACAAAACAAAACAAAAAGTGTCTTGTCTGATAGTATGCTTTAGGAGAGTAGCTGCAAATATTTCATGAGCCTTTAATTAATGTGAAGTCCTTACTGGCTCACAAGGGCTCCCCCAGTCTGGCTCCCGTCTTCTCTTCCGTCCTGTTACAGAGCCTTGCACTGATTTACCAAATTCATGGTACCCCACTTTCTTTCTACCCCTCCCCACCAGTACGACTAGCTTATTGCCACGCAGGACCTCTGAGACTGCTGTCTCATATGCTTGGAGCCCACCCGCTCTATGGTTAGAAGGCTGGCTCCTTCTCATCATGTGGGGCTCAGCTTATCTGTAACCTCCTGAAGAGGACTCCCACACCCTCCAGGTCCTGTCTGTCACATTCCCCTGTTTTATACTGTTGATAATACTTGTCACCATATGAATTAAGTTATTTATTTGTTAACATGTTTGCCTGTCTTCAGTAGAACATCTATTCATGAGAAGTACCTTATCTATGTGGTTTACCATCGCAAGCCCAGCCCTGGCAGAGTGCCCAGCTCTGCAACTGGTTGTTTAAGGAAATACATGATCAGGGAACAGCTAGTCTCTTTCTGAGTATACAGGTAATTATGCAATGTAGGTGTTTAGGATACTTTGGTCATTTAGAATACAATTCAAAAGTAACAAGAAGCAAGGAATATTATGAGAAACCTTGAATTACTGTAATAAAATCACCAGGAAAACTGGAAGTCATAAGCTAACTTTACCTAACATGCTCTCCAAGTCACTGTAAGTTTCAATGTGTTTTATTTCTAGTGTTTGAGAGTCCTTTTGGGATAAGCCTTTTGGCTTCCTCCCAACCCCAGGCATCAAAGCAGAAGCAGCTTAAGCCTTCTAGAGTTCATCGTGTACTGGCTTCCGATCATCTCTGGGAGCCATGGCATCTCTGCCACCCCACTCCCTAGGCATCCCTATGATAGTGAGCTTCATGGTATTTATTGCTCAGTGGCTCCAAGTGAGCCGCGAGGCCCAGGAGACTGCAAGTGTAATGAATCCTTGCTTTATGGAGGGTGGGTCTCATCTTCAAGTCTGAAGACAGACTCCCTCCAGGCAAAGGGAGATTTCTTCTTGTCCCTTTACAGTAGTTCATCTGCATCTGTTTCCTTCCATCTCTGCTTCTTAGTCCCAAATGGTGAAATCCCTGGATAGCAAAGCTCCTGGTTCTCAACTTCATTCATATAAGAAAGGTTCTTGGTGTCCAGATTTCGGCATGGCTAGCAGGACACTCTCTACAAAGTATCATATGTCAGAGGCTTCAGTCCCAAGGAGGAATTCAGGTACTTGAGAATTCAAATCTACAACTTGTTCTTCAGGCATTTTGATTTCCCTTTCAGTGTCACATTGGATTCAACCAGCTCATTTTGGGGAGGAGAGAAAATATTCTTAATAGCCAGGTTCCTGGCTTGGCCTTCATCTAGAAGCCTTCCGCTTTTCATCTTCTTTTTTCAATGACATTTTCCCAGGCCTTTCCTACTGAGCCTTTAGGACTGGAATCCAAGGAAGAAGGGATTTGGGCCTCGATGGAACCCTGTGCCAGTCTATTTCTTGGCTACTGATTGATCTTCATAAAAACAGTCAGAGTAAACAGAAAGAAGTAGAAGGAAGGAAAAATGTTTAAGGCAAAGGCATAAGTAAATAGAAAATAGCAACAACAAAAATAATATGAGATGGTTTTCAAAATAAAAGCTGAATCTTTGAAAAGACCCTATGTATATCATAGACCTGCATGACACAATATGGTAACATGACAATTTACATTCAAATTAGTTAAAATGCAACAAAATGTTTAACTCAGTTTCTCAGTCACACTAGTCATATTTCAAGGAGCTCAACAGCCACACTGAGCTAGTGGCTAGTGCTACAGTATTGGACAATGCAGGTCTGTTCATATCATACACTGTAGATAATAGATTTCCATTGTTGCAGAAAATTCTGTTGACATCTCCTCTGTAGTCTAATCATTGTCCAGGTTAAACAAGAAAAAGGAAGGAGAAAAGATACAAAATGCTTCCTTGGGAAGAAAAATGGGGGTATAACTATAGATACAAAGAGACTTTTTACAATAAAAGATATTATGAGTAACTTTGTGCCAATATATTTAAAAATTAGATACAATTTTCTGAAAAAAATTCTAAACTTACTCAAAATTAAATAGAAAGCCAACCTAAATATATCAGTAACCACTAAAAGGACTAAATCAGTAGCTAAAATATGACCCCCGCCCCCTTTCTTCAAAAAAAAAAAAAAAAAAAAAAGCACCAAGTCCCAGTCCAGATGATTTTACATCCAAGTTCTATTAAAATTCCAAGGAACATCTAATATTTTAAATTAAAAATGGAAGGTCACAGAAAGTCCCTTGATTGATGATTTCAGTCCTGCTTCTGTCTCTTTCATGACCTGTGGCCCATGGAAAGACACTTTCTTTTGTGATGTCTCTATCAAGAAAGAGTTAAACTAAAAGGTTCTCAAGGGCCTGAGCAGCTCTATGGTCCTGTGTTTCTGTGGCTTTAAGACACTCATCTTCTCATTAATCTTGCCTAGCTTCTAAATATTAAGGTGACGATATTGGCTCACCCATATGGCCAATCTGATCTGCTCTGCTAAAAATGATTGTTAAACAGACCCAGAGAAAAAAGAAATTTCTTTTTTTCTTTTTTCTTTTTTTTCTTTTTTGAGATGGAGTCTCGCTCTGTCGCCCAGGCTAGGGTACAATGGCGTGATCTCAGCTCACTGCAACCTCTGCCTCCTGGGTTCAAGCGATTCTCCTGCCTCAGCCTCCCGAGTAGCTGGGATTACAGTCACCCACCATCATGCCTGACTAATTTTGTATTTTTGTAGAGATGGGGTTTCACCATGTTGGCCAGGCTGGTCTTGAACTCCTGACCTCAGGTGATCTGCCCGCCTTGGCCTCCTAAATTGCTGGGATTACAGGCGTGAGCCACCACACCCGGCCAAAAGAAGAAATTTCTGAAGAAAGAGTGGACCCAACAGTTTTGTGGAGCTGAAGCCAAGTTTCAGTTTGTTCCTGTCTCATTCAGAGATGATTTATCCACTGAAAATAATTTACTCAGAGCCCTGAATGACAACACTGTTCAGTGGGATAGAGGTTGTGCTTTTTTGATTTTACATTAATAGCAATAGCAGATATTTCTGGGATGATTCCCACAGGCCAGGCATAATCCTAAAGACTTTATATGCACTAATCCATTTGACCTGTACAATGTCCTGTGAAGTGAGTAGATATTGGTTCCATTTTAAAGGCTAGAAACTGAGACTCAGAAATGTTACTTGTCCAGGGTCACCTGGCTCTGAACGTGTTGAAGGAACTCCAGGTCTGAGAGGACCTATGACCTGTGCTGTTATACACAGATGACAAGTTGTGAGTACTGTGGAGCTTCTATGGTGGGTAAAGTCATTTCCTTTTGGATTTTATATCTCTGGTGAGCAGTAGCAATTCTTCTGTACCATGTGTCTGGTTAGAGGTTACTTTTCCAATGCCACCTTATCCAAAGGATTGGTGAGAAGCCATGAATTTCCTTCTGTAATAAAAGCAATCACTGGCTTGGGCTTTATTCAGTAAATAAGCAGACCTGGCTAGTAAAACTCATTTATGCTGTAATGCTAATGAGTTGCATGTGTAAAGAATGGAAAAAATGATAATTGCTCAGGGATTCCAGAGCCTAGGCTGACTGGAGAGCATATTCTCAGCAAATATGCTTTAGCGGACTTAGGGAAGTTACTCCATCATTTCTCTCCTTCTGGTTTCTTAAAGGATCCGGGGTCCTTACATCAGTAACCACCAGGGCTAATCATTGGTGCTGATCAGTACCAAGTCATTTGCCTGACCTCCTTTGATTGTGTGGCTTTTTTCAAAACTTGTTTTCCAAATACCTCAAGCTTAACTGGGAGGTAAAGGCTGGCATGCTCAGGGCCATCAAGGACAGTTCTGCAAAGGTCAAAAAGGCATGCTAAAGAAACATTTCCCTGTGTTACCACTTCCTTAGCTGCTCATTCCAGACTTACTAGGTAAAATGCAACTCACTTCTGTAATTTGTATTGTGCAAGATGGACTCTGGGAAGCGAAAGTAGCTGAGAAACATTTTTCAGGAACCAAAACAGACGTACATTCAGTTTAGATTCTTTGGAACACACCTACCTGAGATAATAGGGTACTTCTTTAAATGTTTTCTGAACCCACCACAAACCTCCTGTAGAAATACAGACATGCCTTTCAGTCCCCTTGAGTTAACTCAAGGGCTTAAAGGGATAATGCGCCCTGTATTTCACTTCGGTTTAAGTCTTTGTGTTGCTGACAGGGCTTAAAATGGGCAGGTAATCACTGGTACAATGTGTCATCTTTTTTCCTCCCTCTTCTTTTTTTTCTTTTTGAGACGGAGTCTCGCTCTGTCGCCCAGGCTGGAGTGCAGTGGCGCGATCTCGGCTCACTGCAAACTCCGCCTCCCAGGTTCACGCCATTCTCCTGCCTCAGCCTCCCGAGTAGCTGGGACTACAGGCGCCCGCCACCACGCCCGGCTAATTTTTTGTATTTTTAGTAGAGACGGGGTTTCACCATGTTAGCCAAGAAGGTCTCGATCTCCTGACCTCATGATCCATCAGCCTCGGCCTCCCAAAGTGCTGGGATTACAGGCGTGAGCTACCACGCCCAGCCTCCTCCTCCCTCTTCTTATGAAATAAAGTGAAAAGCACTTACTTTTTTTTTTTTAACTTAGCTATTTCTTTCTCTTTTCTTTTTTTTTTTTTTTTCTTTTTTTGAGTCGGAGTCTCACTGTGCCACCCATACTTGAGTGCAGTGGTCCGATCTGGGCTCACAGCAACCTCTGCCTCTCAGATTCAAGCGATTCTCTTGCCTCAGCCTTCCAAGTAGCTGGGATTACAGGCATGCATCACCACCCCTGGCTAATTTTTGTATTTTTAGTAGAGATGGGGTTTCACCATGTTGCCAGGCTGATCTCGAACTCCTGACCTCAAGTGATCCGCCTACCTCGGCCTCCCTAAGTGTTGGGATTACAGGCGTGAGCCACCGTGCCTGGCCTAAGCTATTTCTTTTAAATAAAACAAGGTTATCACCATTTTCCTTTTTGGAAAGACTTGGTTTCCATGGAGAGATGGAAATGGATGGGGTATGTAATAAAAGGGACATAATAAACAAGCCTCCATTTACACTGACATCTTAATTTATCAGGCATTAAGTGGCTGATATTAAATGTTAATGAGGTCTCTGGAAGAGGGAACTAGGGACCAGCCAGGACTGTGTCTCATTCAGTGGCTTCAGGACCAGGTAGAAACCTCAGTTTTCTCATTTTTTTTCTTCCTTTTTCTTTATCATACCGACACCACAGACATGGTTACCATTTATTGACCACTTTGGGATGAGCAGACCTTGTGCTAAGTGCTTTCCATCCAGGTGAAGTCAGCACACTTATTCCCATTTTGCAGAGGAAAAAGCTGGGTTTCCACTGAGTCAGTGCCCCGAGCCAAGGCTGCTGAGTGGCAGAGCTGAGCCTCAGACCCATGCCGTCAGACTCCAGACCCTGAGCATTAACACCTCATGTCTAGTCACTGGCCAAGGCCAGCCTGTTCTTCCCACAGGGCACCTCTCCCATCCACCACTTCCTCTCTGTCCTCTCAGCACCAGTCTGGGGTGGTTTCCCTGACTCAGAACTTTCCCATCCCATCCACCCTGCATGCCCCAGCCATGTTCACCTTCCTGAAACACCACGTTCTCTGTGTCCCTCCCGTGGCGACACATTGTCAGTTCCTCTTTATTTCCAACCATATTAGGTTCAACTACCTCAGACTCGTCCTCACATTCCTCCCGCATGGGCCCCCCTGCGCAGTTTTATGAATTTTCCACCATTCCCAGATAATGAGGTATCATTTTTCCTCTTCTAAAAATAGTGTTCATTCCTTTTTTCACATCTCTGTGCTTATTGCTTGCCATTATCTAAAATGCCCAATATCTGCCTACATCCTACCTGTTGGATTCAGCCCAGATATGCTCCTTTAGGAAACCTCCTCTGAAATTCTGAATATGCCATAAACCCCTCTCTCTTGAGCTGTTGGAGTCCTAACCCAATTTTCTTTGGAATTCCCTTCTCTTGATCACCGTTGGCAGATTCTCCTTTGGCAATCATACATGAAGCAAGACTGGAAATTCCCTATAGACTGTTAGAAATGCAAAATGCTTGTTACCCAGTGCTGCAAAGAAATAGCACTTGAACATAAATTTAATTCTCTCAGCAAGTCAATTTTTACTTTCTGCAGAAAGGGTGCCCCTTGCAGATGGAACAATGGCGAGAGCACACCTGGACAGGGGAGGGGAAGTAGTTCTTATTCCTGATGCAGGACCCTACTGCTGTGTCGTTCCTCTATTGGCTAGGGTTGGACTGCTCAGTCTAAGCTAATTCTGATTGGCTATTTTAAACAGAGCAGGGGTATGAACCAGAGTGGCAGGGTGAATAGTTTGGTGGGAAGGACAGTTAGGAATAGATAACTAAAGGGGACTTAGGTCAGAGCAGGTGACCAGGCATGACTGAGGTCAAAGCAGGTGACCAGGGGAACAGATGTGAACTACTGATTAAAACTGGTGGAAAAATGTTGTTTACTGAAACTAGAAGCAAGAGGGCGAAGAGAACCAGGAAGTTAAACTTTAAAATGGAAAATCAAAGAATAAGAGAGCTGAACATACTGACATACTGATTCTTTGAAGAGAAACTTGGGGTTCACTATACTTAACATGACAAAGTAGGGGTCTTTACTTCTGTAGTTCTCTCTGTGCTTAACAGAGGAATAGAAAATCATAATTACAGCTAACATTTATTGAGCACTTCATATGTGCCAGGCACTGTCTTCATGTATTAATTCTTTCAGTCTTTACAGTAATCCTCTGTGGTAATGAGGAAACTGAGGGAATGAAAGCTCAGGTGACTTGCCCAAGTGGTGAAACTGAAATGCAAACCAGGCAGTGGGGCTTGTGCCTCCCACTGCACTGTGCCACTTTATACCATCCTCAGGTCAGAAACAAGTCACATGTGGGCATGGAGAACAAATCAGAGAACATGAATTCTTTATCTGGAATTTTGCTCAGCTGATAAAGCTCATTGGTTCCCAGCCTTCCTCTAGAAGTGGATTCACAGTTCTTCCCTTGTTGCTCCACAGCTGGGGAATTTTGTGTTGAATCAGAATGTTCTGGTTTAGAAACATTTTCTGGGTTTGAATCAGCATGGTCCAAGTCTCGGTCGGAACCAACTTGACGTTTGCATGGCAGATGGAACTGGAGCCCTCACTCCTCCTCTAATATGAGGAGGAGGAACTCAAGCACTCACTCTTCCAGTAATATGACCCTCTTCTGTTTGGTATTAGATGCTTTAATCCTTTCTGGACCAAGGCAGAGTATAAACAAACAAAGTCAAATATTTAAAATTTTTAACAGCAGCAAAAACTTCCATAAGATTCTTGAAAATGAACTCCAATTTGATCATTTTGAGGACTGCCTAGGTTAGCACTGCTACTCTGATTCCTGTGTCTCTGTAGCACATTTAAGCTGCTAATTTGAAGAAATTGCTGGTAGCTTGCATTTGCCCATACTGCAGAATTTCAAATGCTATGATATATTTTCCACACTTTTATCTTCCTTTGGCCAAGTAGATGTTGTACTTTTTATTTTTTTTCCTTTGGTCAAATTCAATCAAATTGTCATCATTAGAAACACAAGGAAAAAATCACATTGATAAAAGACCATTACATTTTAAGATCCATGATGTGTCACTGTCTACTTGAGAATCCACTGGCTGCTGAGGTGGTGCCTTCTCCACCACATTTCTGACTCATTCCCAGAATAGGACTTTGTATGGAGTCAGCACTTCATATTTGTTATATCAGGTGGAATTTTGGGTGCTTTACCTGGCTTCTACAAATAGTGTTGTTTTGGTCATCGAAAGCAAAGCGTTCTTTACCAAGGGAAGTGTGGCCGGATTTTCAAACAGTTATGTCTGTCAAGTTAGTCTGGGGAATTTGACAGTGCCAGCTATGGATGGCGGTACGAAGCAAACAGATTCGGATGGAAAAATTCTTACCCAACTATGTCCAGTTAGGTTTATGAAAAGAGCACCATTATACCAGGCCTCCTTTGAACAAGAAAGGAAATAGCTTATGTCATGTGAATACAAAGTCCCACAGGAGTGTGCCCTGACTTTCCTTTCCAGCCTCAATTTTCACTGCTGCTTGGCAGGGATGTGATGCTCTGGAACACTCACCTGCCTGGCATTTTCCACGTATCCCATGTCCTCCTCCAATCCACGCCTTTGTTCTTTCTCTCCCTCCTGGAACTACTTTTCTCCCCCAATTGGCCTAGCTGTCTCCTGGCATTTTCTAAGGCCCAGACTAGGAATTCTTTTTCCCAAGGAATCTCCCCTGACCACCTCCCTTCCAAAAGTGAAATGCCACTTTTCAGTGCTTCCAGAATTTGCTGTGCATGACTGTCCTGTTACCTGTTAACACTTTGCATTATAATTATCAAGGTGTCTGTGTCTCCAGCCAGCCTGAGTGTTTCTTGATCCCTGTATCCCTAGCCTAGTACAGTGCCTGAAATCAGTGCTTGGGGGCCTTGTTAAAAGAAGAAACGGCAGGAGGGGAACAGTAGTAGATAAGCGATATTTCACAAAGGAAAAGGAGAAGCTATAACCTGTCTGTATGAACTCCCCAAATATGTCCCGTTCTTTCTTTGTTGTCACCCACCCTCTTTTGCTTTTCATGAGGGAGTGTTTGCCCTAAGTGAAAAGGAAAACCCACTTGTCTTTAGGGACATGTTATGCATGTGGAAGTCTGGCATTCCCAGCTGGGCGTTTAACCAGCCCACCACTTGGGTGTTTTATAGTAGTGTCTCAAGAGGTGTTATCTCCCTCTTTTAGGTCTTTGGAGAAAAAAAAGGTGATCAAAGAAACCAACTCTGGCTGGAGGGGGGGCAGTTAGAGTCAAATCGGGGTTTTAGTGGATAAGAAAGGGGACAGAATGGAAATGGGGTATGGATGATGCTAATATGAAGAATGTGCTTCAAGGCCTCCTGGCTATTTTTGCATGCAACCATCTTTCATATCCCTATAAGATAAAATCACTGTGAAGGGTCATAAACCACTGTCAGAGTATTTGACAAGCCCCATAGGTAGTTGTTCCGAGCTAGTAAAAGCATCTTAATTGGCCTAAATGACAACAGTTATGTTATAAATATCTAGAATTTATGACCTGAGAAGGCGTAATCACATCTTCCATCAGTTAAGTTTGCATAGGAGCAGCTTGAGGATTTAAGATAGGGCTGCAAGTTGGGGAAAATCTGATTAGCCTTAACTTTATGACAAACACAGAGCTAAGTGAATCGGAGTGCTTTCAAGTTCCTGATCCCTGGGAGTTAAAGGCAGTGGTGTTTCAGAGTCGGTAAAAGCCACCCAGTTCCCTCTGTGCAGCTGTCATTTTATTGGCCTTGTAAAGTCTCCCGTACACTGTGACAAATCCAAGACCATATACCTGCGAAGAAGAGATGTTTTAGATTATGGGGCACAGAGGAAGCAGACGGTGGGGTTAGAGGGTGAAAACCTATGTGTTTATGCCGATCCTTCTCCGGAATGTGCAGAGTCATTGTGAAAAGCAAGTCCGTGCTGCTTTAGGGCTCGCTCCAGGGTCTGATGAGACACCTCATTTTCTGTGGTAATTGAGGAAGCGAAATTCAAAGCAGGGTTTAAAAGTTGAGTTTATACATCTAAAAACCCCACACATCTTTCAAGTTAGCTGGAAATTACACTTGGATTTTTAAAATATGATTCATTTCCTGAATTTTTATTATGGGGATGGCATTATTATCAAGAGTACTACTACATCTAAAGCAAAAATCATAACAAAGCCAATCTGTTGAAAGGATGGGTGTTTTAAGAGACACATTGTAGAGATAAATTTGATGTCATTGATCAACCAGGTCATTGCCTGGGGACTCGCTGGTCAATGGAGTGGAGTCATCTTTGAGGTAAAAGGCAAACAGCCAACTTAATCCCAATTTGCAGAGCTTCAAAGGTGAACAGTCATTTTGCCAGGCAATGAAGAGCTCAGGTTATCTATTTAATGCCAAAGTCTGTGAAGTCAGTGAAATTTCTTTAATGAATTTGAGAGCAATCCTTCAAAGAACCCTTGATTGAAACCCCTAGAGAGGCCAGTTGTCTTTGAACTCAAGAGATGAAGTTTATCCTAGATTAACCTGATCTTTCAGTTTGCTCTGTCTTGTAATGTAGAGACAGAGTTCTGAATTTTGAGAGAAGCGTTATGGTGCTTTGGCAGGCATATCCAAATCCGATGTGTTTATTATAGCAATGTAGGAACACTTTTAGCTTTGTTGGTAAGGAGGTCTACCAACCAAAGGATCCACTTTACATATGAAATTTTTGTACATGTCTACCATGTTCCAACAGTTTCTGAAGATCAGATGGGTCCCAAGGTATATACTCAGTTTGTTACTTCTCAGTGGGTATGAAACAAAACTTCAGTTTTGGTTTTATTATTATCGTACGTTTCACTGCACTTTCATACCCTTAAACCTTGCATCTCTCAAATCTGGAACTCTGTGCCTTACGATGTGGAAGAAATAGGAAATCTGGAACTGATTATGAAATTATGAAGCAGGGAGATGCAGAAATGTGCGAGGATCAGTGTACAAATGCATAAACCCTGATGCACACAAAGCCTGGTGTGAAGGACACATCACTTTGGATTGGAACCCTGCTTTTACATTTGAGCGTAACGCAACCTAGCATTTGCCTTGTGTAGTGCTTGGGAGCTTTTGGTGTTAACAGAATTCTTTTCTAAAGAAATTCCTTCGGATTTCTTCAGAATTTGTCCAGTTTCCAGGTTCCAATAGGAAAAACATGGACAAGGTTTTAATAGAAAAATAGTGCTCCAGATTTTTCAGTTGGCAAGTGCCGTACTTAAGAACTGTTCCTGTTTTATTAAGTGGTACAGGTTAGCTTAATAGGGGAGTCCTCGACATTTGTACCATGATTCCAGGAAAGAGAGACACCTGGGTCCCCTGGAGAAGACACCTGTTGGGATTTTGAGCCCACTTGTGGTTTTACCATTCCATTCGCATCTCACTGGAGACTACGCTTGAACAACAGTTATATGTGCTGATAAGGCAAGACCAAATCCATCAGCGTTCTCTACTCCTGCCTCCTCGAGAAAGGATAGCTGGGTCTTCCCATGATGTTGTTTCAGCTTTTCCTGTTGATCAGGACAGTAATGATGGTGGTGGGAATGTTTTGTTTTTATTCAATTTTATTGTTCTGCTTTAGTGTTTTAACATTTCTAAAGGCAATGCATTTTTCTCATTAAACATTTCAAATAATTCAAAAATCTTTGCCAAAGAAAATAAAAGTCCCCTCTAATCCACCATCCAGAAATACTAACATTTTGGTGAACTATGTATCTTTCTAATTTTACTATATATAGACTCTTAAAAAGAATGGGATTATATTATAAATGTTTTTATAATCTGCTTTTTGAACTTAACATTGTATGTTGGACACTTTCCACATTAATAAATATACACCTATGGAATCATTTTTATAGTAACGGAGTATGGAATTTTGCATTCTTTAGCCAGTTATTAATGGTGAACTTTAGATGTTTTAAAATGTTCCCTAGTAGAATTCCCTAAAGCCTTTTGGGCTTAACCTTTATTCACTTAGCCAATAATTTCTTTGGAATAAATTCCTAAAAGGGAAGTTGCACATTAATATTGATAAAGATTGTGAAATGGCCTCCCAGAGGTGATGCCCATTCACCCTGCTTTAATGCCTTGAATGGCACCACCTCTCTGTACTTACCCCAAGTCTCTTTGTTTGGTGTTGCTTTGCTTTTCCAATTTAACTCCAATAGGTAAAGAGCTCTCAGTATTTTTCTTCTGGGTGGTAGGGTACAAACCAACAAAAACAACCAACATGCTTAATTTGCAAGTTGGTTCAGGGAGAGATGAAAAATATCTTTACAGAAGTAAACACCAATCTTATGACTGCCCATATGATATACTCCATTTCTCCCACCACCGAGATTTGTATAGTTTCTCTCCTGTCAGTATAATGCTCTATCTAAAATTTTAGAGGTTTCAGAATGGGTTGCCTATCCCAGTTTCCTTGTGAAAACAATTTTCTTTATTGTAAGTAAAGATTTCTAGGCCTTGGTCAATAAAAGAGAAATGGCCAGTGCTAGAAAGAGTCAAGTGGCCCCACTTCCCTTGCTCCAGATCTTAAAAACACCTAAAATGAAGCTCAATTAACTGGTTAATTTTTGCTGGTCATACGTTTTGAATGTGGAACTTCTTGGTCATTTGAGGGGTCTGACATTCTGGGCCCTTTTATCCTTTTATTGGTGAATTCACTGAAGTGTAGGCAGACAGAAAATGTTCAAGTGGCAGGCAGATAAACTTGTTAAATCCCTGGAAGTCTTTCCTTCTTTGCTCTGGGAGTTTATCATCTTGGCAGAGTTAAAAGGCAATTAGGCCTGCAGGTCTTTCCTGGCTTGTTTATTGGTGGTTTACACATGGGTGTTGAAGAGACAGGGCCATATTAAACATTCTGATCCTGCTGGCCGGAGGGGAATGAGACCTCAGCCCAACTTGGTAAGTCTCCTTGAGAGACAGCCTTGCCAAAACGCTGGAGGAAAATTGTTTAAATATAGTACCTGTGCCCCACGATGCTCATTGTTGGTGGAAAATTGCAGTCGGCTTGCTTCATGCTGTGTTCCATTTCCTGGGAAATGGTTTTATGGAAGGACATTTGATGAAAAAGTTCATTCCTTCTGTAATTGTTAGCTGCCCCTGTGGTGTGAGTTAAGGTAGAGGCGCACTGGAAATATTTCTTGCCCCAAATCTCTAGGGCAAGCCCCTTGCATGAGAAGGGAAGGCTATCAGTTTGAAACTGGGTGAGGGACAGATTTCCATTAAGTCCTCTGGTCCCTCTGAGTTCTCAGAGTCTCCCCAGCCAGGCTGATCTTGGGCAAAATTTGTAAAGGAGGTGGGTCTTGGGTTTTTGCAATCACTTCTTCCTTTTCTCACACCCTGCCTTCCATCGGCAAAGCCTGCAGGCTGCCTCCCTGGGATGAAGATACAGGGTTGGAGTAACGCCTAACTCCTTCACACCTATGTGTTAGTGAAGTGAAATGGCTCATCACTTCACCTCCTCCCCTGTTTTTCACAGTCAGCTTGGGCACTCATCTTAATGGAACAAGTGAGAATTGCTAGGGTTCAATTTGCTGGGCTCGGGGGTCAGGCACTCCTGGGTTCCACTTCTGGCTCTGTGTCTAACTGTGTGCCTTGAATTTCCTCTCTAATCTCAAGTTTTTTCTATTTGTAAAATAGGGACAAAGCTAGTCCCTACCATGCTAGTTTGTTGAGAGACTAAATAATGCATGGAAAGTGCTTAACATAGTGCCTGGCACTTAAAAAAAAAAAAAAGCACAATAACTGGTAGCTTTTACGATTAAAATGTGCTTTATTTGTCTAACACATATATGTAAAATATATATTATGTATATGTGTATATCTAACACACATATATGTAGTGTATATATATATATGTGTGTATATTTACACAGTCCAGTGACAATTATATTTTTTGACAAGATGTAGCTATTTTTGTTTTACCAGTCTAGGGTGTTACTGAAATATAAAAACGTATCTGTATAAAATGAGAAAATCCTTGCTCAGGTCCAGAATACTTGGAATTTAAGGACTTTCCATTTCCACAACTGGCCATTGTACTCAGCGGCCAATGGAACTCCTTTCCTAAGTGGCTGCTACTTATCCAAATCTTGGTTCCTCAGGAGTTAGGCACCCTGCCTTTATTTTCTCAACTAAAGAAAACACAACAGATAACTGCAGCTTTTATTCTCAATCTGACCTTTCATGTTGTGAAACTCTTTTGCCATAGTGTCTTGCCAGCGTCTGCACAAGGACTTCCTCTAGCTGAGTAATGTGGTTCTGATTAAGGACATCCTATAAGACCCAGGAGGATGGCCTGGGAAGGAAACCAGCCTGAGACACTAGAGTGAATTTCCATCCCTCAGTCAGATATATGATATTAAAGACCAGAAGGTATATGGAGTTTGTCGTTGGAAGACTCAGAAACAAAATTAAAGCAAATGGCTGACAAATTGGCTGTCTTTTATGCAAAGTTGACAAGTAAGCTGCCTCTTACCCGAAAGAGGATATGCAGAGCCCTCCGGCCAAATGGCTCGGCAGGCAGTCAGCAGGTCTTTTGAAGTTCCTGCTCGCATGCCACTTTTAACAACAAGGCCTCTGCTGAATTGCTTCCTCGTAAAGACATGGAAACTTAATTTTCACCGAAAATATCATAGTTCCAACAATGATCATTCATTCCTCTCCTTAGTGCATGTAATATTGGGTAAAATACCTGTGTTATGTACAAATGAGGTATTTTTTTTCTCCTTACAGTTTTATGAATTAGGCTATAAATATTAAACCTTACTTTATTTCGCGGATGCTAAGACCTTTCCCTGGGGCCCACTAGGCACTGGCTCACTCCTGCCATAGTCAGGAGGTGAGGTGATTGTGACCAACAATGGAAGATCCCATTTGCTCTCCCTGGATTCATGGAGGCTCTATCCACAGGAGGAAGGACAAGAGGGCTGTGCAGTGGGCAATGGCGTTTGGAGAGCTTGGAGTTTCTCTATCAAATATCTAAGAATCTACTAATAGTTGTAATTCTAATATGATTTTCTTGTTAATCTCTGTCAAGCCATGAAATCTGATATGTTAACCATGACTAAGCCATGAAATTTGTCAACTTTGTCTGTGATTTACACAGGCTCTGGGTATTTTATTTTTTAACTCTTAATACAAAGTGTAGAACAGTACTTCCCAGTATGCTTTTCCCAGCAGGCAGCTGGTATCCTATGACAACAAGTAAGAACAGAGTGTACGTGTTTCTCTTGCTGTTTCAAGGACCAAGGACAGATAAGATAAAACCTAAAAACTAAATAATATATTTTTCTTTGGGGTGATAACTGTGAACATAGTAGGCTTGCTTAAACATCAATAAGTATCAAATAAACATCCAAAATAGTTTTATGGTTCCTATCATTGGGTGTGATAACACACTTCCTTAAAGTGGTAGGTTGTTTTTGAGAGAAAATGAGTGAATAAAACCTGTTTGTTTGTTTGTTTTAGTGGTAAGTGATATAATTTCTCTCTTCAACATAGTATGAGCATAGGCTCTGTGACCTGAAATCCCATTTTGCTGTTGGCTAGGTGGGTGAATTTGTGTAAGTCACTCAACGTTTTTTCCCCGCTCAGTCTTTTCTTCTAAAAAATGAGGATGATAATACTGGAGCCTACTTTGTAGGGGCCTCTAAGGCACTAAAGAGAGGCCATCTATAAAACTCAGAGTGAGCACATTTGTCTTTTATCCACGTGGTCTACTAGTATCATTGGCATAGTAGTATATAATGATATAATAGATCATTGGGTATCTTTGTCACCCAAAGGAAAATTCATATAATTGGGAAAGGATTTTTTTTTAATTTTATCAGAAAAAATATGGGTAGTTTTTGACCAACCATTACCATACCTGTAGACAGTTTTTCATATGAAGGAAGGAGAACAGCTCAAAGGAAGAAAGAAATGTTGCAGAACTGGAGAGTAGTGAGGGCTGGGATGTCTTTCTCTCCTGTCCCTACCAAATGCCTTTTTTCCTTGTACTCAGAGAAAAAGAATACCCAGATCCTCCCCAACTGATACCTGGCTTCCACTCTTTAGAATCTAGAATCAGATAATCAGATGGCTTAAAACTCAGAGTATTTTGGTGACTTTGAGGACCATGTAGTCTAGTGATTTTAAAACTTTTGTTTTTCCTACAAAATCTTGTGCAGTGCTTCAGATCCTAAAAGAGCCCTTTCCAGATACCTTTCCAGTAGATCCGTAGGATATAACTTGTGAAAACAGAGTCAGGCTGATCTGTTCATTTTATCAACAGTGAACAGAAGTCTATGAAGTGTGGGCAGATTCCTCCAGGTCTTACCACTGATGGCCAAAAGTAGCCCAGCCATGTCTTCTTTTTTTTTTTTTTTTTTTTTTTTTTTTTTTGAGAGGAAGTCTCACTCTGTCTCCCAGGCTGGAGTGTAGTGGCACGATCCTGGCTTACTGCAACCTCTGCCTCCTGAGTTCAAGCAATTCTCCTTGCCTCAGCCTCCCAAGTAGCTGGGATTACGTTGCCCACCACCACACCCAGCTGATTTTTTGTATTTTTTAGTAGAGATGGGGTTTTCACCATGTTGGCCAAGCTGGTCTTGAACTCCTGACCCTCAGGTGATCCACCCACCTTGGCCTCCCAAAATGCTGGGATTATAGGCATGAGCCACCACGCCCGGCCACAGCCACGTCTTGAGTTAGTCAGTTCCCTTGCCATTATCCCGACTTCTTCACTTCCCACACAAACAGGAGGAAGAGAAAAGCAAGGCATAAGAATCCAGGATGGTTTTAATCAACTTGCCCAGGCTCTTGCACCCTTGAATTTTCCATGAACAATGTCATGGAATCTGTGAAACCTCTCCCACCTAAAAGAAAATTACCTGGAAAATGTTGTGAATGTGTATACACGCATTTTCCTATGGTGAAGGTCCATAGCTTTTATCAGATTCTCCCAAAGGAGTTTGTGACACCGCCCCCCAAAAAGGTTAAGAATGATTTCCCTATAATTTGTGCCCCTAAAAGTCACATTTCCAGTTCTGATTGTGAGCTGCAAGGTTAACAATTACATCCACTTTAACCTTTCAAGGGAAATGTAGCATATAATCCTATGAGTGTCTGAGGTCCCAGGCTTGCTTGTAAAACAGCAATTGGGTTGTGAATTATTCAGGCTGTCTCTGTAGCTTAGTTCTCAGCTGGTATTCTAACTGGAACTAGGTTCTGACCATCTTAGAACTCAAATGGTTCAAAACTAGGAAAATAATTCATGTTTATTTACAATGCTCCAGAAAAGTACATTTATTTCTAGACATGCACTTTCATTTATTTGGTTAATTCTGCTTTGGTCCTGGATTAGGGTTGCCGGAATTTCACAAATACAGGACATCCAGTTACATTTGCATTTCAGATAAGCAACAAATAATTTTTTTAGTAGAGTTCTTGGAAGGGAGAAAAATGAATCAGCCTTGCAGATGTAGAAAGAGCTTTCTTTTCAACTCTAGAACATTTGCTGCAAAAATTAAGGGAAGTTTACTGTAACAGTTGCAGGGTCTTTTGGAGATAGTAGATACATTCTAAAACTGGTTTGTGGTGCTGATCGCACAATTCTATAAGTTTACTTAAAATCGTTGAACTTTACACTTACCATGGATGACCTTGATGGTATGTAAATTTTGCCTCGGAAAAACTGGTAAAAAAAAAATTAAGGGATTGCTTTATGCCAACTGTTGCTTAATTTTTAATTCTGAGCTTCAAACTACTTTAAGAATATGGTTACCATAATTCTGCTCCTCAGAATAAAGTATATAAGCATGAACACCAAATTTTGCATAACATTTCTGGACCTGCTGAATAAGTACTTGATAAATAAGGAATGACATCTCTGGATACCAACTTCTACCTGAACCAGGAGTCCACACACCATTAAAATCCTTTTCTTGATGCTGGGAATAAGGCTTACCTGGGGCAAAAGCAAGGAGTTGCTGTTTTGGGAAGTCTTCAGTTGTTGATTATGAGAGTGACCTCTTGTGACACCTGCCACTTTGAGACTGCCCCTCTCTCAGTTCATGCTGAAAGGACATGGGAAGGACAGTACTTGTCTATGGTGTAAGTGGAGCCACCTTTTTGGGATAAGTTCTTCAGTACAGACAACATGTTCACAAGCCAGTGTGTAGACTCGATCAGGAGGCACCTCCACCAAAAAACGCACAACTCATTCTCTTGTTTTAGTGCCAGCTGAAACTAGGAAGTGTGCTGCACTTCTCTTTTATCTCTGTTGACATACCCAGGTATTCTGAGAAACACACTTGACCAGGATGAATGATTTCAGTAGAGAGGGGCTGGGATGGGATTGCTTAGCCAGGAAGAGTGTACCCTGAGAACTTCATTCTCTAACAAGATTTGAGGACTACTCCTCCAGATTTGATTACTAGACTCCAGAAGGGACAGTCCTTTATACAGCTCATAAGAGTCACTGTGGACCTCTGCTAGACCCTCCAGACAAGTACTTCTATTTTCTATTATTGTTCTAAATGTTAGCTCTTATCCAAATGAAACAAAACAAAATGCCTAAAAGAACTAGGGGAAGAGAAGCAAGGCCCCTCAGAGACACCTTTATTCTTGCTCTTTCTCCTTTCAAGACATGGTTGCTCCCTAGGCAGTCACATTTCTCTGGTGATGGAGAGAAAGGAGGGCAGTTGGAGATTGAGGGGACAGCATGGGATAGCCGAGACATGCTGATAGCTGGAGGGGAGGCTGCCTGGGACCTGAAGAAGCAGTGATGTCCCAGCTCCAGTCATCTGAACTCCCCTAATAGGCCTCTCCATCTCTCCAGACATTAGATCTTGTAGAGAAAGAAACTGCTAGAATCCAAATCTTTTCACACAGTGAGGCCCCCAAACAGCCCAGCCTTCACACACAAGCCAGCCTGCTTCTCCTGACTGACTTGATCAATACCTCAAGGTGCACAGATGTCTGTGCCTGGAAGCAAAGCCTCATTGGAACCCCACTATTCTGGAATTCCTGGGCTGGTCTCAGCCAGCTGCCTGTGTGTAGATACAACTAATTAGCTCACGGAGAGGACAATCTAACTCAAAGCCCTCCTTCCCAGCCTAACAATGCTTAAATTAGTTCAATAAATTCTGTCTTCTCATTCAAACCAATCCTGAAGGAGGGACCTCTGCCAGCTCACTCTTAATTACTGCTGGCATTTGAAAGCAAGTAAATGCCTTCCCTTGAAAAATATTCTATAAATCCATCAATTTTGCTTATTTTAAATGACTTCTCCCACATTTGTCCAAATAAGTGAAGCTTTACCATTTTTGGCTTTTTCTGCAGAGTGAGTGAGTTTTAGGCGTTTACTGGAAAGATCATTTCTGATAACACCAACCTCTTCCACATTTTTAGCTTTGGGTTTTGAATCCCGGAAACCCAGCAATAACCTTAAAGTTCCATTTTCTTACTTGTGAAAGTGAGAAGCTGAGCACCCATGCTGGAACTCACCATATAGATGCCTCACTGCTTTTCATTTCTAAGTTTCTCCTCCATGTCTTTTTCCTCTTGCCAGTGTTTAGATAAAATTATTTCTATTTGATACATTTTTCTTCACTCTTGTCCTTAATGGGTCAAGTCTCATGTGGCTTCATAGCCCTGACAGACAGTAGTATTGCTATTTTGGAGTCAAGGTCTCGTTCTGTCGGCCAAGCTGGAGTGCAGTGGCACCATCAGGGCTCACTGCAGCCTTGACCTCCGAGGCTCAAGGAATCCTCCCACCTCAGCCTCAGCCTTCCGGATAGTTGGTACTACAGGTTCGTGCCACCATGCCTGGCTACTTTGTGTGTGTGTGTGTGTGTGTGTGTGTGTGTGTGTGTGTGTGTTTTTCCGTAGAGATGGGATTTCACTATGTTGCGCAGGCTGCTATCTTGAAGTTTCTTTAAGTCAGTTCTCCTCAGGGGATATTTTATATGGCTTTTGTAAAGTTCTAAGGAGGGTGGTGGTTCTCTCAGTCTCACAACATAATACTACAAGGAATTATGTTTTTAAAGATGCTGTCAGCAGTGGTTTTTAACCAGGAAATGGGGAGCTGGGGAATGAGGGGGGATCTTGGCCCCCATCCCTGGTTATTTGTCAATGTCCACGGACATTTTTGGTTGTCCCAAATGAGGGGTGCTAATGGGTCATCTAGTGGGTAGAGGCCAGGAATATCCTACATTGCACAAAGCAGTCCTGATGACAAATAATTGTCTGGCCCAAAACTTCAAGTGTCAAGGTTAAAAACCTTAAATTAGAGGAATTCTTGTTTTTTTTTTTTTTTTTTTTGTTTGTGTTTGTTTGTTTTTTGCTTTCTCTCAAGTCCTGGGATAAAGAGAAAGAAAATGCCCCATTTTGATGCGTGCAGGCGTCCTGATCCTGAGTTCTTACATCCCACATGGATCCAGGAATTGGAGAGCACCAGAGTACCAGCGAGCAGGGCAAAGTGCAGGGTGGAGGCAGATCTTCTGAGCTCCAACAGCTGTCTGAGCTCCAAGGAGAGACAACTTTGACCAAAGCAGAGGACCAAAAAGTTACAAGGATGTTTAGTTTGTGATAAAAATCATTTTGCAGATTAAAGTGCTTCCTCCTGCCCATAAAATGGTATGTTCTTTAAATAACTCAAAAACCGAAGGCATTTAACTGTCGCAAGCAGGAGGCAGGCCTCGGAGCCACAGTGGATTGATTCCATCCTCGAAATGGAGCCTACCCAAGCTGTAGGTGGCGCTCTTCCTGCTTTCTCCAGTGTGCTTTTGAATAACCCCTGTAACTCGCAGCATGAAGCGACAGGGAATAGAGGGTGTTTCCTGGAACCAGTTTCTCCCTCCACATCTCTTGGCTCCAGTCACCCTCACTTCCTCAGTGGAGCATGATGGCTGCTTAACTTCCAGTCTTCCCTCCGGTCACTCCAAGCACAGTTAGGCAGAGATCGCACAGGCCCTGCAAAAAGTGTCAGTGTCTCTCATTGGCTTTGATGGGATCATGTGCTCATCCTGAACCAATGCTGTGGCTAGGGGAGGAATGCTGGAAGCTAATTGGCTGGGGCCTAATTTAGGACACACCCCCTGAGTTGCAGTGGAACCTTGTGCCGTGCAGGTGAATTAAATAAAAGTGGGGGCAAATGTGTTGCCTCAAAGGGAAATTGGGGTAAGAGAGGCACCCACACACCACTCGCTACATGGAGACTTTGAATTCTGTGGTGGAAGACTTAGGTCTTGCCCTAGCGTTGCTGTTAACACTAGCTGCTTGACTTCAGATAACTTTAGGACTCTCCCTGCCTCCTTTTTCTGTCTGCAACATGGAAGTAATCGTTCCATCAGAGTGGTTATAAAAAAATCAAGCAATTATCTTGGGATATGGGAAGGATTGTGCAAACAAGTAGTGATGGTGTAGATGGGAATGAATTCAGTTTAGCTTCTAAAGTCTCAAAGAATCTAGACCAGTTACAACCCACCCTGCTAGTCCATGCCAGCCTTCGGAAGCCAGTGTCTAAATTTATCCCAATTCTCACTGTTTCAGGTCAGTGTGGGAAATCCTCTGAGGTCAATGATTGAGGTAATTGGCTTGCCGTATCTTGACAAAGTCTCTGTTAAATGACATAATTGGTTTTAATTATGTAATTACGGCACTTAAAATGTGGGGGTGAAAGGTTACTATTATATTTAGAAGTGAGATCCCCAAATGAAGCAAGGGTGTTTAAGCCAAGGTGTCTTCGAATTTCTCATTTTATTTTTTCAGAAGGAAGCCAGAGGAGGCTGGCCTTGGCCCTGGTGATTTGGGGATGATTATCTTGCATGAGGTAGTGCCGGGGCTGATCGCGGCATCATAGGAACCTTTGTAAAGAGAAGGAAAGGGCTTCCTTAAAGACCTCTTTGTGATCTGAAGTTAATGAGCAGTGGGAACTCAACTGTCAGCAATTGAATCTGATTGGGCAGGGTAATTATATGATTGCCTCTGGTGTTTGCACATGCACGGGGATATTTTTATTGTAAAAAACCTAATTGCTTACTTACTTGGTGGAGGGAAAACCTAAACAAATTTGTGTTGTCATAGGTTAAGAAGCTATCCTTTCTTTGTCTCTAAAAACGCCGCTTGCTCTGCTTCTTAGAAGTGAGGGTTTTGTTTCTTTTCGATTTCAGTCAAGGATGTTGTTTGTAGGACTTGGATCATATGATAATATTAAAACAGAAAGCTACTTTGGACTACGTGTCTTTGGTCAAATGACCACATGCTTACTACCCAGTCTTAAGCCATCCTCTCCAGTGGTCTCTTTCGTAATGCAAAGGTAGCTAGAGTCCTGGGCAATATTCAAGCTGCTGGGACTTTCCCAGCCTTTAGGGGGTTTTTTGTTTTGTTTTTTTTTCCCCCACATGGAGGCTCCTGACAAGATTGGCTTCATAAGCTATCTGGTTTCCCCTAGTTGCATCAGGCAAGTGGGAGGTATCATGTCTGCGATAGCCTTTTAGACGTCAACACCAAGGGTAAGAAGAACAAAGCGCTCCCTCTGCAATTTCTCAGGGACTTGGAGGAAAGGAAGGGGCAAAGTGGGCTCCCGTATTGTGATACCAAACTGTGATCCACCTTCTTGTCTGTTTCAACAGTCTCCATGAGGATGGCATCTCCCTTACCCCGATGCTGGTGTGCAGAAAGGATTGCTGCAATTGGGTCTATTCCGTAGCAGTTCAACTCTGCATTATTGTTTTTTTTTTCTCTCTTCTTATAGAAAAAAAAAAAAAAAACACACTATTTTCTAAGTTCTTTAGTTTCCTGAGATCCCACTGGCAGAAGTCAAAATGCAACTGGATTGTGGGCATTGGAGGAGCACCAGTTCCTCCTGTAATCAGGGCTGCAGACTCCAAATCTGGGTGCTCTGGTTGGATGTAGGATTACAGGCTGCAGAATGGCTGAGAACAAAGGACTTTCAGCCCTTCGGACCAGCCAAAGATTCTCAGGAATCTCGCACGTGCTGACCCACCCCAGTCTTGGCTGGCTAACTCCATGGGTTCTCCAGGCTCAGCGTTACATGTCACTTCTTCCCAGGAAGCCTTCCCTGACCACTCACCCCCAGTCTGGGTTGGCTGCCTTTGCTTTGTGCTCCATGGCACCCTCTAGGTTTCCTTACCCGCTGTCCTGTAACTGCCTGTCTGGTCTTTCTCCCACATACCCCATAAGCTCCATGGGGGCAGGGTCTGTGTTCCTATTTGTCACTACGATATCTCCAGAGCCTGGCACCATGCTTAATGAATGTGTGTAGAATGACTGAATGAGGAGAGGAATGGTTGCTGGGTGTCCTAGGAACTGTGGTATGTGCTGTCCTGGTTTCCCTGCCCTTGCTGTTAATACTGCTTTCTTGTTGCTTATAATTTTCATAATTTTCATTGTCCCAGATGATCCAGCTCTGTCGGAGGCACGTAGGCACAGCCAAATCTCATGCTGTACATTGATCACCTGTCCAACCTTTGCCTAGAGTGGGAGCCCCCAGTTCCTTCGAGATCCAACATTACCTGTCTGTAAAGAAGAAGAGGAGGAGGGAGACAGCGGGGAGGATCCGGTGGCAGTTTAACACCAGAGCAGGTCCAATGTTTACTTTTACCCTTTTGGAGGTGGGTAACGGCAAATGCTGGGTGCTGGGTTTCAGAGAGACTCTGCATAATGAGCTTGGATTTGGGGGCTCACATGTACTTTACATTTTGCTAGAGTGTAGGAGTTGCTATTTTTGTATTTAATTCACAGCCAGACTGTTCCATGATTCCCACCAGTGTAGAACAATAATCTAGGTCCATCATCCACATGATGTAAATTGTTGTGTCAGCCTCATGGTGGCCACACAGTGTTGTTTGGATCTTGCTACATGGACAGAGAGGAAGGTTGGTCATTGGTTGCTACTTAATGACTATTACATTTACTATTTGCTTTCCAAGGCCTATGATTTTCAACACTTTTTCTTGTTTTGATTTTGTGGCTTTTGATGTTTTGAATCTTCCTCTACCCCCTAGCCCAGCCCAGTTGACTTCTTAGACCATGAGATCCAGAGTAACTACTGAATGAATAGATGAGATTTCACTAGCCCTATATGATTTTGGATATACCTAACCAGCTCCTTCCCTAAGCAGAATATGAACCTGTGACTTTTCAGGCTTCAGGCCAGAGAGCTTCCTACTGAACCCCTAAACCCCAAGCCATCACGGAGTTTGGACTATCTGTTGTTGATTGGCCTGCAATCATGATTTCTGAGTAGATGGACATTGGTACATGGAAACCGAAGCCTCACATGTGGCAGAAAAGAATAAACCCACAGAGACCATAGGGCATTGGCCTTATGCTTCTTGTGCAACCGTCTGTACTCAACTCTCCTGGGTCTGACTTTTATTCTCATCTGTTGGCTCTGAGTCTGTATTTACTCTGCATTCTTGAGTTGCATTTTTGCTTTGGCATAATAAGTACCTAAGTTGGAATCTTTGGGGGTTCCTCCTAGGAAGAGAGTTTGAATCTACTTGCTTTTACAGTAGATATGTTCATCAATGTTGTACACTTTGAACCAAACAGAATGAGCCATGATGAGTTTTATTCCTGAGTTCTAAGGAAATTGTAGTTTAATTTTCAGTTTTGGAATTGAACCAAGAGATGCCTCACCATCTCATATTCCTTCTGGATTGAGGCAGTATTGTAATAACTGCCTACAGAAGTAAATCACATACTTTTGCAATAAAAATTTCTTTGAATGACACTTAATTTTATAATTAAACTTGGCAGTACAGCCTCTGAAGTGTCTCATCTTGCCTAATCACAATGATCTATTTCCTTTCAGAGTACTTCCGTATGCAATGATTAGTCCTTTTGTTATCATCACATTATAGATTGAAAAGAATAATTCTTAAAAAGAAAAAGAATGAATGATTGTATTTTACATAAAATTCAAACCACTGATTATTTCTGTTGTTTGTTTTAAAAATATTTTCACCAGTCATGGTGGCTGATGTCTGTAATCCCAGTGACTGGGGAGGCTGAGGTGGGAGGATCACTTGAGGCCAGGAGTTGGAGACCAGCCTGGGCAACAAAAGAATAAAATAATTGGCTAGGCATGGTGGTGCATGCCTGTAGTTCCAGCTAATTAGGAGGCTGAGTCTGTAGGATCCCTTGAGCCCAGAAGTTCAAGGCTGCACTGAGCCATGATCATGCCACTGCAGCCCAGCATGGGCGACAGAGTGAGACCGTCTCAAAAACAAATAACCAACTAAAAAAAAAAAAAAATTTGCATGTTTCTTCACTGATTGATTTATTCTGCAAACAGATTTAAACAGGTTCTCTAAGTGCAGTGCCTTGAAGAGCCACTGGCATCCTCGCATCACCTGGGGACTTCTTAGTAATGTAAATTCTCAGGTTTTGCCCAGACCTACCGAATCAGAATCTCTGTAGATGGAGTCCAACAAGATGTGTTTAAATGGGCCTCTGGATGATCCTGATACACAGGAAAGTTTGAGAGCCACTGGTTTAACATTCTACCAGTCCATGATGTGGGGGTATTAAAGGGAGAGTAACTACGTATGGCCCTACCATCCAGCTCCTTGTGATCTGATCAAGGGCATAAGGCATAAATTCATCAGGCAAGTTGGCAGAGTGATCTTTACAAAATGTAGATTACATCATACACTCCCTTCTTAAATCCCTCCAGGCAGTCCCCTTTGTACTTGTAATAAACGTAAATGCTTAGCTCAAGCCTACAAGGCCTGGCATGCTCTGTCCCCTGACTACCTTCCCAACCTCATCTGTTGCTGTTCTCTCCCTCCCCCAGTGCCGTGCCATGCTGCACTGGCCTTCTTTCTCATCCTCAGACATGCCTGCTGAGTGTAGTGTCAGCAGGAACATAGAGAAAAGGGAAGTAGGGTAGAGAGAATTGTAAAGGTTAAATAAGAGACTTGGACACTGAAGTATTTTTTTCACATTATAAAATATTCCTAAGCTACTCTCTCCACTGGTTAATATTATTGATATTTATATATATAGATGTGTAATATATTAATAGCATAATCAATATTAATGGCCTCACCTTTAAGCCTTTCACACGTCTCAGGTGTCCTTCTGCCTAGGACACAGTTTGAGGGGAGGGTCTCGGTTGTTTTCTTCATCCCTCACACACTGACTTCACACAGATCTGGCCCTCAAAAATCGTGGACAAATGAAAGAAGAGATTCTGCAAATCCAAATGCCCTCACAATGCTAGCAAAGTCTGAAAGGATTTGTTGAATCATTAAGGAAATATTAAAGTCGTTTAGTTTCATCTTAGTGTAATATATTTTCATTGCTTTCTCTCTCTGAGAGTCAGCCTGGCAGGCACAGTGGGAACTGAATAAACGTGGCCGGAGAGACATGCTGGGGGGGGTGAAATCATCTGTTTTGCACAAGAATATTGATGGAGTCAGTGAATTATTTTTACTGTCTTTATTCAAGTTTTAGAAAGGATGGTGACCATATTCATTGGATTTTGTCTTTTTAAAAGATTATCTATGAATGCCAGTTTTGATCTTTGGGATATCATGTATACCGTGTGATTTGTGTATAAAGCAGCTGTTCAGATTTTTATGGAATGTGAAAATACTGTATCTCAGGATTTTCTTCATAATGAGACAGGGAGAAACACACATTTCAAATATGATTTGTTTCAAAAAATGAATTGGATTTGAGGCAAAGGGCTTTTTTTTTTTTTTTTTTTGAGACAGAGTCTCACTCCGTCACCCAGGCTGGAGTGCAGTGGCACTATCTCAGCTCACTGCAAGCTCCACCTGCTTGCAGTAAGATGGGGTTCACGCAGTTCTCCTGCCTCAGCCTCCCGAGTAGCTGGGACTACAGGCGTCCACCACCACGCCTGGCTAATTTTTTGTATTTTTAGTACAGATGGGTTTTCACCATGTTAGCCAGGATGGTCTCAATCTCCTGACCTTGTGATCCGCCTGCCTCGGCCTCCCAAAGTGCTGGGATTACAGGCGTGAGCCACCGCACCCGGCTGCGGCTTCTTAAAAATTTAGGACTTCTGGATCCAAGAACAAGGGCAATGGTTTTTGGACTTTTTGTCTTATTTTTGTTTTGACTATCTCTAGCTCTAAGTTTCACAATAACAGGCTATTATTTTATAAACATAGTATCTCTGGTTTTAGACATTATTTGCTCATTAGGAAGCCTTTCATTTGAGATCTGTAGAACAGAGAAGTCATGGAGGTAGGGAAGGGGGAAATGCTTCTTAAGGTCTCCCAGCTTCTCCTTACCTGGTAAAGATATCCCAGCATGAGGAGTAAGAATATCCTTACTACCTTAAGCTCTGTGGATATATGAGGGAGCCCTTCTTATTGTTAAGGAGATGCTCGGTCTTCTCTTGTGAGTAGGGACAAGACAGGCATGCCCTGTCCCACCCTCTGAGAACCCACAGCCAGAGGCTGGGCAGGATTTAGCAAATAGCTACATTTTCACACTTTGAAACACACTCTGAAGGATGAGTACAGAAACTAGCACAGCATAGAAGAGGTAAACAAGTCCTCTCTGGAGCTGGCAAGGAGAGACATGAGGTTAAGACCATGAAATGAAAGATGATCAGGCGTTCATTGGGGGGGTGAATGAACATCTGATGGCTTAGGTGTTAGGTTGTGTTAGGTTGTGGTAGCATGGGAAGGGGGGCAAGGGAAAATGTCCCCGGGGAGCTGGCATCATGTCCCACAATAGCTAGGGTTCTGCCCACAGAGGCTACACAGCAGAGAACCTCCTGAGCAACACTGCCACAGAGTGAACCCCAGCGGCAGAGCGCTTCTCCTGCAGAGACTGAGATTTCCAAGTGTCCACTAATAGTAGATGCACTGTCCTAGCATGACATCAGCACCGTGGTACCTGTTTTTGGTTGTTTTCCTGGTTCCTCCAACTCTTATGGTGCCTCTGTCTGAGATACCTCCTTTTCAGGGCAGCCTCTGCTGGTCTCCTCCTTGAGAGCAAAGCTGCCTGCAGTGGACATTCACTATTCCATGGAGGGATTTGTATGGCTTTTAGGGAAGGGTTGTGAGCATCTTCAGGAATCTTCCCAGAGAACTGCCTTCTCTCACTGCCCTCTGGATCCAGAGGCATCTTTCACAGGTCTCACATGTCCTTCTGTCCAGGACGCAGTTTGACGGCAGATTCTTTGTTGTTTTCTCAGTCTCTCACACACTGACTTTGCACAGATCTGGCTCTTGAAAATTGTTGACAAAGGAAGGAAGAGATTTTGCAAATCTAAGTGCCCTCACAATGCTAAGGTTCAATTTCAGGAATGTGAAATAGAAGAGATACCTGATTCATTCATTTATCCATCCACCCATTCAGAAATAGTTATTGAGGACTTACTGTTTCACTGTGCAGCCAAAACACAAAGCCCGGCTCATGGGAAGTTCCCAGTGGATGCTGGTTATTAAAAAGGAAGTGGAGTACTTACTCTGGCATCTGGATCCCTTTGTGTTCCTGTCCGATGGACTTTTCCAGAGGCCCGAATATTTGTTTGTTTGTTGTTTGAGATAGGATCTGACTCACTGTGTAGCCCAGTCTAGAGTGCAGTGGTGTGAACATGGCTCACTGCAGCCTCGACCTCCTGTGTTCAAGGGATTCTCTTGCCTCAGCCTCCCAAAGTGCTTACAGACATAAACCACCGCACCCGGCTCCCCGGCTCTTTATCCTTCTCTTATTTAGGAGTGATAGTCCAGGCTACCAGCTCTGAATGTGTCTGCTTCTCTTCAGAGGGGCAGAGCTCTCCCATAGGCAGGAAGCACTTGTTTCCTGGACTCGTGGCATTTTACAGTGCCGAAGGACAGCTCGCTGGTTGTTTGCACACAACCAGTGTGAATGTGAAATGACAGGGAGCAGCTGAACTTCAGGGCAGTCTGAGTAGCTTTTTAAACAATTAACAAATTAATGAAGATAGTCATTTGGAGCACCTAGGTTTCTACTTGCTGAGAAAGGCCTGACCTGTTTCTGAGGAGGACTTTTTTGATTAAAATAAAAGGGCAATTTCTGTGGACATGAAGAATTTAAGCCTGGAGTCACATATGGAGCTTATAAGCCAGTTCTGCCTAGATGGCATTTTGTTTGGCTCAGAGTGTTCCAAAAACCGGAAAATATAATATACGATTCTGGCTTTCTGGGTTTTTGGAAAAAAACAGATGATCTGGTTATAGCGAGCTATATTCCCACGAGATTGCCCCAGCAATCTCCTTTGTCCAGCCAGCCCTCTCCAGTTTACTGGTCACCAATGTGGCCTTCCTCACATCTGCCTCACTTCCTTCGTTTGTGTTACCCCCAGCCCCCGTCCGCATGGTGTGCGAACCTGCTTTGGCACTGCAGAAGAGGGCCTGTGGCGAGCTTGCCATGGCCAGCAGCAGGTATTAATGATGCCCAGATTTGCCTCCCCAGCTCCTCATCCAGATGCCACATGGCAGGGCCAGTAGGAGCGACATCAGCAGCTCATCACCCAGGCTGCCAATAAGAACCACGTGGGTACTTGCCCAGGCACTGCATTAGGGATTCTGACTTAATGGCTCTAGGTGAGGCGCAGAGGCCGTGTCCACACAGACAACTTCCAAAGGCCTGCACTGAAGCTTGTGCAGAGCTCCCCTGCTCTCTGGGACAAGTGTTCTGCCCCCAACAGCACTCTTCTAGGCTTCTATTCCTCTTCCTGAATTGGTGTTGAGCATCACAAGCCACTGTCATATACTGGAATCAGTGAAGAGCACACATGTCAAAAGAGGCTTTTCAAAGGGGTATAATGCAAAAACCAGAAATAATGTCTTGATCTGAAAATCCAAATAAATCAACAAAAAATGGGACTTGAGTGGTGGGGAGAAGATGGCAGACGTGAATGTTTCCCCCATCTTCTGCACGATGACAGAGAGGTACTTCTATGGGTGGGTACTTCTTGAGGCCCATCTTGATGTGTGCTCTTAAAGACAGCCTGTTATTTTCTTTCCAGATCCTTATAGATTGTTTTTTCTTTACATCAACAAGTCAACAATTGTGCCAGATTATTTCTACTGCTTACCTCTTTTACATTTTTCTGGTAAGCCCTTTTAACCTGCCATATATGTGTTTCATTGCATTAATTTATTGCTCCCTTTCTTAGTTTTTGGTCTTTTTTTCTAGAGCATCTATTATCCTCAGGTTCTCACTATGTAATTCCCATATCTATCATGTTGTCCCTTACAGATTACATCTCTATATTCTGGGATAACTTCACAAGATTACAGCCTATTTTTCTGATGATATTTTCTAGAGCAGTGATTCAGCTCCTTGCTACTTCTAATGCTGGCTTTGATTCCATTACTGCATTTTTGCTGGGTGGTCAATTCCCTTCCATTTTCTGTCCTGTCTATAGTCTTCTGCCTCGGTGCCTCACATGAGCTTTTTCACTGATAGGAAACTGAGGCCCAGAGAGCGATATGATTTGTCAAAGGTTATGTTGTTAGTTCCTGGTGAAAATGAAAGTAGAACTTGGATCTTCTACCAGTCCAAGGCGTTATTCATCCACAAGACTCAATTTTAAAGATCAACCTTGAGGTGAAAATAAATAATTTGGTAGAAAAAATTGTCATTATCTTCAACCTGATCAAAATGTTACACATATTGAGCATGAATATTCCAACTGAGAATTTCTTACTATAGATGACTGTAGTCACTCTTCCTTTTCTATAGCATAGCACTATTGATTTAGTGCTGAAGTTTAAAAACTCCAGTTTAAAAGGAACAAGTTCTACATTTTCCATGACTTATCTCCTTATCTGTGGACTAAGGACCTTTGGGAGTCCTCAAATCTGCAAAAACACAAACACACACACATAATGAACCATGATCCAGAATAGAATGCCTCATAAATACATGTGTGATAATTTCTCTGGTGTGTGCATAGACACTATTATGAGTTCTAAAATTTAAAAACATTACTTAATTTAAATACATTAGCATTTCAGAACATTACTGAATTCCTAGTAGCTGTCGATCATCAGGTATCAAGTTGTCTTCTCTGTCTTCCTTTGCAGTCTCCATGCTTCATAGGATGTGTTGCAGGGGACGTGGAGGAGCAGAGTAGTGCTTACAGTCAGGAATCAGGCTCAGTCCATAGCAAGATGTGGCTGTAAGCAGGCAACGTGGCTTCCCAAGGTGTCAGGCTTCTTCTGGCACACAGGGGAGGTTATAGTTATTAGTCATTTATTCAACAGCCATTTATTTGAAGAGAAATAAAATTACACTTAGGTGGAGGAGTCTGCAAAAGTTTTTGATGTTTGAAGGGAGTCCTTGCCAAAATTGTACTGCTCCTGTCTTCCATGATAAATTTGAAGCCTACTTGTGCCCTTCTTCAAGTAGCTGCCAATCCAAGGGAAAATCTGTACTGCCTGATGGCTCTCACCAGTGGCTACAGTGTTGGGACAGATCTGGCAAGCAGATGTCTGTGGTGGAAACTTTCTATTCTAGCATAGCTCCTTCTGAGGAAGAAGGGTTAGGTCAAAGAAGAATGTTCCCCAGACAATCTGCCCCTTTGTTAATCAATGCTGTGATCTTGACTGCCCCTACAGCAGCCCCATCTTCCTGAAATCTTCGGTAAAAAGGCCATCCAACAAATACATCTGGCATTGGCCAGGATTTTTCTAGGTCCACTGTAACAGGGAGGAATGGATTTAATCAGATTCAAAGGAACATTAAGATTCATTCCATAACAGTGGTGCATCTCTGGAAGGGCTATGGAAGGCAGGTGATCAAAAACCAGTTTCTCGAGCAAAGCTTGCAAAGCAGTGCAAAAGAATCAAGTTGACTATGCAGGTGTCTGAAATGCTAGTGACATTTATCGAGCTCATTGGGACACATGTACTATGTTCAGTGCTTTAATGGAGTAATCTAATTAGTCTTCATAGCAGCCTGCATAGTCAGCACTAATGTTATGAGCATTTCATGGATGTGGAAACTTGAGAATTCAGCCATTAAGCAACTTGTCCAAGGTCACACAGTGATTCCTCCTTCTTTAACTATTGGGCTGATAATATGGCCACACAGCTGATTTTGAGTCAATGAACTATTATTTTCTTTGTTTCTTTAATTGGACAATGCAGTCCTTATGCAGACATGCAGTTATTATAAGAAATGATAATTTGAGTCAATTTTAATAGATTTGGCAAAAGCTAGTATCTATATAATAGTAACAGAAACACTGAATTTGCTGAAAAAGACATTTGCAAGTTGTCTTCTCTGTCCTTGCAGCCTCCACGCATAATAGGTTGTGTTGCAGGGGACATGGAGGCCATGTGGAGGAGCAGAGTAATGCTCGCAGTCAGAAATCAGGCTCTGTCGTTAGCAAGATGTGGCTGTAAGCAGGCGATGTGGCTTCCCAAGGTGTGGCTTCTTTTGGTGCATGGGGAAGGACATAGTTTAGTCATTTATTTACCGTCTATTATGTAAGTGGATATGATGACAAACTCACTAACTCTTACTGAGATTGTAACACAAGTAATCCTGATGTAATGTGATCTATTCTAGGGGCAAGGTCTATATCTCTATGAAGGGCTAGGGTCACTGTAGGGTGCCAAGTCAGGCTTTCATCAGCACATGTTCATTGATGCCTACTCTGTTCCAGGCTCCATTCCAGGAGCTAGATGTTGCAAATACATTATATTTCAAAGGGTGGGGCCAGGAAGGCAGTGAACTAGTAACAAATAGGATGACTTCAGAAACTAGTAAGTTGCATGAAGAAAAGTACAGTAGAGTTATTAAGGAGTCACTGGGAATGAGAAGAACTACCGGACTTAAGGTGACCCGAGAAGATTTTTCTGAGGAGGTAACACCAAGACAAGCCTCAGAAAATGAGGACTATTTTCTAGGCTGGGTGGAAACTGGGTGGATTGGCCTTGATGTGTAAGGTTCTAAAATCATTTTTTTTTTTTTTTTGAGTTGGAGTCTCACTCTGTCACCCAGGCTGGAGTGCAGTGGCGCGGTCTGGGCTCACTGCAAGCTCCACCTCCTGGGTTCATGCCGTTCTCCTGCCTCAGCCTCTCAAGTGGCTGGAACTATAGGCACCTGCCACCACACCCGGCTAATTTTTTGTATTTTTTGTAGAGATGGGGTTTCACCATGTTAGTCAGGATGGTCTCGATCTCCTGACCTCGTGATCCGCCCACCTCGGCCTCCCAAAGTGCTGGGATTACAGGCGTGAGCCACCGCGCCCGGCCAAATCATTCTTCTTTTAACACAGAAGTGCAGATATCAAGTACATAATAATGCTTCTTGTATTTTATTCAGATTTCTAAGTAACCAAGCACATGTTCAATTTTTTTATAAATATTTCATATGTACTTGAAGAGAATTCTCTCTTTGGGTGCATGTTCTTTGTATATTCTTTAGATGAAGCTTATAAGTTATCTAATAAATCTTCTAAATCTCTATTAATGTTTTAGCTGGTAACTGCTCAGTTTCTGAGAGATAAGCATTAAAATCCTCATAATCATTATGGATTCAGTCATTTTTTGTTTTCTCTCTATCTAGGATATACTTTTAATTGTATAAAATGTCATCATCTAATGTTATAGCTCCTGGTAGGTTGTTCTTATCTTTCATTAATAATCTTCTTCATCTGTACTAATGCTCTTGCCTTTACATTTCTGTTCCTGTGTGCAAGTGCATATTTCTTCCAACCTTTTATTTTTAGCCTTTGTGTGTCACTGGTCCATTTTCCATTTTAAAAGCAACATAAAACTAGATTTAATTTTTTTACTGACTTTATTTTATTTTCAGAGACAGGATCTTGCTCAATAACCCTGGCTGGAGTGCATGGCATAATCACAGCTCGCTGTAACCTTGAACTCCTGGGCTCAAGTGATCCTCTAACCTCAGCCTCCCAAGTTGCTGGGACCACAGGCATATGTCACCATGCCAAGCTAATTTTGTTTTCTGTAGAGATGGGGTCTCACTATGTTGCCCAGGCTGGTCTTGAACTCCTGGGCTCAAGCAATCCTCCTGCCTCTGCTTCCCAAAGTGCTGGGATTATAGATGTGAGCAATCACACCCAGCATCTCTGTCTTTTAATGGGTGAATTTAAGCTATTTGTATTTATTGTAACTAATCTATTTGGACCTACTCTTCTTATTTCGCATGTTCTCTTATTATGGTTCTTTTGTTCCCTTCTCCTTTTTTCCCCTCCTCTCCTTTAATGTCCTATTTGAATTGACTGTGCTTTCTTTATTTCTATTTTCCCCCTACTGGTTTGGGAGTTACATATTCTATTTCTCTGTTCTTAGTGGTTTTGATAGTATCTAAAGCACAATTTGGCAAGAACTCAGAAGCTTTTAATGGATCACCTTAGGTTAGTTTAAGGGCTTTCTCTAGTATCCTCACTCCCCAGTGGTTGGGTCTTTAATGGGGTGAGGTGTAAATGAAAGTGCAGAGCATGGTCACTATGATGATTGTATCTTGGAGTGTGGATTTCCAACTTTCATTTGCTAAGACCTACACTTTATTGCCTGAGGCTGCCTGGTAATTTATAAACTGCCATACTCTCATGGTTTATAGATAACATGGCGGCTTCCAAGCAAAGATCCACTTGGTTTCTTTAGTTGCCCTTCCCTTTGTCTGCATTTGAGCCCTTGTAAGTGATGATAAACATTAAATAGCTCCTGTAAAACTGTTGAATTGTCAGTTTTTAAACTGCATAAAACACTGACATTTTCATTAGATCCTGGCTCTGAGGAATGTCCGGCTTTCATCATAACAGATTTGTTTACTTCTGCAGAGAGCCTTAATGCGCTGCCTATGGGAGAAATCTTTCTGTCACCTGCTCTTAAATGGGAAAGTCTTTGTTCAGCCAAAGATTTTTGGAAAAGGATTTGTAAGAGGGATTTTACACCTCCCTCTCTCTCCCTGACCGTCTCCCAAAAGGGTAAGGGATGGGAATAGAATCTTTGAAGAGCTTTGGTACTGGACAGGAAAAATTTCAACCTAAAATAGTCCTGCAAAGTCCATTAGGAGACAGAATGCTGAGGAGAAGCTATTAAACCACTATTTAGTTTCAGTGTCTCCTGTTAAAGATAAGCAAGTCATATCAATGTCTTTTTTACCTCAATCTTTTGGTTGACATTTAAACAGATATCTTGATTTTGGATTAATAAACTCTCTTGTGTATATTAGTAGGGAACACATTTTAAACTGCTGGGTCCTTCTAAGCAAGTTAATGAACCTTTCTGAGTTTTGGTTTTCTCATCTATAAAACTGAAATTATAAACTGACTTTTCAGAGTTGATATGAACATGAAGAGAGAGAATATATATGAAGGGCTCAGCACAGAACCTGGTTCTTAGTAGGGGACCATTCAATGGCATTTGACAGTGATGATGAAGGTAGTGGTGGGAATTATGGTGGTGAAGATGAGGATGATTATGGTGGGGGGAGGGTAGTGGTAAGAGTGTTGATGGTGATGGTGATGAGGATAATGCTGGTGGTGGTGACAGTTGGGGTTTTGAAAAAGACTGAGAAAGGTTATCATGTAATCAAAGAACTCAAGAAGAAGCAGAGTTATCTGTAACTACCTGACTGGCCAGGCGCAGTGGCTCATGCCTGTAATCCTAGCACTTTAGGAGGCCAAGGTCAGTGGAACGCCTGAGGTAAGGAGTTTGAGACCAGCTCGGCCAAAATGGTAAAACCCCATCTCTACTAAAAATGCAAAAAATTAACCATGTGTGGTGGCACAATGCCTGTAGTCCCAGCTACTTGGGAGGCTGAGACAGGAGAATCACATGAACCCAGGGTGCGGAGGTTGCAGTGAGTCAAAATCGCGCCACTATACTCCATCCTGGGTGACAGATCAAGACTCCATCTCAAATAATAATAATAATAATAACAATAAAACTACCTGCTCTATAATCTCCCAGTTTCTATTTGGGCACTTTCAGCCACTAGGAGATTCTTTCTTAGCAAAATTCTGTTATAGGCAGCAAACCACAAAAGCCCAGTTCATTCAGGCAATTGTGTTTTCAGGCCTAGATTTGTCTTCTAAAAAGTTAAACAGTGTTATTCTGAGTCATGTAATCCTGTTGCCATCTATCTCCATCCTAAAGATACTTTAGGACACCGCACACTTTGATGTTCTTCTGTCTTTCCTTGAACATGTATCTGCCATCTCTTTACCAACTCTTCTTTCTGTAGTCATTTGCATATATAAGTAAGGAACTCAAAGAAGACAATACAGGAGGAAAAAAGGTGCCAACAGCAAGGGTGGGGAAAAATCTGAGTGTTGTGTCACAGAAGTAAAAGAGGGAGACAGTTCCAGGCACAGGAGGAAGGTCACTGCTTTGAGCATGAAAGTGAGGGTGAGGATGAAGAAGGCTGGGCAGGACCGTAACTTCTGGCACTGAAGGGTCAATGCTGGCATCTGACACAGTATCACTGTGATGGTAAAAGATGGAGAGTCGAGGAATACTTGAGAGAAGAAGGGGTGAAGGCCACAGACATGGAGGAATGAGAAAGAGGTGGCTCCAGAGTAGAAAGAGTTTTTAGACAGGGGAGAATGGGGCCTCTTTGTGGACCAAGAGGAGGGAGCCAGAAGAGGTTGAGTCTTCAGATACAAAAGCAAGAGGATTCAGATATTTGGCCCTGGAGGAAATGGGAGAAGTATAAGGAGGAATTCATTGGCCCATAAAAGTACCTGCCCCACCACCAAGTGGAAAAGTGGGGAGACAGGGATATTACTAGGGGAGGAAAGGTGTCATCAGTGAGGCACATGCTAAATGGACTTGACTTTCTCTTAAGGGAAAGTGAGATCTCTAATGAAAGTGAGAGATGTTTTGAAGACATAAGGAGCTTGGGAGAGAGTTTAACAAGAAGTACCATCTGAAATTGGAGAGGAAGTCAGCCAGAGATGATTAAAATACTTGCTAAGGGACACCATGAAGGAAAGAAGGTGTGTGTACATTGTTTCATCCTATTTTCATCCTGGGTCCTCCTCCTAGGATCTCCCTTATGCACCCTGGAATCCCATGGATGACCCTTCAGTGCTCCCACACCCCCATGGGACCTCCCTCTCCATCTCCATGTTCATCCCTGCTCTCAGATGGTTATCACATAGAAATGAACCAGTGGACTGATTTGCACCAAGGCAAGGATGATGCTAAAACACAGTGTCTTCTCCCACCCTAACATTAGTGTGACAGGTAGTTGGATGAAAGCAGCGCTGGATCAGGAGTCAAGGGCCTAGCGTGTAGTCCCAAGTCTAGTTAGTTAACCTATCATTGTGCTCTCACAGCACAACATGGCATATCTTTCTTGCTTGCCATTGTAGCACCAGCATATTGCTCAGTTCTGGCACACAATAGGTGCTCATAGAATTTATTTGAATGAGTGAATAGAAGGACATAGGAAAAAAATTTCAAGCACCCTGTCATCCTATGCAAATGTAAAGCACTGTTATACCTATGTGCATTTTAACGGGTACAGTAGTTAAGCAAATGACTCTCTAAGAATAGAATATCAGCTACCAAAGGTGGGTAGGTGAAGGGAGATACTTTCAGCAGATCTGCGTGGGGGCTTTCTGCTGTTTTAACTACCTAGAGCTGCTGTGATTTAACTACGTAGGTGTCTACACGTATTTGGTTTGGCTTTTAGATAAATGAGCTCCTTTCCCTTCAGTAATCTGATCCAAGGATCCAAGATGATTTAGTCATTTCTCATTCCAGCTGTTGAAAAAAATACACTTCGTCATTGTAGACAAGAAGCTGAGGACCTGGCAAGACAAAGAGAGATGAAAAACAGGTTCCAGATAAAGAAGCAGAGCCTCCTTCTCACCTTTTTCTACCCTCTCCTCCCTTCCATCCCCTCCTGAATGAGGTCTTTGCCTTTCCCCATGACTCTACCAGCATGGAGAAATCGATTGTCAGCCAAATCCCAAAAGAATGAAAGAAAAATACCTTCCCAGAAGGAGAGGGCAGAGGGGAGAGATACAAGCATCAGTAAAGGCTGAAGGGATTGGCCTAGAAAGGGTGGAATCCAAAAGGGTGTTTATTTTCAAAACAGAAGCTTACCGATCAGGTACTTTTCAACAGATGAGAAAAATGGAATGAATGAGCAAAGCTTGTGCCCAGATACGGGGATATGCCCACAGCGGCCCCAGCCACTGAGTTAGCAAGAGCTGCTTTTGTTATTGCTCTGGAGGCAGACTTTGAGGAAGCCGGATTCGTTCATGAGCAACCAGAGGCTCAAGGAAGGCTGAGTCTGGCCCAGTCACCCTTCCTAGTCACGTAGAATCCTAAGTTCCTCCCCTGCCTACACACTGAAACAGCCCCAGAATCCTCACCAGCCATTCCTTGGCATCTTTTCAAGCACTACTCTTTTCTACAAATGCTCTAGAAAAAGGCCTTAGAGACAGGGAAGTAGCTTTTCTTCAGAAGCTATGTGTCAGCATTAAACATACATAACTGGATTCAGAATTGCCTCTGCTATGTATATGCTGTGTGACCTTCCCCAACGGGGTTACCTACTCTGAGCCTCATTTTCCTCATTGGTGAAATGGGAAAAATAGAATGTACCTCACAGGATAGAAGAAGGACAAGAATAATGGGGATGGGGTGCCTGATGGCAAAGAAAAGGAGTTCAGTGATTGGCAGTGAACCTGGCTGGGGAGACCCCCGGGACCCACTCAAGACTTGTGCTTATTTTTCCTCATTGCGGATGTTTGGTTTTGGCCTTGGTCAGCTGCTGCTTTGGTCAAAACCACACGCGCGCGCACACACACACACACACACACACACACGCACACAAACTTCTGAGGGGTCATTCTCCTCGTAAATAGCTCCTGGCCTGCTTGAATAACAACATCTTCCAAGCCCTGCCTTCGCCCTGGGTCTCAGTGTCCGCATGTGGAAAACAAAATGTGTGACTCAGTTTTCATTCATTTAAACTAGTTGAGGGGTTCCATTCCACCCATAATGTCCAAGGATTCTCTATGCTTGCTGTACCCCAGACTTCACTTCCCAGTCACAGTGCTGGGTCCCACAAAGGTGGAGACATGAGGTTTTACGTGACAGAAGGCAATCCTAAGAGAAGAGACAAAAGACAAAAATGAGAAAAACACTTCTCACGATTTCCCAGCTGCTCTACAACAAGCATATGCTTTCAAAATTTGTTTAAAAAAAAAAAAAAAGCTAAAAGACACAAGTGAAAATCAACCATAATTCTACCCCTTAAAGTTATGGAGATATGGCTGGGCACGGTGGCTCACACCTGTAATCCTAGCACTTTGGGAGGCCAAGGTGGGTGGACCACGAGGTCAGGAGTTCGAGACCAGCCTGGCCAACGTGGTGAAACCCCATCTCTACTAAAAATACAAAAATTAGCTGGACGTGGTGGCGGGTGCATATAATCCCAGCTACTCAGGAAGCTGAGGCATGAGAATCGCTTGAACCCGGGAGGCAGAGGCAGCAGTGAGCTGAGATAGCACCATTGCACTCCAGCCTGGGCAAGAGAGCAAGACTCTGTCTCAAAGAAAAAAAAATGTTATAGAGCTATAAAAGAGGACATTAATGTCCTCCACAACCTGTCTTGGCAGTTTGATTACAACACCAGATGCTACCATTGTGGACAATTTGGTATATGTCTTTCCCAATGTTTTCCTGAGTTTAAAACACACATCCACATTTACATGCATAAGTGCATATGCAATTTTTACAGAATTGTGGTGGGCAATTTTCATTGTTGGATCATTGCAGTTGGCTTGATACTGTATCAAGTTCCTCCTTTCAGGTCAGTTCGTGTAGTTTTACCTCTGGTCTCTAATGCAGCATCCATTCTATGGAAAAATCATATTTATTCAGTTATGTCCTTTTGATGGGCATTAGGTTGATTCCAGTATTTTTTAAGAAGGCTGCAGTGAACATCATTTATGTTTCACTGTACATTCTGGTGCTTTTATTTCTGCAGAATCAATTCCCAGAAGGACAACTTCTGAGTCAGAGGATGTGCTCTTTTTAGATGTTAATGAAGACTTCCAAATTTGTTTCTATGATGTTTGAAAGCACCTTATGCACCCACCAACGGGATGAGAGAGCTCCTGTTTCCCTATAACCTCGCCAAATTTGGATATCATCAGTCTTTATGTTTTTCCCAATGTGCCACACAGGGCACGATCTCACGCTTTTTACTTTTTACTTCACTTAGATTTCGCTTATTTTCATTTGTTCATTGGCCATCGTTATCCTACAATTGCCCACTTGTATCCTTGGTTTATTTTTTTGAGTGACGTTGCCACCTTCAAAAAAATGTATTGTCTTATTTTTATAATTAGTTTTTTATAAAAGAATATACATGATTTTTTAAAAGGTTTTTTTTGAGAATGTGAGACTTTTGAAGGCTGCAGGGAGGAGAAGGTTTTCATGGATGGGACACTGGGGAGTGAAAGGCAGTAATAATCCTTCAGTGTGCTGCACAGGGCCTTCTCTTTCACACACATTTTTGCCCCCATGTGCTCCTCAGTGCAGCCCTGGGAGGTCAGCTGAGCTCCAAATGCCTTCCTGGTGGAAGTCAGAACTTCACCTTGCCCCTGACTAATGAGGCTTGCCTCTTGGGCTTGACCTGAGAATCATGAGCCCTGTCTCCTGCTGGGACTTTTGCCTGACAACTCTTCCTGCCCTCCCCTCACTGCCCCTCCCATGCCTCTGTCCACGAGTTCTGCTTTTCCTGGAGGCTGGGAATTCACGTATAAGCTCCTTCAGGAATCCAGTGCCACCCCAAGGACTCCTCATGGAGGCCTCAGGTGGTGGTGGTTTTTATCCTTACTAATAGAATATCAGTTACCATTTATTGAGTATTTACTATGTGCAAGGCCAGTACTCATGGTTATGCAAGTTGTCCACTGCACAGCTCCAGCAGGCAACATTCCCCGTGTAGTCATGGTAGATGTGCGGAATTATTTCTGCCAAATGACCGTCACGTGTCTTGAAGAAGGGTGCCTTTTTCCAATTCTCACAGAGTCACCATCACAGTAAGCTGCTCGTTTGCGCACCAACCACTGGGCTGAGTGCTCTAAGCACATGGTTTTTAAAATCCTTAGAATAGCCAGCTGAAGTTGATGATTTTACCTCCTTCTCTCTCTCTCTTTTTTTTTTTTTTTTTTTGGTAGTGACTGGGTTTCACTGTGTTGCCCAGGCTGGTCTCAAACTCCTGGCTCAAGCAATCCTCCTGCCTTGGCCTCCCAAAGCGCTAGGATGACAGGTGTGAGCCACTGCATCCAGCCTTACCTCCTCTATAGCCAAGGAAACTGAGTCTCAAGTTAGTCACTTGCCCACGTTACACAGCTAATAAGTGAATTCAAACTCAGGTCCGGCTGACTCCAAAGCCTGTGTTTAATGCTTGCCCTACCCTCCCTCTGTATTGGAATATGGTTACCCCCAAAATGGTCCTCCGAAATGCCCCAAGCCATGATTATCGGCCTTCCTCGAGTGTTCCCACACACTCGAGGCAGGCTGGTGTAGCCAGTGTGCAGGATTGCTGTAGCTGGTGTGAACTTGAACTCAAACTAAAAACTGAAGCATTGGAGCCCAGATCCAGTCAAGCGCCATCTTATCAGCATCTCTGGATCCCTTTGTGGGAAGGAAGGGGGAGCCCCACTTTTGTGATGTGCTGTAATCCTGAGTCAGGGTTTTCTGGTCTCTGTCTCGGGATCAGTTTTCTTCGATCACACTCAGAGGTTAGGTAACTAACACAGAGGTGCTAAGAGTGAGAGCCAATGTTTCCCATCTTCTGACTGTGGTGCTGATGGATGGGGCACAGGTGAGAGGGTTTTTCTGGAATTGATTCATCAGGCCGAGGGGGATTTCCCTCTCACTCTCTGCTTTCACTTCTAAGGTTCGTGTGTCTTTTTAACATTCCTTCGGCTTACCGGGGCCTAAGTGGAAAGTTGTCTTTAGGATCCCTTTGTTCTGATTCAGTTGCCGACGCTTTATGATGTTGTTCCTTCTCTTGGAAAAATGCTCCAAATGGCTCGTGTAACTGATGCACTCCACATCACCCTGATTGACAGTGGGGAGGCCCTGGTTGGAAGGAGGGGTTGGGGCTGGAAGGAGGGGTTGGGGACTGTGAACATCATTACTTCTGGGCTCTGAAAGCCAGCATGCCTGCCCTTGATGCCACCCAGCTGGGAGCCTTCAGCTGGTTTCTTGGGGAAATCCAACCAGGAAACGACCCTGATGTTTGCACTAGCCACAAGTTGGGAGGAAGGAGGCAGGCTCTGGGTTCAGCCTAGGGATGTATACCCAATTTTTAGGCACTTGGATAACTTTATTTTACTTATGGCTTCAACTCATGTGTCTGGTCAATGAAAAAGGCTGTTTTGCGTTTGGAAGGCAATAGGCAATGATATTTATTTTTTAAGAGCTCTGCCACAGCTGGTTACCATTACCATCCCACCACTGGCTGTCAGGTTGACCCTGTGTAAGTGGCTTCCCTTCTCCAAGCCTCTTACCCCTGGCTGTGAAATGGGTTTGATAAGGCCTGGTTTAAAAGGTCATTACTAGGATTAAGTGGGATAGTACATGTGAATAGCTTAGTCCAAGGTTTGGCACACAAAAACCGCTGAATAGTATTATCACCAGCTCAGCAGGCAAGGCAGAAAATACTCTACACGGCACAGAAAGTGCATTGCCCTCACTCTACTGGTGTGGATTTCACAACCACTTTGGAGAGTAATTCTGCAGTAAGTAGGCAAGTTTAAATTAAACATTCACTATGACATAGCAATATGACCTTTAAGTGTATACCCTAGGGAAATGCTTGGGTGAGGCACAAGAAGATATGTGCCATTAGGGTTATTAAAGCTTTGTAATTGCAAAACAAAAAAGGATACAATACAAATATTCATTGATAGACGTTCTGGTATGTTTATGCAATAGGATATTTCACAGCATGAAAATGCACTCTGCATTAATGCACCTACATTAACATAGATAAATTGCAAAAACATAATGTTGGATGAAAGAAGCAGGCTGGGTGCAGTGACACTAAAAATACAAAATTAGCCAAGCATGGTGATGTGTGCTTGTAATCTCAGGTACTCGGGAGGCTGAGGCAGGAGAATCGCTTGAACCTGAGAGGCAGAGGTTGCAGTGAGCCGAGATCGTGCCATTGCACTTCAGCCTGGGCAACAAGAGCAAAACGAAAGAAAGAAAGAAAGAAAAGAAAAAGGAAGGAAGGAGAGGAAGGGGAAGGGGCAAGTTATATAATGATACATGCAGTATGATAACATTTGTTTAAAATTTTAAAACTTGCAAATTTGTACTACATTTATTAGTGAATGAATACATAGAGTACAACAGCATTAAATGTATGTTCCCTAACTTCAGTTTAGTGTTTACTTCAGGACTAGGGGAGGGAATAGAATGAAAACAGGGATGAGTGGGAGGAAGATTTCAATTATATTTCTTTTTTGTTCATAGAAAAAAATTTTGAGGAAAATATGGCAAAATGTTGAGATTGATTTTACTGGATGGTGGCTACATAAGTGTTTTAAATTTTGTTTTCAATTTTGTTCTCCATATTTGAAATATTTCAGAATAAAAATTTTTAATAAATGAAATTAAATTGCCTCATGCAGAGAAAGAATAATAAGATGATATAAATACTCCTTTCAAGGCATTTGCATTTTCTTTCCTACGGTAAGAGGAGAGGGGGTTAAGGAGCTTTGTGTTATGTCACAAATGTGAAAATGTTTGGATCATTAGATTTTTAAGTTAAAAGGCTAGTTTTAAAAATATGATTCTTCTTTAAAAGAACAGTTGGAAATGACAGTTATTTTAAATGTTCTTATCAAAAGAAATTAATAATGGCTAAATAGGTCACCAACTCGATGACTAGTTTAGATTGCGTTCTTATGTTTGTGAATTTAGAATGGGGAAATATCCGGTAAGATGCTTTCAGTCATAGTGGCATTTCTGCTATCATAGTCAAATAGACTAATATAAAGTTACACTAAACTATTTTCCCAAAGTAATATGGGAGTTATGAATAGGATTTTCTAAGCATCATGGCTGGGATCTGCCTTTGTGCTGGCCTAAGGTGGTTTGAAGTTGGCATTGAAAGTGAAGGCAAAGACTCACAGTCCGAGGGCCACCTCTCTTTGGGAAAATACAACCCCCTCTTGGTTTCTCCGTGGTCCTTTCCCCAACCCTCTGCAGTCCCCACTCCCTCCCCACCCCGCCAGTCACCTCAGGTGCACCAGTGTGCCTCCAAGTCAGGCCTATGGGGGCCTCTGTGTGAACCAGGAGGAAGCCCCCGGGGCTCCCAGGCTCTTCTCCAGGAAGCCCTGCTCTCAAACGCTGCCCTTTCCAGAGCTTCCTGGAGCCTTCCCTCCTGTGGCTGCAGGCTAAGGGAAGAAAGGATTTTCTTTACTTTATTTCAGTCTGGTTTTTTGATTTTCGTTCTGCGGTTCTGCTCTGCCTCGCTTTGTTTATCAGCATCAAAGCCGAAACCAGCTGTGTTTGTTTGTGGATCTTTCATTTCCATGAAACCTGCAGCTTTTTCTAGGTCACTCTGTGTTCTTAATAATCAAAAAGGTAGTTCACATGGCTGCAAAGGAAGGACTGGGGTCAAAAAATCCTCAAACCCACGGAGCCCCTTCGGTAGCCTTACCCTTGGCCTGGATGACTGGGAATAACAATTACATGATTTTGTTATCTTCCAGGGTCCCCCCAAAGAGCTCTCTCTAACAGGGGTAATTCAAATAGAAATCTTGCTTGTTTTTGAGCCACACCCTATGCAAAAGACTTTATTTTAAACATCTAGAACCCCAACAGTTATAGAGAGGGGAAGAGAGGGGATGTTGGGAGATTTTTCTATAACTGATTAACTGGACTGTTAGTTGGATTATTATGGAACCAGCAGCCACTTGAGGTCACAACTGACAGGTTGCTTATTGGGGGGAACATTTGTTTGAATGAAGCTCCAGTTCAGCGGTGGTAAATCTAGCCATTTAATGGGCCACTTGATGTCCAAGGGCAATTACTGGTATAAAAACCCTGAGCCCTAAAACAGGAGAAACAGGAGACCAGATGGAGGCCCCTTTAGAGATTTAGTCCTAAATCTGTTAACCCATCTTGCAAAGTGCTGCCTAGTTGACAGCACAAACAGCTGTGGAGGCCAAACCGGGTGCTATTTGTCTTAGATCAGGCCAGAGAATCTGGACCGAATGGATGGCACTGTTTGAATTTTACGGTAAACCGAGGAATGCTAATCACTGAATCTTAGGGACCACAGCGGAAGCAGCAGCCTGCCCGAAAGAGCCTCGCTTCCTCCTGAGCTTCTCCCCACCAAATGGATTGACATACATCAGGCTCCCGAAACAGCAAAGACAAGACCGTATTTGGATTTGTAACTCCCCGGGTATTTTGCAGGCAGGTCTGGTTCTCGTTGTCCATTGACTCTGAGATAAAATCAGGGCCTCTGCTTAGCTTGAGACAAGCCATGCGCTTGGATATCTTCCTTCTTGGGGCGGGAATGCCCAAGTACTACATGGTGGATTGCAATTTGCTGGTGGTGCTCCCCTGTCAATCTTCTCAGTTCGGGAGGTGCCACTCTCTGTCTTATGTTATCCTTGCCCACACACATCTTTCTCTCCCCACCGTATTTGGTGTGCTCCTGAAACAAGGCAGCCTCAGCAGGGAGATGTGGGTTATGGCTGCTTCCACCCATGAGGGTTTACGTGGCATATGCAGGTGAGAAAGGGAGGAGTCTCTGGCCTCTCCAAGCAGAGTTCCCCAATGCCTCACCATCTCCACACTAAATAGGGTAAGTGGGAAGGTAGGAGAGGTGTGATTATAGAACCTCATCTAAGTGGAAATTCTGCCAGGGAAACTGCCTTTCCTCTGAGTCTCGGCGAGGCAAGGGTAGAGGAAGGAACTGAGCCCAGAACACCTGGCATGGACAACTAGTAGTCATAGCAGCCATTGTTGAATGAACATTGATGTAAACCAGGCGTGGCTCTAAGGACTGCATGCCTGTTAATACTTTAAGTCCTTATTAAAGCTCCAGGAGGTAGGAGCTGTTATTGAACCCATTTTGCAGATGGGAAAACTGAGTCTGCAAGGGAAAGTACCTTGCCCAAGAAGGGGCAGGCCCAGGCTTCAAATCCAGGGCATCTGGCTCCAGGGCCTAAGCTCTTCACCAATAGGCTTCCCTGTGGGGGTCCCTGAGGCTACATTACTGCTAAGAATAGTAACAGTGGTCATCGACTGAGTGTGTTCCTTGTGCCAGGTACTATTCAACAAGCACTTTCCATGTGTTAGCTCTTTTAACGATGAATCAACTCTGAGCTTATTACCGTTTTATGTGTAAGAAAACTGAGGCTTGAGTGACTTAACCAGAATCACATAATAAGTGAAGAAGCCAAAATTCTATCCCAGAAAGTCTTGGGAGCTTGACTCCTAACCCTGTACCTGTTTTGGGAGGGGGGCTAGCAAGTTGGCATGTGGTTGGACTTGCTGGCAAAGGTACTTTCTAAGCCCTCTGCTGCCCTTTGAAGCCTGCAATGGGAAAAGCAACTCAGTGAGCTCTCGGATACTTGGGAAGAGGGATTTTCCCATTACAGACGTGGCTGGTTCCATCACCTATACTGAGCAGATCCCCCAGCTTCCACAAGCCCATGTCATCTTATACCAGCCTAGCACTAACCATAGTTGCTAGCATAGACTTGTACTCAGTAAATTAATAGGGAAGCTGATACCGTCCAGTGCATCCTTGCCTTTCTAGGAAGGAAGGAAGGAAGGAAGGAAGGAAGGAAGGAAGGAAGGAAGGAAGAAAGGAAGGAAGGAAGGAAGGGAGGGAGGGAGGGAGGGAGGGAGGGAAGGAGAGAGGGATGGAGGGGAGGGAGGAAGGGAGAGAGGGGAAGGAGGGAGGGAGGAAGGAAGGAAGGAAGGAAGGAAGGAAGGAAGGAAGGAAGGAAAGAAGGAAGGAAAGAAAGAAGGAAAGAAGGCAGGCAGGCAGGCAGGCAGGCAGGCAGACAGGCAGGCAAGCTTCCACACTGGAAACCAGCCAGTAGCTAACAGATGCCTGACTTTACATTGTGATTTCTTTAGATTGATATTCACTAATGCACAGAACCCAAAGGCCATCTTTTGGTGGGTAAGAATGTGACATTTTGCTTTGACTCTGAAGAGTCTGGGTAGCTCGAGTAAATGATCCAAGTCCCCTCTCTTTGGCTTAGCTGGTCCACAGAGCATAACAATTGGTGTTACCACTGTAAGGATGATACAATAATGGCATGAGTACATTAACTAATTAGTACTTACTATGTTTAGTTTCTGTGCTAAGCAGCCAATATTTTTGCAATAAACCTTTATTAGTCCCACTTTGTCAGATGAGAAAACTGAGACTAACAAAGGTTAAGTAACCTGCATAAAGTCACTTATCTGGCAAGAATTGTGTCATTATTCAGACTCAGGGCTTCCTCTCCAAAGCCCCGTATTCTTCACCACCATGCAGTACATTGAGTTGATCATGTGCTGAGATACTGAGGCTCAGAAATGCTAGATGACCTGCCAAGACTTCTCAGCTATTTGTAATAATGTCAGGATTTGAACTCAGGCTACTTCTTATATGATCCTGTCTGTTTTAACAATCCTTTCAAAGACAGAGTTTACTCCTTTAGGCAAGGGAGGGCTCTGGTCAGAGCCCTGCAGAAGAAAAACAGTATGAAGTTGTGAAGACTGATATGATACAAAGGCAGTCGGTAGTCTGAGCTTGCTTACAAACTAATTTGAAATAGGAATCAATTAGCTGTGCAAAATTCAGCCATTGAGATAGATCATTCATTTAAAAAAGAAGATTCCACTTCAAAATATTGATAGCCAACTTCTGGATATAACTGCTCATGAGAACAAGCAGTTGCAGAGTGTGGTAGACCACTTCATAGATACTTGACACTGTTTGAGGAGGAGAGCAGGTCGGTGTCCAGAAGTTGCCACTCTGAGAAGAATAACTGATCAGTGCATCCATCCATCTATCCAACTATAAATACCTATTGTATTGAGTACCTACTTGGAGCAGGGATCTGTGTCAAGGGAGAGAGGCCCTCACAGAGGTTAAATTCTAGCAGAGAAAGCTTCTGTGAAACCAGAGTTCACAATAAACTCTGATGGGGTATGATAGAGTACATGCAGGATGTTACTGGGGCCCATGATCTAGTCTAGCCACGAGGAATTGCTTCCTATGGGACATGTTGTTTTAGCTGAGACCTGAGCAATGTGTGAGAGTTAGCTACAGGAAAAGTGAAGAGTGTTCCAGACAGGGGGAACAGCTTGTACAGAGGCCAGGAGGTTGATGAGAGCCTGTGTATAACTGCAGGACTGGATAAAGCCCAGGCCAGTTGGAATGTGGGGAGGGGACAGCATGCATGTATATTTCAAAGTTCTTGGGTATTGATTACAAATGATCGGCCTCATGACTCTAGATGAAGACTCATGTGTTATGAGCTGGTTATACTCTCCCTGATGGCAGAGTTCTCCCCAGGGGTCATCTGCTAACCCACCTGTCCTGGAAGAGAAGTGAGAACAGAGGTTGCTCCATGCGAAGTCAATGGTTCTTCATTTTGGAAGAGGTCATGGAAATTTCTGAGAAGCTCTGGACCCTTTTCCCAAGAAAAAGCATGTGGCACATTTGAAACGTTGCATATCATTTCAAGAGGTTCACAGGCACCTCTTGAAGCTTGTCCATGAATTGGAGGTATAAGGACCACTGGTTGGAAACCTTGGCTTCTTTCCCTTTCACCAGAGGAGCACCATTTCCACCTGGAAATAGTGCTGGCCACAAATGGTGAATTCCCTCTCCATAAACCCTGCCACTCTTACCTGTGCATGCAGACTTCTCCCTACACATCTAAAGACCTCACCTCTGGGTAACTCCCCTGAGTTAATCAGCCATCAGTGTAATTACTGTACCATACTCTTAAAAAATCTGCACAGTATATAAACTCACCTTGAGGGATGACCCCCAGATGTCTCACCTTTTTTCCCCATGGGCCAGGCTAAATGGTATTATTGCATGGGTATTTTCAGACACATGGTTTTCTTTCCCCCTTACTTTCCTTTTTAAAGGAAGTGGCGATGGGAGACTTAGGACTTAAGCATTTGAAAAGAGAAAGATTGATAATACCATAGTACCTTTGTTTCCCCTCTGAGATGCTCATCCTAAAACTGACTCCTTCAAGGGCCAACCAAATCAGTGAGAGTCACCCAGCACTGCCCCCTAGTTAGAGGAGCACATTTGGGCTCCTGAAACAGGCCAGGCACCTCCTGCCTCAAGGCCTCTGCACTGGCTTTTCTTGCTGCCTGGAATTCTCTTCCCTCAGATAACTACTTGGCTCACTCCCTCACCTCATTCAAGCCTTCGTTCAAGTATTATCTGCTCAATGAGACCTCATCTAACCACCCTATTTAAAAATAGCCCCCATCCCTTTCCCTGGTTTGTTTAGACCTTTATCATCATCTAGAATACTATGTATTTCAATGTCAATTTTGTTTAGAACCCCATGTAGGCAAGCACATAGGCTGTTGTGTTCTCTGTGCCCAGAAAAGTTATTGGCACACATGAGTCATATTCAATATGTATTTAATGAATTAACAAACCAATAATGTTCCCAGATGGGTTTGAAAAAGATAAGCATCTCTAGGACCATGTGTATATATGAAGTCAATCCAGACACTTACCTTCCAAACTCAAGCATCACACAAGCCCAGAGAAATGAGAATATCACACTTACCAAGCCCTTGGGTTCTGCTCTAGCCAGCACCCTTATGAAAGCAATTAGCACCTGTGATTTGGAGAAATGATTTCAGGGCTCTTGTGGGAGTTGGTAACAACTTGAGGACCCCTGATCCAGGCAGTGATTTCCAAAGGAAATGCATTTGGTCTCTCTTGGTCCCATCCTCTGTCTTTTCTTCCAGAGTTTCCTGACATTGAAAAGACATTTGTATTTTTGTGGCTGAAATAGGTTTCTTGCCCTCAAGATTTTCGCAAAGTGGTAGCCTTTATTCTTTCGCCTCTGGCAGCACTACCCCCTCCCCAAATTGAACTCAGTAGGATTCAAGCTTCCCCAAGACAAAAAAAAAAAAAATATGCTTCCTATTGCTGTCAAGTGGTATTTACATTCAGTTTTGGCAATGGTGGCAAAACCCACTTTGGTGTTTTTGCCACTTCTTAAATATATTAGGTTGGTGCAAAACTACCATTACTTTTAATGGCAAAAACTGCAATTACTTTTGCACCAACCTAAATACAATCATCCCAAACTATCATATCACCTTTTGAATTCTCTTCCTATGTCCCTGAGGCTGTGGACTCTATTTGAAACCCTCACCACTGCCGTGGAGATATTAAATTAAGCATTGCAGCTTAGCATGGAATGTGTAGATACTTGAAGCAGGATTTAAAAGACATTCTGATTTCCTAGAAATGTAACAGTATATTGCCTTGGAGCAGACAGCAATGCAGGAAGGAGCATTCTTTTCCAGCACTGAGCCTGTGGCTCTTCAACGCAAAGGAGGTTAAATCATGAGCCGAGTGCGCAGCATGTGAAAGGTTGAGGATGTGTTCTGTTTAGGAGATCCTGTAAACGGACTTGTTTTGCTGGGTGGAAGAATGAATCATTTCTGCCGTGCACACCAGCTGCAGCCTGTGGAAGTAAACCGAGGGCTTTCCCACAGCATGCGCTGTATATTTCATTGTTAGAGCTTTGCATTTTGACAGGTAGTTCTTATCCTTCTGGAAAGAGAGGTCTGAAGCCAGCAGCTGGAGGAAGACCTGGCAGGTCCTGCCGTCTAAATTGAGAGCAAGCATGTGCAGCAAAACCTCATTATAACATGACCTGTTATTATGTGGATTTTGATATCCCATGGGGCAAATATGTCTCCCAGCATAGAACAACTCCATATAGCAGATGCCTGTTGTAACTTGTCTAACCCAGAATACAACCTTGTCTCTGAATCCAGTGTTATTAAGGGGTTCATGCCATTTTTTTTTCAAATTGAAAAACGTACCAAATGTAGATTGTGAATTATATATACTATACAAAGTATGGGTAAAATGCGTATGATGCATGGCAAGTGCTCATTGAGGTCTGTCCTTTTGTAGAATTTACATTGTAGAAGAATATGGTAGGTTAATTGCAAAAATGTCCCCAATTTTCAGGATTCCTATATGCATGCCCTTTGCAGTGTGATTTTATAACTGTTCCCATAAAGAAGTGGGAAAAGCTATATAGCTCTCTTTTCCCTCTGCTTGAATTTAGACTGGTTTTAAGACTTCCTTTGACCAACAGAATGTAGTAGAAATGACAGTACGCCACTTCCCAGCCTAAGCCTCAAGAGCTCAAGCTCTCTCTCTGTCTCTCTCCCCACTCCCACCTCCACCCCTCACTCAGAACTCTGCCTAACCATGTGAAAACAAGCCTAGGCTAGCCTGCTGGTAGATGAGAGGCCATGTGCAGGAGAGCCCAGTTGTCCCAGCCAAAACCACCCTAGACCAGGTCACAGCCAGCCAAGCCCCAAATGTGTGAAAGAGCCCTGCCAAGATCAGCACAGCTACCTATTCCACTTATAGAGGAACATGAGTGAGCCCAGCCAAGACAAGACATATCACCCAACTGACCTGTGGACTCATGAGCAATAATAAATAGTTGCTATTTTAAGCCACTAAGATTTGAGGTGATTTGTTACACAGCAATAGCTAACTAATACAGGGAGACTTGCAATGTGTAAGTAGATAGTATTTGTTTCACTGTATTTTTTATAAGGAGAGAAGTTCAAATAAGGACATCTGCCTTGCAGGGAATAAAACAGGGTCACTTGGCCAGGTTACTTTAGATAAAACGCTGAGTAAAGGCCTTTCTGAGGAGACAGGTGAGCCAAGACTTCAATGAAAGGAGGTGCAGACTGTGGTAGGAGCCAAGGCAAGAGCTTTCCTGGAGCACAGTGAAGTGTGTGGAAGGCCCCGAGGTGGGCTTTAGGGACTGGTAAGAGAAAAGGTCTGGGAGAGTCGCAGGGACCAGACCTCATGGAGTCCTGTAGGGTGTTTGTATTTTGGTACAAGTGCTGGGAGAAGCCATTGACAACTCTGTACAAGAGGGTGGCATTGCATTTTTAACTTTCTAGGCTGCTGCAAGGCAGCATGAGTAAATTTGGAAGACCCAGTGGGTAGACCACTGCAGAAGTCAGATGAGAGATGCTGGGAACTCAGATGAGGATGGCCCTAAGTGGGAAGGCCCCTCTCTGCTTGCTACAGAATTCGCCATATCCTGCCTTGTTTAGAGCCTGCTGTTTACCCAGTGAGGTTTCCCATGTATTGGTGAGCTCCCTGCAGTGGGGGCCACGTCCCCTTTCTCTCTCCCTCTCCAGTGCCCAGCACAGAGTAGGGCCTTAGTAAATACTTGCCTCAGCAAAGCCCTTCTCTCAATTTTCTACCCCAACTCATACTGTGGCAGTCTAGACAACCTCTTCCATTTCCTTTCACTCCAGTGGATCGGGAGAGGTGCCCTTCTTCTTTCGCAGGAACATGGAGGTTACATGAAGCCCTCTAGGACCTAGTCTTTGTTATTAGGGAGCATCTCTTAATGAAGAACCTGTGGCCACCACCTAGCAGGTTCCTCTCCAAGGCCTAGAGTATGGTGCATGCCTGGGGTCTGTTTGGGGTTCAGCCTGACTTATCTGGTGACTATGGGGATGTCTTTAGGCTTCTTGGCTCCTCTTCCTCCTGCTATAAAATTCCTCTGGTTTGTACTTCCCACCAGCCCACCTTGCAGGCCTGTGATTGCTGTGATCCAGTGTTTATGGAGCACCCAGAGCAATAGAGGCAGCCGCTGGGGAGCAGATGCTACATTTGGGACCCTGCCCTGATGAGCTATCATTCCCCAAGTGCCTCGGGAATCACAAATAAAGGGAACTTTATGAGGATATAACCTTATTATTTTTACCCCATCTCTCACTGCCCTTTTATTAGTAGAATTATTCAAGGCTGGCCTTCTCCTTTCAACTGGCATAAATTTTCTTTCACTCAGCTTGGATTTTTTTTTTTCTCTTTTTTTTTCCTAGGGAAGGTGGGTGGAATTTAGAATTAAAAAGTAGCAATGCAGTGGGAATGCAGACCTGTCTTAAATTTCACAGCAGTTCATGAACTTCAGGAAATCTGAACACACAGCATGCAATTAAGAGCAGGAGGGGATTTTTTTAAAAATCAGTTGTGAAAGAAAAGGTGATCGGGTGGAGAGGGGCTGATCGCAGGCCTCTGGGGCCTGGAAGTTGGCGCTGAGGACAGGGCAGACAATAGCCTGTTGGCAAGCCAGACGTCTTAGCTTGTCTTTTGATCTTTAATCACCTCGACTTGTCTAAGACAGAGCACGGCAAGACTCTCCTCTGGACAGAGAGGCCAGGACTCTGAACAGGGCTCAGGAAAGGCCACAGGGCCCTGAGAGCTTGGGTTCAGCCTAAGATCCTCCCCCAAGCCTCCCTCGCACGATGCGGTGTGACTGACTCTTGTTGCCACTTTGGAGCTGCAGTTTTCTGACATGGTGGGGTCGGGCAGGAAGCTGAGGGGCTAGGCACGAGGACGGGGCCGTCAGCCCAGGCCATAAAGATACAGGGGACGGCTGTGAGCTAACGGGCAGGATGCAAGGTGGGGGTTTCCTCCGCAGCTGCTTCTCTATCTCTTGGCTTGGCTCGGAGTTCAGAGGAAAAGCCATGTTCCTACTTTTGCTCTGGAAATTGGGATGAGAAGCCCTTGGGCAGCAGCACACATATGCTAAGGGCACGTGCCTGGAGCCTGGCAGACCTGGGTTTGAGCCCTGCTGCATCACTGCTCTGGGGCAGGCCCCTTTACCTCCCTAAGCATCGGTTTCCTCATCTGTAAAATAACATCACAATACCTCCCCTGAAGGATTATTTTGGGCATCAAGTGTGCTAATCTGTATAAACTGCCAGTAGTTCCTGGTGCATGGTAGGGCCTCCATTAATGTTTTTATTTTGGATTTATTTTTTTTTTTTTTTGAGATGGAGTCTTGCTCTTGTCACCCAGGCTGGAGTGCAATGGCGTGATCTCAGCTCACTGCAATCTCTACCTCTCAGGTTCAAGTGATTCTCCTGCCTCAGCCTCCTGAGTAGCTGGGACTACAGGTGTGCCACCATGCCTGGATAATTTTTTTTATTTTTAGTGGAGATAGGGTTTCACCATTTGGCCAGGCTGGTCTCAAACTCTTGACCTCAGGTGATCCACCCACCTCGGCCTCTCAAAGTGCTGAGATTACAGACGTGAGCCACCGTACCCAACCTATTTTGGAGAATTTTATAGAGGTAAATAGCTTAGTTATAAACTAACTGTGTGACCTTTAAGCAAATCACTGAGCAGCCTCTCTGAGTTTCAGTTTACTCCTTTGTAAGTGGGGATAGGAAAAGTACCTACGTGCTTGTTTATAAAGGTGAGGATTCAAGCAATCAGATGTGTCTAATGCACAGCCCAGGGCTTGGCACAAAGTCCCAGGCAGGGTTTGACTGCTCTTGCTACTCTGGTTTTCCCCTAAAGCTGTACTGTTTCAGCCAGGGGGTAAATTTGGTGCCCTTGGTCCTTCCTCTCCCCTCAGCTGAGCCACTAGTGGAGCTGGAGAAGGCCTGGAGCCAGGGCAACCTACAGGGATCATGGTGGCTGGTGGGGAGCCCTCTGGGGCCAGGAACTGGGCCCAGCACCCTAGTCCATAATAATGATGGGCTTCTGTGTCCTACTTACTTTTCATACATCCACTCCAAAGAATTCTTATAAGAGCCCTGCTGGGTTTGTTTCCATCATCCCCATTTTGCAGATGATGCAATCAAGAGGTTACATGATTTTCAAGAGGTCACATGGGCTAGTCAGAGTAAAGCAGCCAAGATTTGAACCAAGGCAGTCTGGTAACAGGACCCCATTTATCCACTGTATTCTGTTGGTCAGAAGAACCCTGGGGTGGTCAGACCAGGAAGAGGGTGGGAAAGTGCACCTCTGGCCTTCTGGCTGAGTGTGGTGGCTTACAACTGTAATCCCAGCACTTTGGGAGTGCAGGGTGAGCAGATCACTTGAGGTCAGGAGTTCGAGACCAGCCTGCCCAACATGGTGAAACCCCGTCTCTACTAAAAAATACCAAAAAATTAGCTGGGCTTAGTGGCGCATGCCTGTAATCCCAGCTACTCGGGAAGCTGAGGCATGAGAATCACTTGAACCCAGGAGGGCGGAGGTTGCAGTGAGCCAAGATCATGCCACTGCACTCCAGTCTGGGCAACAGGGCAACATTCCGTCTCAGAAAAAAACAGAAAGAAAGAAAGAAAGTGCACCTTCTGTGAGCCAGTAGTTCAGCCAGGGGACCCAGAAGTCTCCACTCCTCCAGTGTGTGGTTTCTCCACCATGGATGAGCGGGCACTTACATGGCAGTGGGGTCAGCTAGGGGTTTAGAACTGGCCCTAGGAAAACAGAGGGCCCATTCTGGCCTGTGTCTGGAGGGCACTTGTGATAGTTAATCTAGGCTCTGACTCACTGAAGAGAACTTATGGGACTTTGGAGCTTGCAGAGACAGCCTCAGTGATCAACTCGAGCCTTCTCAGTCATGGTAGCAATGCCACCATCACTTGAGCCCTCTTAGGAGCATCACCCTGCAAACTTCTTAAATCCTCAGTGGCTCTACAAGACTCTTGTCCTCAATGCACACATGCAGAATACTGAGCCAGCAGAGCCTTAGAGAGGCACAGTGCCTCACCCAAGGTCACACAACTAGTAGGTAACAGACCTGAGATTTTATCTCCCCCCATCCCAGCTCTTCCCAAGGCCACAGGAATCTTCCTTGGCACCCCTTTCATAGGGCACGTCCTTCCTCTTGGATATATCTAGTGTGAGAGAGCTCATTCCTCCTAGGAAGGTCCATTCTGTACATCCCCTCATGCATCGGCCAGATGACTTGGGAGATAAAAGTTTGTTTTATCAAGGGACTTTGGCAAAGGAAAGTCCTGCCCAAGATTTCATTAGGGAATTGACAGAGAAAATAGCAACCACCGAATGGTATGGATGAAACAGGAGGAATCTGGAAGCCAGGCAGGCCTGGGTTTAAATCCCAGGCTATGAAGCTGTGAAGCCTTGGATAAGTCACTTCACCTGTACGGACCACAGTGTCATCATTGGTCACATGAGAATAACCAGACCTAATCCAGGATAAAAAATAGCACATGCAAAGCCCTGGGCCTTTGAAAAAACTTGACACCAAGTAGCTTCTAATAATAGCAATAACTGCTATGATTACTGCCACTGACCCTGGCAGGACAGCATTTAATCTCTGTACAAATGCAAGGATAAATGAGTGTGTTCCCTCAATTTTTAAATGCCTCTTGCATTTATTGACAGCTGTTTGGTGATGAGGAGAAGCGCTACATCAAGTGCCCTCATCAAATAAAAGCTATGTTCTCAATTCAGAAAAACTTAAAGGTAGGGAGATCTTGCAGTCTAGGACTATGGAAATTCACGGCTCTTCATCACTCCAGAAAAGTGTGTTGACAGAATCCATACTTAGGCTGAAGGCACGTGGCAGGCTTCATTGCTGCATGAACTGTGTGCACTCACATTAAAGATGAGGCAGGGACATGTGGGCTGAGGAAGGTCCAGGCAGCTGACTCTGGCAAGCAGAGGACTAAGGAGGAAGACTCCTTGGCTGTGCAAATGGAAAAGAAAGTCATAAAAATTGTGACGAACCACATGAGGAGCGGCCCAGTGTGTCACCTACCTACCCCAGCCTTTCCTTGATCAGGGCCTGCCTCCAACTAGCTGTGACATTGCCTCTTGGTGCTGCTGCTGCAGACCCCACTATCCTGGCCCCCCTCGCATCTGTTGCTCTTCACATCATCACTCCAGATGGAGAGGCATGCAAAAAAAGAAAAGTGAATCTTAAAGTTCAACAATCAAATGGCTGGCTAACATTTATTGAGTGCTTGCTGTTGCCTGGCTTCATGCTAAATGCATCATCTCAGACAATTCTCAAATAACCCCGTAAAACAATTGCTATTATCCATACCCATTTTACTGATGAGGGAACTGAGGCACAGAGAAAACTAAATACTTTGCTAATAAACATTGGAGGTAAGATTTGGTCTGTTCCATACCAAAGCCCATTTCTTACCGACATCTTTCTGTGTTATGTCCTGTCATTCCATAACATACCAGAAATATTTACTTTGAGACAAGACTGTTGATGGGGAAGGAGGTGGTATAAGTGGAGAACACTTGGAAGGTGCCTGGTGTTTTGCGGTCAAACCTGTTCTCTTTTCTGAGGCCCAGAGAAGTTAAGCAACTTGTTCAAGGTCACACAGCCTCTATATAAAGGGGGTTTCAGAGGCCCTGGGGTTTCTGAGCTCCTGGAGGAAGACCTGCAGTACTTAGAAGTGTTGTTAGAAGTGTTGATTGCTGAATTAAAGTGATAGAGTAGAAAAAACCCCTTAGTGGGATCATCTGGGGGCAACTGCCTCACTGTAATGAGAGAGCAGCTGAGAACCCTAGAGGTCACCAGCTAAGGCTTTTAAACACTTAACAGAATTTGACTATTGGAGGGAGGCCCTCCAGGGTAAGGGAAAGCTAGATAGCAGGGGTTTACACCTGGCCCCACCCTTCACTATGTGACCTTAGGCAAGTCCCCCAGCCCCAGTCAGAATCTGTGTTCCCATCTGAAAATGGGGTTGCTGACAAGATTATTGTGAGACTTGGCTGTCAAGAATACAAAGTGCTCCATGTAGGAGCTTGTGTAAAATAACTGCTCAATAAATATTCGTTATTTTCTAGAAGATTCCAGATATCCCCTGAGGGTCCAAAAAATGGCCCCTGGTGTTATTTAAGCATAGAATTGCTTCAGCTCCTTCTTTTTGTTGCCTACATGGGTGCTCGTGGGAGATGATATTGAGGATTGAGGAAAGCACACCGCCAGGAAGGGTGTTCCCTCTGCCATCAAATTCTCACCCTTGGGTTCCTGTGCCTCTAGCTGGCCGGGCCACAAGCATTTCTCCAGCTGCTGGCCCAGGGACCGAGGTGAACAGAAGTGGGTGACAAAGCCTGCCTGTCTCCCAGGCCACTTTCTGGGCTGCTCCTGAAGTGCAGCCAGGATGGAACCATAAAAGGCGACGCTCCCTGGCCGCTGTCTTTGTTTTCCTCGCTAGCTGGAATGCCTCATGATGACAGGCAGCCAGGAAATGCCCCTTCACTGTCCCAACGCCACCTCCCTCAGGAACGCCGTCAGTCTTGCCTTCCTGGGCTGCACAGACCCTGCGGGTGGCAGGAAGAACTGCACTCCCTGGGTCTAGAGGGAACACCTGAATTTCGGCCCAGGTAGGTGGCCTGGTGTTCACATTATCTTGTAAGGAAGGACAAGGCTGAAGCAAGAGGGAACAGTATCCAGGAAGTTTTTGTGGACTTTTACATTTAAGGAAAGACTCATTCAGTACCCCCTGCAGGTATTAATTGAGCACCTACTGTGTGCTAGGCCCTGTGCTAGTGTCTTAGAATGTAGGTTTTATTTTTAATCAGGTCTGGTGAGGCCACTGAAAAGATGATTTGTTGCTCACAATTCCAAGAGGGGAAGGCACACCACATCATGCAGGACCACTCAGGAAACACTTCTGAACACTCCACAGAATTTGACTATTCTGTTTGGTCAGAAAGCAGAGGGAGCCAGGGGAAAACGTGGGCAAGAGCCTTTGTTGTGGCTTTTGTGGGAAAGGCGAGCAAGGCAGGGTGAGCAGGTTTAGAACTGACTAGCTTGAATAATTTCAGTGGACTCTGGGGTGTAGTTGTTGTCCTCACTGTCTGGTGCTTGGTCCCAGGGTGATTGGGGCAGGGAAATAATGGTCTGGAGTGTGAGACCCCTAGAAGAGCCCCAGAAGGGAGGAAGTGGTTGGGGTCGGGGCTTTGGATTGATTGGTTTGCATATAAAAGGTGAGCTCCAAGTCAAAATTGTTTACTATCTCTAGGAGTTAGCTAGCCCTAGGAGAGGCAGTGTCCTTCAGGTCCCTAAGGCCCCAGATGTCACAGCATCAGAATAAAAAGCCACACTTGCTACAGCTAGGCTGTCAGGAGCACAGTTGTGCACAAAACAGACCCGATTCTTGTCATCATAGAGTTTTCTAACCAGTAGGGAAGAAGACATTGAATTACTTTTTTTTTTTTTTTTTTTTTTTTTTTGACGGAGTCTCGCTCTGTTGCCAGGCTGGAGTGCAGTGGCACAATCTCGGCTTACTGCAACCTCTACCTCCTGGGTTCAAACAATTCTCCTGCTTCAGCCTTCTGAGTAGCTGGTATTACAGGGGCACGCCAAACCATGCCCAGCTAATTTTTATCTTTTTAGTAGAGACAGGGTTTCCCCATGTTGGCCAGGATGGTCTCGATCTCTTGACCTCGTGATCCGCCCGCCTCAGCCTCCCAAAGTGCTGGGATTACAGGCGTGAGCCACTGCGCCCGGCCCACTTCTCATTATTAATGCTGGTCAAAATGGACTAAACTAAAATGAAAAATTGGAGCCTGTCAAAAGCAAGGAAAACAAAGCAAAACAAAACAAGACTTGTGTAAGGGCAGAGGCCAGAAGTTGGGGAAGGAAAGGGAAGCTCCAAGGTTTTGTAATTTTCCTTGACCACCCTAATCACATCCCAGTCTAGGTGGTTTATCTGACCACAGACCATCTGTTCTTCCCCGGGCATGCCAGTGGTGAGTTAGAGAATATCGTCAGAACCCTTTGAACTCCTGGGAGAGATGTCCTGCAGAACAGCCCCATGCATCATCCGGCTGCAGCTCCCCCTGGCCCTCCCTCTGCACTCACCTCATCCCAGACCATTTGGAACCAACCTGGAAATCATTATCTCGTCAGGTTACTTTGTCACATCAGCAAGAGGAAAACTCCAACCATGGAGATAAGATGTGGACTTCGCCTCTCTTCTGGCCGAACTTCCTACCGTGACCATGCTGTGATTGGGGGCCTTTCCAGCGTTCAGCACAGCCTCTCGTGCTGCCCTACCCTGCCTATGACTGAGCTGGGACCAGAAGTACCAGGACAAGAACCAATTTTGGAGCATGAAATTGAGACGGGTGGGAGATTTAAAGCCCCATTGGCTCCTGGGAGAAATGGAGAGACTCAATGAATATAAGAAATGGGGGGTCGGGCATGATGACTCAAACCTGTAATCCCAACACTTTGGGAGGCGGAGGCAGGCAGATCACTTGAGATCAAAAGTTCAAGACCAGCCTGGCCAACATGATAAAATCCCGTCTCTACTAAAAATACAAAAAGCTAGCCAGGCATGGTGGTACACACCTGTAATCTCAGTTACTTGGGAGGCTGAGGCAGGAGAAATCGCTTGAACCCGGGAGGTGGAGGTTGCAGTGAACTGAGATTGCACCACTGCACTCCAGCCTGAGTAATAAACTCTGTCTCAAAAAAAAAAAAAAAAAAAATAGAAATGAAGTCATCTCCAAAATAGAAATTTATTGACTGTGTTTCTTTCTATCCCCAAACTTTGGACACCACGAAATGATCATCAAACCCAATTAATTATATGTCATGTAATTTTTTAAAAAGATGAGTAGTGAAATGTTTTTAAATTCTTGACTTAATTGAAATCAGTGTTGATGTGACTTGCCAAAGTTTAAAAAAATGTGTGTGACAGGCTGAACATTTTAGCTTAAGAGGAGTTTCAGGCACATCAAATGCAAAAACACTGAAAACGATTCGTCTAATTTAATTGTCAAGTTGTGCCAAAAATGCTAACATGATATCTTTGAAGAGTAATTGGTACAAAGAATATCCTCAAAGAGAAATATTTCCACACGTCTGGCTCTTATCTTGCCCTCGTTAAATTTTTTTCCTCCCCATTGGCAGAGCAGCGCATGCCTCTTCCCTGCCCCTTCGGCATAGGGACCCAACTGGTTCTGCAGATTTTTCAGCCACTGAACTTAAACATGCCATCGGAATGGAAGGAGTGCAGATTCCTTCTTCAGATTTAGCCCAAGATAATCTTGGAGGAGTTTTTTTTAATCCTTTCTTGCCGCCAAATGCGGTCTTCATGTGTATTTGTTTAATCAGATAGGTTGGGAAGCTGTTGTGTGCTAGGCTTCTTATAGATAAGCATTCTTTCTCCCTGAGGGTGATGACTTCTAGAGTTTTGGTGCTATTTCCTTGAAGTGGGTTCAAAGGTAATGTGCAGCCCCTCCCCCTCAACCACATTACCTGGAAGTTCCTTGTATAGGCCCAAGGGAATGCTTCCGTGAGAATGTCATATTTGAGTGAAGGCCTGAAGAAGGTGAGGGAGCGAGTTTTGGTGATATCTAGGGGCGGGGCTTTCCTGGCAGTGAGAAGAGCACATGCAAAGCCCCTGAGGTGAGACTGTGCCTAGCACGTGTTCATGACACGTGACATGAGTGGAGCGAGGATAGGTAGAGCAGTCAGGGACGTGTCAGAGGGGGAGCAGGTCAGACTGTGTAGGGTCTCATGGGTCACAGTGAAGGCTTTTGCTTTCACTGTGAACGAGGAGGGAAGTCACCAGAAGATGGTGGCAGATGTTGGTCCTGAGCTGGCTTCATCTGAATGGGATTTCTCTGGCTATTTCTCTCTGTGAGAATAAACAGGATGGGGGCAAAGGCAGGAAGGCTATTGAAGTAATACAGAAAACAGACGTTTGATGGTTTGGACCAAGGTGATGGCAGTGGAGATGGAGGGAAGCAGTTGGATTTTGGATGGGTTTTCAAGTGAAAGGTAATAGTATTTGCTGAAATATTGGATGTGGAACATGAAGGAAAGAGGAGCCAAAGATGGCTCCAGAGTTTTGGGCTGAGCAGCCAGAAGAGTGAGGCTGCCGCCATCCAGAATGGGGAAGATTACAGGAGAAGCCAAATGATGATGTTCCGGAGCTCAGGTTTGGACATATTAATTTTGAGATGCCTGCTAACTATTGCTTGCTGGATGACTCCTCTTCTACCTCCTCATCACTCTGAGCTTAGACCACATGGGTCCCCGGCCAAGTTGAACCAGGGCAATGATTTAACTAGCACTGATCCAACCCGTGGGCTCCTCGTGCCCACATACCACTCATCACAATTCAGAGGGCAACCTCCTGGGAGACACTGAGAGAACATGAGATTTCTGTCTCAATAAGAGTTTGCCATTATGAAATGTACTTGGCTAGTGAGGCCTATACACTTGTAATGAGCAGAATATAGATTCAACTGAGCTATAAAATAAAATAATAACTATTTTAATATACAGCATCTCCCTGCCAAGGCAGCTGAAGAGAAGCCTATGAGCAATAAAATTAGTCCAGAGAAAGAAATGAAAAACCACTGAAAACAGCCACCTTCTAAAAGGAAACAGATTAGAAGGGCCCAAAGAGGGAAGCCATCACCAGGAGTGAAACTCACCAGATAGTGATAAAACAGTTATGAGAGAAAAGGCCGGAAGGAAATTTTCCAGGCTGCTGTCTGTTACTTCACTAATCACCGTGGTGACCTCATCCCTCCCCCTGGCTTCATGGGTGATGACTCTAAAGCCCTGATCAGGGCCCCGGATCCTGCTTCCATTGGCCACTGGGAAATCTCCTTCTCAGTGCCTTCTCACCCTCACTCCAGATGCAGTCCTCCTCCTGAAAAACCTTGGCATCATCCTCACCTCTCCCTCCTCTCTCACCTCCTGTCAGCCTCACCACTGTCCCTTTCTTACCATCTCACCATTCACCACCCACTCCAGGCCACCATCACCTCCCAGCTGAGTCCTGCTTCCACCGTAGTCTCTATACGCTCAGAAGGACCAGTTTTTGAAATGAAAATCAGATCAAGCTCTCCCTAAAAACCCTCCAGTGGAATCTCATTTTATTTGGATGCAATCCAAATGACTTATGAGGACTTCCATGTCCCATAAGGTACCTACCCACCTTTCCAACCTTGCCTTATTTCACTCTTCCCTTTGTTTAACTGGCCTCCTGTCTCTTTCCCAACATTCTGGCCTCAGGGCCTTTGCGCAGGTCTATTGCTCTGCCTGGAGTGCTTACCTCCAGATTGTCACATGGTGGTTCAAGCAGTTTCTCCAACTCACAACTCTCCTCACCACTCCATCATTGATTGCTTGCCATCACATAACCCTGGCTAGTTGCTTTCATGGCAATAAACCATAGGGAAGGATCTTGTTTGCATATTTGTATATTGCCTGCCCTCCCCTCCATATGCAAGTACTATGAGAATATGGTCTTCTCTTATTTCGCTCTGGATTTCCAGCACTTGGAATATGGTCTGATATATATATATATACATTTTGAAAATTAATTATCGGTCAGGCACAGTGGCTTATGCCTGTAATCCCAACACTTTGGGAGGCCAAGGCAGGCAGATCACTTGATGTCAGGAGTTCCAGACTAGCCTGGCCAGCATGGTGAAACCTTGTCTCTACTAAAAATACAAAACAATTAGCTGGGCATGGTGACATACACCTGTAATCCTAACTGCTCAGGAGGCTAAGGTGAGAGGATTGCTTAAACCCAGGAGGCAGAGGTTTCAGTGAGCCAAGATTGCACCACTGCACTCCAGCCTGGGTAATAGAACAACAATCTGTTGCACGGTGGCTCATGCCTGTAATCCCAGCACTTTGGGAGGCTGAGGCGAGTGGATCACTTGAGGTCAGGAATTTAACCTGGCCAACATGGTGAAACCTTGTTTCTACAAAAATACAAAACTTAAACAGGGGTGGTGGCACAGACCTGTAATCTCAGCTACTCAGAAGGCTGAGATAGGAGAATCCCTTAAACCCAGGAGGTGGAGGTAGCAGTGAGTGGAGATTGTACCATTGCACTCCAACCTGTTCAACCTGGGCAACAGAGCGAGACTCCATCATAAATAAATAAATAAATAAATAAATAAATAAATAGAATTACCAGCATAGTAACAGCAAGCATTCATTGAATAATTACTTTGCACCAGGCCTGATACATGCAGGCTATTTGCCTACTTTGTTCCTTGCGCATCAAATAGTACCTGGCACTTAGTACGTGTGTAAAAACATTTTTCATGGTGAATGAATGAATGGATTTAATTCTTCATGTACCTATACAATCGCAGATAGGACATTATGGGTTTGCTCAAAGTCCCACAATTGGTAAGTGGTGAAACCAGGATTTGAACTCACACTGTTAGGACCAAGTAGATGCTCTTGATATACCATAGGAAGTTCAATGAATGGAGTCCATCATAGAGTGAAAGTCAAGCTACTCCATCCAGAGCCAGAATACTCAGTGGCTAAGACATTTCCCCCCAAGCTAAGAGACCACTCTGCCTCCTTGCTGGGTGCAACAATTTCATTTGAGATATAAGGAAGAAGAAATTTGGAATTTGAGAGAAGTGTAGTTTTGGATTTGAAACTTAGCAGCAAAAGACTTTTGACTCGCCCTGCTTTCAGTTGCTATTGAATGTGCCTGTGCAGACAGAGTATTTACATCCATCTCAGGGCAGCCTGCAGTTCAGAGTCTGAAATCAAATGATTATTTCTGAAAGTATTTTATTTTAAAAGCCTTTGAGTGACAAATGATTTAGCAAGTTTTCAACACGATGTTTCATGTGGTTTTGGTTGCCAAAGAGTGACTTACGGCCAAGCCTGGGCACTCTAACCCAAGTGAGCCTACATGGATCTAGGCCATCACATTTTTTTTATGATGTTTAATAAAGTTTAGCACTTTTTTTTTTTCTGAGTGGTTTATGATAGTCCTGATGGTAGCATCTCAGCAGGCTGGGAAGGAGTACCATGCTGATATATTAGAGGGAAATGCAGAGGTGGAACGTGGATTCACTGACCCCTCTAGACAAGTGCACGGCAAAGGGCAGAAAGGGGACACTCTGCCTGTGGCCTGGACCTCTCTCCTCTCTTCCCAGCAGGCTTCCAGTACCCGTCAGCCACTATGTTCTTAACTTAGAGGTGGGTTAAAGCTTTTCTGAATACAGCTATCTGGTTATTATTATGAAATACCTATTTTATTCAATATCCATTTGTTTCTAATATTTATGTTGGATATTTTATATACATCACTTATTCTTTCCTTAAACAACTATTTTAATTAGAATTAAGTTTGGCTTCGCATGACAGAAAATGCTAAAATAATTGTGAAACTTCTTTTTTTCTTATATGATATAAATCTGGTGGGAGGCAGTCCATGTCTGGGTGATGGGTGTTACAATGTCATCAGGGTCCCAGGTTCCTTTAACCTGCTGCTCTCCCATCCTAGAGAAAGGGGTCAGCAAACTATGGCCTGCAGCCCACTGCCTGAGTTTATAAGTGAAGTGTTATTGGAACACAGCCACACTCGTTCGTTTACATATTATGCATGGTTGCTTTCGTATTCCAGCAGCAGAGTTGAGTACTGCCACGGAGAACATATGGCCAGCAAAGCCAGAAATCCTTACTGTCTGACCCTTTATGGAAAACATTTGCTGATCCCTGTCCTAGGACATGGATTCTGCCTTCTGAGTCAAAATGGTTGCTCGCAAGCTCCAGCCTTAGTGGCTGTATTTTGGCCACACGAATGGGGATGGGTCAAAGAGGGAGGGTCTTTCTGTGGACACTTCTTAGAAACTATTTGCAGTCCCTCTGCTTATATTTCATTAGTCAGAATTTAGACAGATGGCTATACAGAGCTGTGACAGAGCCTGGGAAATGTAGTCATTATTCTAATAGCTGTGTGTCCATCTGAAAGTAACAAACTCTATAACTAAGAAGGACGGTGTACTTAGTGGAGTGGACAGCTGGCAGTGTCTCTGTCACAAGAATCCTGCAATGTGAGTATTATTCCCATATTACAGTCAGGGAAGCTCAATCTCAAGCATTTAAACAACTTATGATAAAGCGCACCTCAGTTTCACAACTGGTTAAATTATGGGTGGAAAAAAGCCATTTAGAATTTGGGGACTAGAGGGCATCAGGGAAGCATGAATATTTTGCAATCTCTTTTAAATAATTTTCCACGGTATGAAATACTCTAACTAGACTTCCAAGTTTATATCCTCCAAGCTTTTTCATTTCCTCTAGACTTTGTTCACCTTCCTCTCCAGCAGAATGGTGCCTTCCTAGTTCCAAATAATAACAGATCTCTCCGTCTTCAAAACATCAGGCAGACATCCACCCCATTGCTCAGCAGGGAAATCCTATAGGATGAGATCTGTGTCATCCTGATCTTGGAGTCACCAGATACCGCGCCTTAGAACAGAATAGATGCTTAGCAAACCATTACCAAACTGAACACAAATTAGATTGTGAATTCCTTTGAAGTAAGAACCGTGTCATCCTCCTCCTGTATCCAACTTCTCTTATGGTCTTGATCACGCTGCAAATATTGTGGGTAACTGTATCAGTGAAAATTAGTTCAGTTCCAAGTGGCAGAAGCCCAGCTCAAAACTAAACGAAGCTGAAAAGAATATTTATTGGCTAATGTTACTGAGGAGCCCAGGCAGGAGTGGCTCTGTTGGCAGGCACAGCTGGTTCTCAGATCTCTCTGCCTCTGTCTCTGTCTATCTCTCTATCTTTCCATCTCTCCCACCCCTGTTGCATTCATCTCTCTTCTCTGCTTCTCTCTGCATGTTGGACTCATTCCCTTCTACAGGAAGCTCCCTTTAGATGGCTGGGGGAAAGATAGAAATTTCTCCACGTTCCGTGGCCCTTTCTGCTTTGGATTCTGAAGGGATCCTCTGTCACTGTCTCTGTCTCTCTCTCTCAGTGTTCTCTTATCAGATCTCATGGAAGACTCAAATGGAGCACTTACCCAACCTTGAACCCATCACTGTGACCAGAGGTTGAGTAATCACACTGGCCAAGTCCCAGTTGGGAGCCCATCCTGGGGCTGGGAAGAAGTAAGTTAGTTTCTTCATGCTTGTGACAAAGTGAAGAGTGTCCAGGTACCAAATACGTGAGAGCAATTGATTATTGCAGATATGGTCCTTGAAGTAAAAAAAAAAAAAAAAAAGGAAAGACACTCAGGATGCATACTCACCAATTCTTCAGCAAAATTCTCCCAGAGGAGCAGAATTCTGATGGCCACGCAGAGGGCAACAGTCCACCTTACTTACTGCTAAGAAATGATTATTATTTCTTTTTAAACACCAATGAAGGTTTTAGAAGCTCAGCCTTCCAAACAGCACCTTCATCCTCTTCATATGTGTACAGTCTCTCTGGTATCTGGAGCTGATATTCAGGCCTTTTCCTTGTACATCAGTTGCTGTTTATTTGGGATTCATGTGTTTCTTTGACCTTCTGTGCAAGGTTGATGGATGGGTTTTTAAGCATCTTTAAATGAATTACAATATATGCCAAACTTATATTTTTGTAATATTTCTGCCAAACTGGACTACAGTGGATGGCTTATTTCCACATTCCTTTGGAATGTGCATGTTCATAAAATTTTACACCTGTCAGTTGGCAATTTGCCAACATTCATTTGCTATCATATCATGATCTTTTTTTTTAAACAACAACAAAAAAATTTAAACACAGGTATTAGCATGGACAGAAATGTCTTCCAATAGCATGTCATTTTGAATGTCTTAGAAAGATGGGCTCCATAAAAGACCGTGCAGCTGGAAAGAAATGAAAAAAAAAGAAAAGGGATGGGAGGGCAATTGGGCTGGCTGAGCTTGGTGTTCTTTGGTGTTGCACAAACCCTCAGGCCACCAACCTGGGAGGTTGTTTTCTTTGCAAGCAGAGTATGCAAAACACTTGGACTTTTCTTATATGGCATCCCAGACTCAATTAAACTGTATTTACTTCTTCTATTAGCTAAGATACTTAGTTTCAAGTGACAAATACTCAACTCAAATTAGCTTAATTAAAAAAGAAGGCAGCGGGCCAGGCACAGTGGCTCATGCCTGTAATCCCAGCACTTTGGGAGGCCTAGGGAGTTGGAACACCTGAGATCAGGGGTTTGAGACCAGCCTGGCCAACATGGTGAAACCCCGTCTCTACTAAAAATACAAAAATTAGCTGGGCATGGTGGCGGGCAACTGTAATCCCAGCTACTCGGGAGGCTGAGGCAAGAGAATCGCTTGAACCCAGGAAGGTGGAGGTTGCAGTGAGCAGGGATCACACCATTGCACTCCAGCCTGGGAAACGAGAGCAAAACTCCGTCTCAAAAAAGAAAAAGAAGGCAGCGGGAGAATTTTTCAGCTTAAAGAACTAGAAAATCCAAGGACCTATTGCCTTGAGGTATAGCTCAATCCAGCAGCCCAGGCGATGCTATCAAGATGCTGTATTTTCTTCTTCACTTGGCTTTCCACTCCTTTAGGTGGGATTCATTCTTAAACTGCCTTTCACATTGAGGTGGCAGGATGGCTTCTGTCAACTCCAGGCTAGCATTCTACAATTCCACAAAGAGATAGCCACTTTTATGATGGTTCCAGTGAAAATTCAGGGCAGACTCTCATTGGGCTGGCTTAGGTTCTGTGCCCATTCATGACTTAATAATATGGCATGGCCAAGGGGATGCTGCATTTTAATAGACCAGGTCTGCTCACATGCTCCCACTCAGATGGGTCATGGACTGAGAGTAGACCTTGGATAGTTTCCCAGAGTAAATTGGGGGTGCTATTATTAGAAGGGAGGATGGATACAGGGCAAGAAAAAAAGCGAGTAGCCCACCATGCCTACCTTTCTGAAAAGGGCAGTGGGGAAAATAGATACACAAAAATGCCACATTCATTCCCCATCAAAATTAGGGGCAGAGAATTTAGGGATGAGGATTCTAGAAGGACCTTACAAACTGTGAAGACCAGTGATGTGCAGGCATGGTTTAGCTTTCAGTTTCAAATTAAGTTCTGACAAATGCCCATAAATGCCTTTGAGTGAAATGAAGCTAGAGGACTTGGAGCCCCGTTTGCCAAGTCTTCCCTCTTACCTACCCTCTAACCCACAGAAATGCACCCACAGCCTCTGAGGGGTTTCTGTGGGCTTCCAAAAAGTAGATATGAAAACCTCTGAGCTTGTCCAAAGCCATAATGGACACACGGAAAAAATGAAAAACCAGGGAAGTAAAGAAATTTGCCAAAGGTCATATAGCTTGTCATCTTCCATGGTGATAGAAATCCCAAGATGTCTGATTTCTAGCCCAAAGTTTTTCTTCTTGCTCTTAATTTTTTTTTTTTTTTAAAGAAAAGCAGCAGTAGTTTGGTGAGCTTTCTGCTGTGACTGTGCCGACATCATCTAAAGCTTCTGCCTGAACTGGTGAAGCCATGTTTGCCTTTGGCCATCGATATATTGATGAGCCAGTCTTTCAGGTTTCCCAAGCCATGAAGAGGAGGTGTGGAGGGCCCTCCCCAAAAAGGCCGAGTCTTGTTGGGAGAAGAGGTTCCGTGTACTCACTAAAGGAATATTAGGGGCTTACTGGGCCAATAATCTGCCAAGACAGTGACCTAATATTCTGCCACCACAGTGGGTTTCTGATCATTTAGTTCCCCTTTGATCAGATTTCTAACCTAGGTTGGTAAGATTTTTGGCTAAATGACAGATTTTTCTCATTCTTCGCTGAAATGTATCCAGTTACCTCTTGTTGTATAACAAATGCCCCCAAAACTTGGTGGCTTAAACAACCATTTTCTTACATATCAGAATTTTATGGGTCAGGAATTCCATCAGCACTAAGCTGGGAAGTTTGACTCCATGTGGACACGGAGTGTGGTCCCTCAGTGATACTTAGCTGGTGGCTGTCCTGGGTTGGAGCATCCAAGATGGCTGTAGTCACATGCCAAGGGCCTTGGTGGGGTCAGCTGCAGGCTGGGCACCTCTGGGACCCTCTTCTCCATGTACTCTCAGAGCCTCTCCTGTGGTTTCTCTCTGGGTAGTGCAATTTCTTACATGGCAGCTTAGGGCTCCAGGAGACCAAGGTGCATGGGACAGACCCCTACAACAATTATCAGGCTTAAAATGTCAATAGTACTGCAGTTGAGAAACCTTGCTCCAACCTGACATTCTAAGATCATTTCTTGAGCAAGAAATAGCCTTATACTAGGGGCAAAGTTCAGCAAAATGTGGCCTGTGAGCCAATGTCAGCCCACTGCCTGTTTTTTTAAGTAAAGTTTTATTGGAACACAGCCACACCTGTTCACTGACCTATGGCTGCTCTTGAGACATAGTGGCAGAGCTGAGTAGTCAAGGTCTGCAGGGTTCCTCACCACCATGCTTTCCTCTGGCCCAAGAAGCAAGGGGCTGCTGAGGGTTTTCCTGGAGCTAGGAAGGGCCTGGTACTGCACTACTCCGGAGAAGTACCTTGTCTCTGGGCTAAAGTTCCTTCAGCAGCCCAACCAAGATAACGGCTCCTTGCTCCCACCTTGCTCCAAGGGTAGGGATGGATGAGATAATGTCTGAGCAGCCCCTGTGGGCTCCTTCAAGATAGCATGGCCATCCGTACGCTGTGGGCTAGCGCTCTGTTTCCCCAGAAACTGATGATTCAGCGTGAAATATGGTCTTGCCTGGGGAGAAGCTGAAACAGGCCAAAGCCTGAGGTCAAGCCCTTGCTAGAAAGGAAGGATTAAAAAGAAATTAATCTCTCTTGTTCTCTCTTTGTTCACATCTCCAGTGGAGAGAGGCCAAAGGCAAGGAGGACATTGATGGATAGACTGAGGGTGTTGTCCTCTGAGGCCGCTCCATGGGGAGTTTTGCAGGGATCTAGGTTGCACCCCTGACAGTCTAGCCCAGCACAGTGCCCAGGCCCCATCCATTGGGGACTTCCAGTCTTACTTCATGGGCCAGGTCTCTTGGGGACACATGTGTTGTCTGATGTCACTAATTTGATTTGTAGCATGGTGGAAACCAACAACTTAGTTGCTAAACAGATAGCTATTGAGACCTAAAATGAGGTAGAGAGGTAGGAACCCTGAGGTTGTGAGTTCTGGATTTTACAGGCACCTGGAGCTATGGCTTCAGTCCTGCCCTAGGAGGGCATGGGCCTTAAGTGCATGCACACACTACTCTTCACCACTTTGGGTGCTTTCTTCTCAGAGCTACACTCCACAGATGCTTCCTGAAATCAGAACCTCTGAGTTGGAGAACCATTGCTTTCTTGGAAGGAGAAAAATGTGGAAAAACTTTCAGAAGGCTCAGGAGTCAGGAAGAAAGGCATCTCTGTGGTCCAGGCCCATAGGGAGATGCTGGACTGGTTTAAGGGAGCATGAAAAAGGGAAAACTGGTTAAAAGGCCATGCCCTGCTCCAGGGAAAACCAATACCCAGTTGGAGCCACATGCCTTGGTAAATCCCAAGGTGAGGGCTCCAGCATCTGGGTCTCCTGCTCTCTCAGCCTGCCCAACTGTGTCTCCAGACCTTGCTGTGGGACTAACATGTTTTGCAAAGGGAAATACTAATGCCTCCCTGCAAACTGTACCCACTTTTGGTCATCTGCATCTGAGCCCTTCTTCCTGGAGGATCACAGAATAATGATGGATCAAAAGTTTGACATGGAAACCACTGTTTACCCCTAGATCTATAACATAGTCTGTACTTGGGAGATCTAGCTTGGATCTCAGAGGAGAATTTGGCCCATTATGAGGCGCATATTAAAAACATACCCCAAAGATGTAAACTCTCAGAAAACAGCATTGCAGCAAAGCATAATATTATTTAAAATCTGGGCCAAAGGCCACACTCACAGAAACCTCTCTGTAACTGTTAGGGATACTAGAAAAGGAATTATAGTCATTTGATGCACATCAGACAAACTTCTGTTAACTTCAGAGCATTGCATCTGGTTGGCTGGCCACATTTACTCCAGCCTCATGTCCACTTTTCAGGAAATGAATTGCTAAAGAGGAATTCAGTGGCTGGAGCATCTTTTGGAACTTGTTTTATTCATCTTTGAAACCACAGATGTTTGCAACTTTTGAGGTCTTGCTCCTTGGTTATTTGGAGTGACGTTTTGAGGTCAGGGTTTCTGCAAATATAAGAATATTTGGGACCTTATTTTCCCCACTCTGGGTTCTTTTATTCATACCTGCATTTCTGAAATATTTTTAAGCCATCTATTACGTGCCAGGCAGGATACTAAGTGCTAGAGGTGGGCAAAACCAGACATTGTTCTACCTATTAATAGTAGGGCATTTAGTCAATTGGCAAAGACAGACGTTAATCAAAGGATCACATGAATGCATTAACTTGCAACTGTGACTAGGCAGAGAGGCAGGACAAGTTGCTCTGAAATCATATGATGGTAGCTCATGTTCATTCAGTGTTATCTGCCAACACTATTGCCATTATCAAGCCTCTCCGTTAATTAGCCAATATTACAGATCAGAAAACAGAGGCACAGAAAGGTCATAAAACTAGTAAGCACTGGAGCCAGAATTTCAACGCAGGCATTCTGACTCTGGAACCCTTGTCTTTAACTCCTGTACTGGGAGGCCTTGAGCCCTGGAGGGCCACGAGCAAAGGCTTCTATGATGAAGTGGCAATTGAGTTGTGATCTAAGAGATAAGTTGGAGTTGCTTAGGTAAAAGGGTGGTGTTCCAGACAGAGAGAACAGCATGTGCAAAGGTCCTGTGGCTGGAAGCCATAGGGAATGCAGAAAGCAGAGGGGGCCATGGAGTGAGAAGAGGTTGGCAGGGATCAGACCATGTAAGGTTTTGACTGGAGTGCTCCTCCCAGTCTTTTCCCAAATGGATTTTTGCCCATGTGGCATGGGTTTATGCTGGAAGCAGACTTTGGAGAGTGCCAACTGAGCTGTTTAACTTTGAGTGGCAGTAGATCTCACATGGCAACTACTTAATATATAAAGGATTCCCCCAAGGGGTGGCCAGGAGAAGCAAAAGCTAGAATCCTTTGCAGGCTGATATCTGTTGTAGAAAACCCTTCCCTCAGCAACCCAAGATGACAGAACTTCAGCCAGAATATGGCTGCAGTATAGAGACAAAGACATTTGAGGTTCCCTGAGAGGAAGGGAGGGCCCTGGCCAGGACCCTGCAGAATTCCTGATGTCTGCCCTTTGTTTCCCCTGGTGCTTGTCTGTCAACACGATGTCTGCCATTCTAGAACATGTCTCTCTCACCTTTGCTCACACTGTCCCCTCCACTGGGGGGGCCATCTGCCACTTTCCACCCCAAATTCTGCTTGTCAAATTCCAGCCCTCTTCAAAGCAGTGCTACGAGCCATCTCCATGAATCCTTTTCCTGGCCTAAAGCCAGAAGAAGGCTCTCACTCCTTGTGTGTCAGCAGAACTTTTTATTCCCTGCTCACAGCATTTGTCATATTTTTTCTTTATATTACAGTCACTCAAACTCATGTCTCATCTCTCCTAAAAGATTGTAAACTCTGGGTCTATGTGTGTGTCTGGTATCCCATAGTGAACAGAGTGCAGTGCCAGGCATGTAGTAGACTTGCAGTAAATAATTGTTTGATCTTACTCATAGCCTTTGCCTCTTCTCTATCCCCTATTCAGCTCTTCCCTTTTTCAACTCTTTCATTTGCAAGCAAAAAGAAAAACCAGCTCAAAATCACTTAAGCAAATGAGAAGATTTATTGGCTTGTGGAATTAGAAGATTGAGACCCGCCTTCATGCATGGTGGGTCCCAGGGGCTCAGATGATGTGGTCAGGAGCTATTTGTCTCCACCCTGAGTCTCTCCTGTCCTGCGTGTGTTGGTTACCTCCTCAGGCTCTGTTGGTAGCAAATGGCTGCCAGCCATCATCCTTCCAGATTCAGATCCACAAGCAAAGAGCAGGTGCCTTTCCTGCAGTAGTTCAGCAAAATTCTCAGCTCCTCTCACTGGATTTGATTGAATCACTGCAGGCCAGAGAATGTGATGCTGTGATTGGCCAAGTTGAGTCATATGCTCTATGTCTGGAGCTTATGGGGGTGGTGGGAGCTTCTGGACAGAAAGTGGAGGAGGTGGGAACTTGGTCTGTCTTCCTGGAAGTAAGGTGAATGGGGGCTGTGGAGCAAAACCCCGTGCCTAGCAGGCAGTAACGTGACTCCATGTGGGGCACTGAGAGGCTGTAGCTCTTTGCTTTTGAAAGGCTGCTGTTGACATTGTTAGAGTGGAAATATCCATGCAGTGAGAGAAAGGGTACTCAGGCCTAGATTTTAGGTCCTAACCCTCCTCCCCAAAGACTAGCAAAGGAAATCCCCTGATTTTTAAAGCTGGATGAAGAGTTAGGAAATGCAGTCACGTGAGTCCTGGAGGCTTTTTCCCTGCTGTGTCCTTCTCAGCCAAATTGAAATGTTTGTTTCCAAGGGAGGGCTTCCATCCTCTGATTAAGGAGGCAGAGCTTCCTCCTGCCCCGGGAGTTTCCACAGCCCAGTGTACTTTTCATTGTGATGGTCTCTGGGTGCTGTGAGCTCAGTCGTGGGGCTTGGGGGATAGGCATTTAAGGTTCCTCAAGTCCCTGGGTACAGTCACTTTGGAATTATTGAATGGGCTGCTCTTTCCTGCTGAAATCTTTCCTCGGTGACCCGTTTTCTGAGCGAGCAGCGCGGATTTCAGCAACTCCACAGGTAGAGAGGGCACTGGAAAAGCTACCTGGAGACACTCTAGAGCTGAGCACAGGTTGCTGATTAATCTGCTTCTCTGCCTGGCCCGTCAGCTTCATGAAGGCAGGGGCCTTGCAGGTTCACTTGCCGTCACACTAAAGGCTTCATCTCACTTAACTGTGGCAATGATTCTTGAAGAACCCAAGACAGAAAGTTTAACTATTTTGCCCACATCACCCCAGTGGTAAGAGGTTGATCCAACCAAGTTGTGTGACTCTACAACTTCTGCTTTTAACCATTTTGCTGGGCAGCCTAATTTATTTCTGAGACGTCTGTGACCCTCCCCCTAACATTGCAAGCGGCCCTGGTACCCATTTCTCTTTCTGGAAGACGCTCCAAGCATTTGCTCTGGTGTCATTTGAGAGTTGGCCATGATGAGGAGATGCTGTTTCCTCACCCAGGTCTTGCTCAGGACTCAGCTTCACTTGCAGGCCTGTTGCCTTTCTCAATTTAAAGCTCAGATGTGCTCAAGCTGGGGCCGATAGGGTTTCTCCACCGGTCAAGACAACGAAAATGCATTTCTGGCATGGTTTGAATTAAACGAGAATTTCCCGTTTTTCATAAACATTTACAGTAGTTGTGGATGCAGAGTTGAAAGGTTTAGGGTTTTGGTGTTTAATTAGAAACAAATGCCCTTTATGGTCCTTTTAGCAAGGGCGGCATGTCTCAAATTATTAGGATTATTCATCTTATTTGTGCCTGCATTTTGATTTTGTTTCCACTGCTCTCGGTGCTGACTTCCCCAAGGTGGCTGGGCGTGGTGGTGGGAAATGGGATCCTCAGAATCGCTGGTGAAGTTTCTGTCTGAGAGCCAGGGCTCTGGGCTGGCTTTGGGCCCCACCTCACAGGCAGCCCAAGGCCCCCTCCTTCCTTTCCAGAGGCTGGGGTAAGCTGAAAGCTTAGCGGGCAGAGCAGCTGCATCCTCTCTTGGGGCCTGGGAAGAGAGATATTTGCCAGCCTTGAGAACCCAGGTGCTCTGAGATGAGGCTGACAGTGCCCCTAGGCTGAGCCCTAACTCTTGGTTTAAAACAAGGGCAGCTTGCAGCACGGGGAAGGGGGGAGGGGGGAAGGGACACATGCATGGGAACCCAGCCCCCTGGGAAGCAGCAGAGAGGACTCTGAACCATGCAGTTTGCAAATGTCTTTGTTTTGTCATTAAGGAAGGTTTTGAAGCTGTTTCTGAAGAAGAGGAAAAGGCCATTCACAGCAGCCTGAGACCATCCACACCCCAGGAGAGGGTATCATCCATTTGGTGTCTCCTAAAAACAGGCCTGTGTCTCTTGTCAGAGTTCCTAGGAGTCCGGCTTCAGCCTGGCTACTCACTCCTTCAGGTCCCGTCTGCACCTCTGTCTTGAAAGCAACAGACAAAATGGAAGGACGGAAAATGCCTGAAAGGCCTTTCTACTTGTTAAGGATGTCATCAGCTCCCATAAAGCAGTATCTTTGAATATTTGGTGACAAAGAGGCCATCTTTGGTCTCAAAGAGGTTTTTTCATAAACAAAGAAGTTTATGAAAAAGCCTTTTAAAGCCATTTCAGTCTATGAGTCTCACTTTACAGATGGAACAACTGGGGCCCAGGAAAGGGAAAGCGCTTGCCTTCATGGATGGTAAGATAGTCCAGGTCGTCTACACCCTAGAACACCGCATTCTACCTCAGTATATGCAAAGAATTATGCAAAGATGTGTATTATTTCCTCTCAGATGTATTTAGATACTTCATAAAAGACATTGTTTTCCCTAGTTAAGCCTAGGCAGGATTACATTATTTCCTCCATGAAACAGTTCTAAAGGCACTATTCCATAATTCACTATGGAAAATTTGGAAATTTTAATAAAATTTGAAGAAGAAACTAAAAGTCACTCATATTCCCACGTCCTAAAGTTAGTTCTATGACTATTAACATAGTCATTGTTTCCAATTGGCTTTTCTTACTTAGAAAATTAGACTTGAATGATGCCGATGCTTGGCTGTGAGGCTTAAGCCTCAGTGCTGCCATTTCTTTTTTTTTTGAGACGGAGTCTCACTCTGTCACCCAGGCTGGAGAGCAGTGGCGCGATCTTGACTCACGGCAAGCTCCACCTCCCGGGTTCACGCCATTCTCCTGCCTCAGCCTCCCCAGTAGCTGGGACTACCGGTGCCCGCCACTACGCCCAGCTAATTTTTTGTATTTTTAGTAGAGACAGGGTTTCACCATGTTAGCCAGGATGGTCTCGATCTCCTGACCTCATGATCTGCCCGCCTCGGCCTCCCAAAGTGCTGGGATTACAGGGGTGAGCCACCGTGCCCAGCCAGTGCTACCATTTCTTAACCATGAACTGGGGCCAGTTCCTTAACCCCACAATACCTCCATATTCTCATGGGGCTCTTGTGAAGATTAAATAAAATTCTTAATGTGGGGTGTTCAGCATAGTGCCAGTGCATTTTAATAACTTGCTATTGTTATCATCATAAGAAAAATAGAAAAATCTGGACCTGACGTGGTGGCTGATGTCTGTAATCCCAGCACTTTGGGAGGCTGAGGCAGGTGGATCACAAGGTCAGAAGTTCAAGACCAGCATGGCCAATATGATGAAACCCCGTCTCTACTAAAAATACAAAAATTAGCTGGGCATGGTGGTGTGTGCCTGTAGTCCAAGCTACTCAGGAGGCTGAGGCAGGAGCATCACTTGAACCTGGGAGGTGGAGGCTGCAGTGAGCCGAGATTGCACCACTGCACTCCAGCCTGGGTGACAGAATGAGACTCCATCTCAAAAAAAAAAAAAAAAAAAAAAAAAAAATCTGGAAGCCCCACAATAATAACGACACAGAAATTATTAAGTTAGAAGACCCAAACAAAATGAGAGTAAGGTAGAAGAATGATGACCAATTACTCAACAACTCAAGAAAAGAACTAATTCAGTCGGTTGGTTTTTAACCCTATTTCCTTAAATCCACTGGGACAATTTTAAAAAATATATGTATATATTTTTAAGGAAGAGATTATTAGAAAGCAACAGAAAATGAGTCCCTATATCTTCTCCCTAGAGGAGAACTCCATTTAAATGTTCTTAAACCAGCAGAAATTATATGAATGCTAATGTGAAATTGTAAGATATAAATGCTAACAGGGCATTTTCAGGGGTTCCTTTCTTTTCTCCTTTTTTTTTTTTCCTTTTTTCCAAATTCTCTGGTTGGGGTTAGTTACACCCGGCTGTTTTAATAGAACAAAGTCATATAATGAACTTTTTCACATAAAGTGCATTTTTTCCATGATTCACTCACTGTACCTTGTTTACGCAGCTTGTAAACATGGTAGATTAAATAGGTTTCTTTCTCTGGTGTGCAAAAGTCCAGACGCCTCAAAGCCAGGGAGGAAGAATGAGGGGGAGGAAGAAGGGAAAAGAGAAGGAGGAGAAAGCAATAAATGGATGGGGAGCAGGCGGGTGCAACATGAAAATGAAAACAATGTATGGCCATGGAAAAACAGAGAGCGCTTTGCTGGAGTGGAACGTGCAAGTCTTTTTCCCTGCCCCCAACCCCACCCCTGGCCAAGGTCAAGTTATAAACAGACGTGGCTGGGGCATAGAGGAAACTTCTTTCTAAGACTGTGGAAATTGTCTCACAAATCAGACCTCACCTTTTGGGCATGCCGATTGGGCCTACACATCAGGAAGCCTCCTCTCTGCACTCTGAGAGGCCAGGTTTCTCACAGTTGAGGACCGAGCTAGCTCTTAGAGGTGCGGGGTTCTATGGGCATGCCTTGCAGTTGGATAGCTTGACTTATAAAGTAGGTTGGGATAGAAGGATATAGGGCCTGGGGTATGTTTCAAAACACTTCACCAACAGAAAAAAAGAAAAGAAGGGGGCCAGCTGGAGCAAATGTAGCAATTTCATTGATAATGGCTGAATCTGAGTGATGGGTATACAGAAGTTGTGATGTTTAATTTTATGTGTCAACTTGACTGGGCTACAGTGCCCAGATAGTTGGTCAAACGTTATTCTGGATGTTTCTGTGAGGATATTTTTTTGGACGAGTTTAGCATTTAAATCGGAGGACTTTGAGTAAAGCTGATTACCCTCCAGAATGTGCTGGGCTTCATCCAATCAGTTGAGGCCTTCATTGAACAGAGACTAGGGAGGAACCCTGCCAGTGGACTGCCTTTGAATTTAAATGTTTCCCTGGGTCTTCAGCCTGCCAGCCTACCCCATCAGATTTTGGATTTACCTCTAAACACGTGAGCCAATTTCTTTTTGTTTTTGTTTTTGTTTTTTGTTTTTTGTTTTTTTGAGACGGAATCGCACTCTGTCTCCAAGGCTGGAGTGCAGTGGCACCGTGAAAACTCACTGCAACCTCCATCTTCTGGGTTCAACCAATTCTCCTGGCTTAGCCTCCCGAGTAGCTGGGATTACAGGCACCCACAACCACGCCTGGCTAGTTTTTGTATTTTCAGTAGAGACGCGGTTTCACCATGTTGACCAGGCTGGTCTCGAACTCCTGACCTCAGGTGATCCACCCGCCTCTGCCTCCCAAAGTGCTGGGATTACAGGCATGAGCCACCGTGCCCAGCAGCCAATTTCCTGAGATAAATCTCTCTCCCTCCATAATATATATATGTGTGTGTATGTATGTGTGTATATATTCATGTGTATATATATGTGTGTATATATGTATGTGTGTGTATATCTATACACATATACACACACACACATACTGTTGGTTCTGTTTCTCTGGAAAACCATGGCTAACACAGAGGCTTATCATGTTATTTCTTTCTTTCTTTTTTTTTTTTTTTTGAGACGGAGTCTTGCTTTGTCACCCAGGCTGGAGTGCAGTGGCGCGATCTCAGCTCACTACAAGATCTGCCTCCCAGGTTCACGCCATTCTTCTGCCTCAGCCTCCCGAGTAGCTGGGACTACAGGCACCCACCACCACGCCCGGCTAATTTTTTGTATTTTTAGTAGAGATGGGGTTTCACCGTGTTAGCCAGGATGGTCTCGATCTCCTGACCTCGTGATCTGCCCGCCTTGGCCTCCCAAAGTGCTGGGATTATAGGCGTGAGCCACTGCGCCCGGCCCCTATTTCTTAAATTATATCTGTTTGAAAATTTGGAAATCGGGCAGACCTGTAGTCAAATCTTCCCCCATCTCTTACTAGCTGTGTGACCTTGGACAAGCCACTGACCATCTCAGACTCTCAGTCTTCTCCCCATCCCCTGCAACAAGGAACAATTCATAACATCCATTGTTATGAATCCATATTATGAATAACAATTCATAATATCTCATTGGGTGTGGAGAGAATTACATGAGGTAGATGTTACCTAATTCACATATTTATTTATGCATTGGTTCAACAAATAGTTACTGCACATCATCCCTGGTGCTGGAGTTGTGACATTGAATACAAAGGGCTGATTGCCCTGCCCTCAAGCAGCTTACATTTCAGTGAAAGAGATGGAACTAAGTGAGATAATCACACACCCAAACATACAAGCACAAATGGGAATAAGGGCTTTGAAGGAAAGGACCATGATTTTATGAGAGATGAATATGACCAAGAATGGAGGCTTCAGGGAGGGCTTCCTGGAGGCAGTGACACTTGAGCTGAGGGGAAACAGGTGGTGCAAAGGCCTTAAAGAGGGAGGGAATGAGGCAAGTATTACTGCAAGAAGGTTCAGCAGAGAGGGAGGGAGCATGAGCCCAGGGAAGGTTGCAAAGGGCAAAGGTGCACAGGACCAGGCTAGACCAGGTGGGAAGTCCTGTCAAAGAGTATGGTCCAGACAATGTGCAGTAAGAAGCCACAGAAAAGTGTCCTATTAACATAGTATTTCCCCTCTCTCTCTCTCTCTGTCTCTCTCTCTCTCTCTCTCTCTCTCTCTTGTGTGTGTCGGGGAGGGGGGTTGGGGGCAGAGAGAGAGAGAGAAAGGAGGTGGTGGTGACCAGAAGCAGCTGCTGTTGCTGTTTTTACCATCCTCACTACCAAAACCATGTACTAGGATGCTTCAGCTGCTGCAAAGCTCGCTGAGGACAGGGCCCTGTGCATTAAGCCTATATTTAGAAAGTTCATCTTTTGAAAGCAGGCAACCACCCAGAGAGGACTGCCAGCAGACAGCAGTCTAGGCCACAGGGCTTCCATCTTGTGCCATGTACTTTCTCTGGCACCTTGACCCAATCATTCTTAGCTCTGAGCCTCCGTTTCCTCATCTGGAATAGAATAATACCTGATATAACAGCCTTGCAGAGCAGCTGTGAGTTTATTGATATCAGAGCCCATGAATGTGGAAAGGCTTTGAAAACGTACAAAAGCACAGGAAAAAAAAAAAAAAAAAAAAGGTAAGGCGGCATTTGCTCCGCATCTGGTTTCCATATTGTCTCAGGCATTTTGTGTTCGGAGAGCTGCCTGGGAGACAGCTGCTTAAGTTCCAGGTTTAGGCCTCAGGGTCCCCAGTGGTGAAGAGAAGAATTTCTGGATAATAAGAATAACCAGGACATGGTATTCTACCCTTCATAGAGGCCTTTTTTTTTGCAGGAGGGACCTCATTTCGTCCTCACAGGCTACTGGTGGAACCATAGGACAGGTATTGCAAACACCATTTCATAGAAAGATCAGATGCTCGAGGTGATAGGTTCTTTGAGTCAGTGGTGAATCCAGGACTCTAACTCCTGTCTTATGCAGCCAAATTCAGTTCTCTGTTTAATACACACTCTTTTTCTGTAATAAATAAGTATGGATTATGGGGTTTTAAAACCGGAGTTACTTTAGAGATCAACAGATGCATTTTGTTTGACCTGCATAGCACGGTGTCTTACACATCTGATTTTGTTGCCAAGATGTAGGAATTTGGTAGTTCACATAAAACTCTAGGTTTGGGGTTTCTCTTTTGAGAAATGAAGGATCTGGCTGCTGGAGATCTCCATTTCTGAAAAACAACATTGGCTGGAGGGAGAGGTGGTGGCTGTCTCTTTAGTTGACCCAGGAACTCTCCCAGTTTGCCTGCCACCATGCCTTCTACTCCTAAGAAGCCTGCCTGGTACCCATGTGAACAGTGCACATTTGGGACCCCTCATCTAAGCCACCCACGTTATTAAAGTAGAAAAACTGAGTTCCAGAGAAGCCAAGTGGCCCATCGAAGGACACCCAGCTTTTGATTGTCAGAACTGGGGTAGACAGAGAATTTGGATGCCTTCTCTCCAGCCCCGCCCTTGGCCATGCTTAGCTCCTTGCTGACACACGTATGTCTGTGTGGCTGGGGTTTTTCCCTGCCCTTGTTTTCTAGCCCAGAAGATAGGGACTTAAGTGAGAGCAAGTGTGGCACATGGGGCAATGAATGGGCAAATTAAGAGTAACTGTGTAGACACATTTAGAGGGGAAAAGGCCATGTCTCATTTGCAAAAAACCCAGATCAAGCCACACTATTTACATCTCCTGTAACAACTGACCAAATAGTCAATTAGTAGAGTAATTCCAAAATGATTTATTTAAATTTAATCTGAAAGGAGAAAAATTAATGTATCGTTGGGAGACGAGCACTAGGTCCTTTTCAAACAACTGCTATGGAGGGCATTGCCCATGTGGCATGTTTTGGGAGGACTAGATCTCACCCACAGGCATTCACATCAGCTGGTAACCCCTGGAATGTAGGGGCCACAGGTCACTTCAGCCTGGCATTCAACAAGTGCATCTAAAATCCTTGTGATTTTTATTTGGAGGAGACCTCCTGCTGTCTGTGAAACTGGCCACCAGCTGCTTCCCCAGCCCCTATTGTGGACCAGCCAGATCCTCATCAGGCATCTTCAACTCCGGGCTAGACCTGACAGCCTGAAGAAGGCCCCCTGGCCCTGTCTCATGGGGGTCCTCTGGAGCAGAAGGAGGTCTGGATGGGGACCCAGGAAAACTGCTTGTCTCCCCAGCTCTACCCCAACTAGTCCAGCTCTGCTGTGTGACCTTACGTCTGCTGCTTCCCTTCTTTGGACCACAAGTGTTTGTTGAGGGTCTTATAAAACGCTTTTAGTAGCAAAATTCTTTCATTTGACAATTCCTTCAGAGAGGATGAGGAACCCAAGCTTCATTCCCTATATTTGCAGCACTGAGGGTTCCTAAGCCCCCACCTCTCCTCCTCCCTAATAGAAACTGCACTAGCTTTTTATTTCTCCCCTGGTCTCTGAGACTTCCTGGGGACTGAGCAAAGCTCTCCTACGGCTGGGGGTTTTGTGTGCTACCCCACGGAGGAAGCGTTCATCTTCATTATTCTAAAGAGGAGCTGCCGGAGCAACAATGAGACATTTTATGAGAAAGAAGACCTTAAACTGGTTTTCATTAAATGTGGCTTGATGGAGGCGCACCGGAAACGTCCACTGGAGCAATGGCAGCCTTTCAAAGCCCCCCTGCAGAAACGATAAGCTATAAAAACAAATGGCCCAGCAACAGAACAAAAAACAAGGCTCCAGGAACATTTGCTGGGCTGCAAACATGGCCCGCTGGGCCCTACCCTGCCTCCCAGAGGCTGAACTATCCAGACCTGGCCGATGTAGAGGATGAAAGGAGCCAGGGGTGCTTCCTCACCCCGGGAGATTCAGTGGTGGTGGGCCCGGCTGGGGCAAGTCGAGGACAGCCCTGGGCATCAGCAGAGTGCCAAGACAGCAGCTCACAGGTGCCGTGTGCCAGGCACTGTAAGAAGCCCTTTACACGCATCCCCTGCTGTCTTTGCTAACGCCCCTACAGAGATACGCTATTACCATTCTCGTTTTGCAGCCAGCAAACGAAAGAAAGGGAGGCTCAGAGATGTTGAGAAGTTGTCTCAAAGTCCCAGGGCTGAGTGGGAAAAATGGGACTTAAACTCTGTTCCAGAGAAAGTGCCCCAAACCACCTGCGACTCCGCCTCCTATGAGGAAATGGTTATGGACTTGAACTGAGCTTCAGACCTCAGGAGAGAGAGCCTCGGCAATAAATCATTGAGCCCAAACTCCTCGTTTCCCACATAAGTTGTAAGTGGCTGGGTTAGGGGTGGGGAGGAGACAGCTCTCTGGTACCGGAGAGGCCTGCGCTTGCACACATCTTCCTTCCTCACTCCTTACTGGCTGGCTGTGCATAGACAGTTCCCTACCCTCACCGAACCTCAGTTTTCTCATTCATGAAATGGGAGGAGCCTCAACACCTCGTTTTGATTGGTGTCACTGTGATGGTGAAATAGGATTCATTCAACACACATTATTGAACAGCTTCTAGTGCCTGGCACTGTGCTTGGCCTTGGAGATGTAGCAGTGAACAAAACAGACCAAAATCCCTGCCCTTACAGAACCTGGATTCTAATGTGGAGATGGACAGTGAATATGATAAACAAGGAAATGAGGCTGCATGTCAGAAAATGATGTCAGTCACTTGAAGAAAAATGAATCCCAGAGAAGGGGTGGGGGTGCAGCATGGAACAGGGTTAATAGGGTGCTCAAGGAGGGTCTCACTGGGAAATGATTTAAACAAAGTCTTGCCAGGGCTGAGGGGACAGTGCTCCCGGAGGAGGGCATAGGGAAGGCAAAGGCCTGGAGGTAGGAGCCAGCCTAGTCTGTGAAGGACCAGCAGGGAGGCCGGACAGAATGAAGAGGCCCAGGAAGTGCCGAGCAGAGCCTCTGCCTCCTGGGTAGCTGCTGTCGCCGTTATTCTTCTTTTCATTGTATTAACCACAGAGCCAGATGTCTGGACCCTCCTCCCCAGTCTGAAGCTTTTCCTAGCTTATCCCATACTGCATAGGTCAGGATGATGCTCTCTGGCTCCTGACCACTGGGTCCTCACTTTCTGCTCTCCTTTCCGTCCATGTATTCTCTTCTCACAGCATTACTGAGTAACCCTGTATGCGCTCAGGGACCCTAAGGAAGGCACCAAAAACAGGGTAACGGGACCCAAGACCTCCAAATGGGATTCTCTAGTTCCCCCGCCCCTTGGGTTCCTTTAGCAGCAGAGGCTGCCGGCTGTCCAGCCCAGCCATGCTCTGAACCACACCCAAGAACTCACAACCCTGGCAGGAGGACCCGGCCCAGTGGGTACCCCCTGGCACAGCAACTATGAGCACAGCTGGCCATCCTCTCTTTGCCTCTTTTAAGTCTCCTCCTGTCCTGTTCTTTGCAGTGTTGGTGTACTCTGTCTGCTCCATATGACACACACAGAAACTCCTGACTGGAGGGCAGAGGTTTTCTGTGAGTGCTTCTTGGAGTGTCTCCAATGGAAGCAGATTACCCCTAAGAGTCCCACTGAAAGGATAAATTGTTCCTCAGTTACTGAGATGTTCAACTCTTCCCCATTTACAATGCCTGGCACTCCTGTGACCCATCCATTCTACCTGATCCCATGCATTCCCACGTGATCCGACGCACAGCAGCCCACACCTTCCGCCGCTCTGCAGAAATGCAGTAGGACATCAGTGTTCACTGCGTGTCCTGGTGGCTCACTGCTTCTTACCACTCCATCCTTCTGATCCCTCCCCAGTGGAGTCATGTAATTGGATTTGCGTCTTAGAAGGAGCTCTCTGGTTGCCATTTGGAGTTTGGAGTATGGATGGGCTGGAGGATGTTGACGCAGGGAGTTCTATTAGCAAACTATGGCAAGAATCTAGAAGAGAGATGTGGCCGTGGTGGAGTGAGGATGGAGAATGGGCACTGGTTTCCAGAGATATTCTAAAGAATAAAAGCATCAGGGTTTGGTGATTGATGAGATGGGAGAGAAGTCTTTTGGAGAAAGCACTTATACAGCCAGGAAAATGATGACTGACAATACAGATGAAGGTGCAGTTCAGTAGATGTGGAAAGTAGGGGCTATTTTGCATTACATGAAGGAAACGTCACAATGATAACCACAGAAGTAGACACCTTTAGCAAAGATATGGATGTCAAATCTCTTGTCTGACATTGGTCACAGGACCCTTTGGCAAAGAATTTACACTTTGTGAGATGTAATTCTTCCTTTGTTGTTTGAGGATATGATGAGGTAACAGCCCTAGCACGGAGTCAGGCACGTAACAGGCAGCATCCATTGCTATGATGATTTGTATATGGTTGTGTGGAATGATAGTGATTGTTGTATTTTGTCCCTCCTCCTGCCTCCCTTGGTAAGGGTCTCAGAAGGGGCTTCTTGACTTTAAGCTGTTTTATATTATGCTGAATTCTTCAAGGAATCCAAGGAGTATCCAGCGAGGATCCAGCATTTGGCAAACAACTCAGAATTCAGATTTATCCTAAGTGACTCTGGTAAGTGAGAGGAAACCAAATAATGCCCCAGGGGACAATTCCTAGAAGGACTGCCCCGTCATCCTCCCCCACTGATATGGGGTGGGGGAGGTGGAGAACTTCTTAGGTGGAGAAGGATTTGGCCTCTTTCCAGCCAGAGACAAAGGGTGGATGTGATAGAGCTGGGGGTGGGAGGTAAGGAATGGAGGCCAAATGGCACATCAGTCACTAATAAAATGCTGTCGTTGAGGCCTAATAAACCCAGTAGCCCATCACTGGGCCACATGTGTGAGTGGGAGGACAGCCCTTTTCTGTCTGTCGAACACTTGCCCAACCCAAGCAGCAGGGCCCTGGAGCTCAAGGAGGAGTATAACTCTAATTGGGAGGCTGAGACCTGAAGCTTGGAGGCCTAGACTTAGGTGCTTGAAGAGGGGAATAGGGAGCGTCCCAGACAGGCCCAGAGGTATCTAAAGGCCCACATCACTCTCATCCCCATCGGTAGCCTCTCCTGCCTGGGCAGCCTTGCTTAGTCCCATGCTGCCCTGCCCCAGCCATGGTTGATTGGATGAGGGCTGAGCACTGGGACCAACAGCAGCCACCTCATCATCTGGATGGACTCCTGTGAATCGGCCTCCCTGAACGGATGAAATAGGCCAGGCAGGTTCTTGTTCTTGAGAATCTGAATTGAGGATCGTGGGGAGGTGGAGTTGATTAGTGGTGAGAGGTAAGGCTTCGAGAGAGAGTGGGAGAGTGGCCAGGGCAGCCATGACATGCAAGCTGTAGTTCCGAGGAACCAGAGAAGAGGGACGTAGAGAGAAGCAAATGGCACACAGAGACAGCGCAGCAGGAACGAGGAGATCCATGCTGCCCCAGCTCCTGACCCTCCTCCAGATCCTATGGACTGGGTGAATCCGTCCCCAGCCAAGCTCCCGTTCTCTTGATTTAGCTTAAGTGCCTCCTTCATTCTTACAACTAAGAGAGACTTACAGGGTGAAGGTGACCACACACCATGTCATCTGCATGAACCATCTCTGTGGTCTTCTCCAAGGGAAGGGAAACTGGAGGGAGGCCAACCGCTAACCCGCCTGAGGCCACTAGGCCTCGTTTGTGACCGCACTGGAGCCAGGCTGGGGAGAGCGCTGCAGTGACCTGGCCACTCACTCATCTTTATGAGAACATCCCCCACGTGGGAGCCTTCCTTTTTCATCGGGATGTTTTTCTTGATGTCCGGCCGAAACATTTCCATTCTTTATTTCTTCCTATTAGTCTAAGCTCTGGCCCTCGATGTTACTGGCTGATGTAACCCTGTCTCCCTGTAGCTCTCCCTCCAAGTGCAGATATTTGACTGCTTACACGTGGACAGCCTTTTGCTGCTGCCCCCATCCGAGACAGCTCCTCCACAGCCCCTGTTATTTCAGCCTTACTCCTCCACTCCCCCAGAGACGAGGTCTGATGGAGTTCAGGGATAGATGGAAGGACAGATTAAACACAGCGGGTGCAGGAAGGCAGGAAGGCAGGCCAGGAGAAGGGAGACTCATGGACTTGCAGTGAAACACCAGAGATATGGAGGCTTTGAGCAGATGTGGGACCTAGCAGATCATCCCAGTGGTAACAGCCCAGGAGGAATCCCTGCAGAGGATTCCCTTCTCTAAGGGGTAGAAGCTGAGAGTGGTTGTTTTAGGAAGACCTGAACCTTTCTGGGTGGAAATAGAAAGCAGAAGGAAGACAAGTATTGGCCACTATGGAATCCATTAGAAGGCTTAGAGAAGTTTTGACTATTCCTTTTGTCTTTTAGTCAAGAGGTAACTAGTCTGCTGTTAGGGAAGCTATGGGTAACCTTGAAGTAGACAAAAATTTGGATGAAAAAGGTTACCCAGAGCTGCTGTCAATGAGAAGGGGAGAAAGGGGAAATAATCTGAAAGACACTCAAAGCTCTTCATTTTTTCATGAAAGATCTGTCCCATCTTTTCATATTCCTTTTTTCTGTTCTCAGATATTTCACTGCCAGAGTAAGTTTTGGGGGAAGTCAAGTTTGGTGCCATGAGTTACGGACTCAACGTGTTGCTTTTTCAAGGCATGAGAAAGAGAGAGAGAGATGAGTTTTGGTCCTGACAGTATTAATATCCATAGTTCAGAGTCAGAAATCTGTAATACAGGTGCCACTACTCTCCAGTCCCAAGGCTGGCTTAACCAATACCTTCTGCACTCTTTTCACAGAGCCACAGTGAGTATGGTTCTCCAGGCAGCCATGGCAAGCCTGTCTTAATAACATTCTAGATGAGATGTATTTACCATCTTGGGCAATGTTCCCATTTTTGATACAATCTTCAATGATCTCAGCATTGGGGGATTAACGTGGCACAAGGGAGTGGTGACCTCCACCATAGCTGTACTGAAAAGAAAAAGAACTGACCTCTTCTGTAGGATATAGGGAAAAGAACTTATCTGTGTACATTTGGTTGGTTCCTGGCTTCATCCTATATAAATCCTGCGATCTTAGATAGATTCTTAGATTTTCTGTCTCAATTTTCTCAACAGTAAAATGGGTTTAAAACGTCAACTCTGCAGAATTACTATGAAGATTAAAGATGCTATATGTCATTGCTTTTCACAGCGCTTGGAAAATGCTCAATAAGGGGTAGTTTGGCAAAAATTGTGAAAATTCTTAAGACTCTTTCAAGTCTAGCAACTTGCCTTAATATGTTTTTGGCTGAATTGGTTCAAAAAACATTGACTTGGCATATTAACACATTGACCTGTCTATATTCAACGTTTGTAAAACTAACCAGGGCAAAACATTCCTGCTTGGATTACTATCTGGAGTCTCATGACAGTCCTCGCCTGGCTTTCTAGACAATCCATTTTGTGTAGACACTTAGCCTCACAATTTTTGGATTCTGTGTATAGTATGTGCTTAGGAATGGCCAATTTTTATGTTGGAGAAGACAACATAAAGATTGTGAAAGCTGCTCTTGATGAATTGTTAAACCTTCCCATGAACTTTCCCTACCAGAGATAGTCAGAGATAGTCAGATGCACAAGCCAGATAAGAGCCAAGAATGGGAATGACCATTCCTAGCATTTATTTGCAATGGAAAGCCAATGGCTTTTATTTACAATGGAAAGTCAACCCTACCACCAGGGCTCTTGTCATGTAGGCTACGGGGTCTAAACCCCAGCGAGCACCAATGGCGTGATTTGACAACCTAAGGCCTTTCATCAAAGCTGTGGCTTTTCTGGGACCTAAGGGGGAGCCAGACTGTTTTTGGCTGTTTCAGCGTCTTTGTAAAACCAAGTTGTTTGTCATCTTAATTTTTAAAAGCATGGAATTTGAAGTTCTGGCCAAAAAAATTAGCAACCTTGTACATTGCATGTAGCTTGCATAACAGATGGTGGTCTGGGAGGTTGATGTTTTTCAAGACTTGATGACTTCACGGCTTGATGTCCTGAATGAAATTGTTTTTTCTCAGATAGCATTTCAGGAATGGGGCTTTTGTTAAGGAGGAAGACCTGAGCTGAACCCAAAGTTTGGATCTGACTTTTCTTGAGTTTCTGAAATTCCCTTCCAAAGAAAACTTTGATGTTTATATATATACTTGTTGGCTCCTGCACATCTGCACCTCTCACTTTCTTCATAGGGAGTGGGAGCCAGACTATAATAAGAGAAGCTGTTATCTGAGGGTCTTGCAGTGACTGGGAAGTAAGGAACAGCCAACCCTTCCAGGACTGCCCTAGGTGCCTCCCAGAAATGGCATAAGCTTTGCATAAGCATTTGGTCTGTGGGGTGCCGGTCCGAACTGACCTTGCTCTTGAAAGGAACAAAGACATTTCTTTCCCAGATAAGAGAATTTTGACTTTAAAAGCAGCTATTCATGGTACAGTCATTGTGTGAATGTGGCTTTGAGTGTCACTCCCAGGAGAGTGGGATAAAGAACGTTAAAGCTGGGAGGGGCCTCCAAAATACTCTGGTTCACCTCCTTCGTTTTACAGATGGGGAGACTAAGATCCCGGACAAGAAGGCACCATCCTGAGCTCAGAGAGCAACTCAGTGGCTGAGCTTTCATTAAATCTTGGATTTTCTTCTCCCAAATGAGCATAGACCATTTCTTACCTCTATTCCCTAGCCATCTCAGCATCCATACTTTGCAGAAAAGATCAGCCTTAAATAATACTGGCTTAGTCCCCTAGTTCTCAGTCTGGAACATTCTCACCACAACAAGTTGTTGCCCAAAGTAGAAGAGTAAGGTGTGAAATGATCTATGTGAATTCTCAGTGGGCACCTATTCTGATGAACTTGCTCCCCAGTTCCCCAAGTGCATTCTGTTTTCTCCCTTAAAAATCACAGTCTTTTAAAGATGTCACAGAATGGCACATTGACTTATCCTGATCTTAAAGAGCATCTAGTCTGTATTGTCAGGTAGGATATAACCTCAGGTAGGGCATAAATGAGGTTTAATCCACAGGCATTAGCCTGGAAATGCAGCGATCCAGGATCCTTATCTCCCAAGAACTCCCTAAGATGCCCTTGGGATCCTGAACAAATCCTTTCCTCTCTAGGCCTCAGTATCTTTGTTTATAAGGCATGGGATCCAGTTGGCATTTCCCAAATATATTCTGATAAACACTGGTTCCATAGAACTGTAAAAAGTTTACAAAAAAAAAAAAAAAATCCCCACAGGATATATTAAATTAGTATTATTTACAATGAGCATTTAAAATATTTTTATTATTTTAATAAACATTACTGAAATAAGTATTCTTTTAAAAAATCTATAATCACAAACATTTGGCCAATTCTGGGCTAAACAACATTAAATATATTGTTTTTATTGCAGGACTTAGAGCTTTCAGTGTGAAAATGTGTCTTAGGGTGGGGCGCAGTGGCTCACGCCTGTAATCCCAGCACTTTGGGAGGCCGAGGCAGGCAGATCACGAGGTCAGGAGATCAAGACCATCCTGGCTAACATGGTGAAACCCTGTCTCTACTAAAATTACAAAAAAACAAATCAGCCTGGTATGGTGGCAGGCGTCTGTAGTCCCAACTACTCGGGAGGCTGAGGCAGGAGAATGGTGTGAACCTGGGAGGTGCAGCGTGCAGTGAGCTGAGATCGCACCACTGCACTCCAGTCTGGGCGACAGAGCAAGACTCCATCAAAAAAAAAAAAAAAAAAAAAAAAAAAGAAAGAAAAAAAGAGAGAGAGAGAGAAAGAAAAAAGAAAATAAAAGAAAAGAAAATACGTCTTAGAAAATCTCCAAGCATGGATAAAATATATGCTATTTCTCAGATGTATTTGACCAAGTGGATTTGTTCAATTCAGTGTCCAGCCTCAACCTGATGAACATGGGGCAGATGATCTCTGAAGCCATGCGAAGTTCCAGCATTGGGCTTTTATGCACCCTTCGTTAATATACTCTAACATTGTGCTTCTTTCATGCCTAGTAGCTCTGTTTTCTAAAATAATGAATGGACCCACTTCCAGGTTTTTCTCTCTTATTATCAGTGTGATTCTGTTTGTATTTTCTCAGCTTATGTTTTTTCAGATGCAGAAAATTATGTAATTAGCTGTGAGGTCTCAGGCCATAATTTGGGAAACATTTCCCACTTAAATTAAAGGCTCTGTACGCCCACCCAATCCACAATTGTGTGGATCTTTCAAAACTCTCCGTTGGCTTCATTTAATTGTTAAACATTAATTTAATGGGGGGAAATCTTCAAAGAAGGGATAGAGGGATAGAGGAAGCGTGGCTGGTAGGACAAAATATTAATAGGCGGTTAAAAGCAAAACAGTAATTCTTCCCATCTAAGCTTGCAGTCTTTGGTCGGGTGGAAAAGAAACAATCGGTTATTCCGGGATTATATAGGTTTCATTGACTTAAAATGACCTAAAAGCAGCCAGAGAGGGATTTACCTTGTCTTTATTTTTTGCCTGAGGAGACAGAAAGAAAAACAGGGTTTTGTTTTGTGAATCCAAAAATGCCCTTTTCCATGGTGGTTTCCAAAAGCGTTCGTTAAAGCACGCAATGCCGTTCAACAAAGACTAAAAATTAAAATGGAAAAATCCCATTTTGCCAGCAGCTTTGCTCACACAGCCATTTAGCGCAGCAAACTCCAACCCAGTCCCCAGTGTGGGACAGGACTCAGCACCTTCTCGGCATCCGAGTTGAGGCTGGAGATGTGTGGTGTTGTCATGGTGATTGCTGCCAACAAAGGTTACCCCTGGTGGAACCCCTTTGGCCCTGTGACCCACACACAGAGTTGGAATAATAGACTCTGTAAGTGGCTTCTGCTCTGCAAATAGAGACAGGGCTGGAAATCAATTATTAATGAGATGGGTGACATTGACATTCATCCACATTTAATAAGCACAGCCCAGCAACTGGAGGAAAGCTGGTTTTGCCCAGCAAAATCTCACGGGTTGATGTGAAATTCAGATAAAAAGAAAAGGCCAGGGACAAAAACCCCAAACAGGAAGAGATGATGGTCTATAGCTACTAACAGATTTTAATTATTTAGATTTCTCTGCTTGACATTCCTTTTGATACCAGTTTTATCCTAAATGACCTCAAAGGATTTGACATGCTGATCATACAATCTCCTCCCCACCGCCTCCCACACACCTACCAGAGAGACAATTGGAGGGTGGTGGGCTCGTCCGCAATTGGGGGAAGGGGATGCAGTGTTCTAATAGAGTAATAGGCACAGCCTTCATTTGTGGTTCAGAAGCCCTTTGGTCCATTTTTGGACTTCTTTGCAGAAAACTAAGATGCTAATGAAACTTTTTTCAAAAGGGAAAGATGTTGAAATGTGTCCTCATGACCTGTGTCCTCCATGCAGAGTAAGCAGGACTTTGGTTTCTAAGGCTCTCTACAAGAATTACCCTGGTTTGTCTTTTTAATTTCCTTCCAAGACAGCTTATGATTTCTTTGTATCTGAAAGAGTGGAAAGCTGCATTTGTACTAAACTAGAGGTTGACCCAGAGTATGCAGCCTTTGTAAGCGGGGAGAGCTTTTTAATTTAAAAGTATGCCTCTGCTCTAAAGTGCGAGTCGGGGAGCAGAGACACCGATCATTTTTCTAGAATCACTTCACAGATGGGTAAGCTAGGATCCAAAGAAATCAGCTAGCTGACTATAACATTTACTCAACTGACCTTTGAATGAAAAACACCAGCCAGCCTCCCTTTGGACCAGACTTCGTTAAGTCTCAGGCCTGGTATCTCACCCTTTGATATTCTAGATGCTTTTCTGGAGTCTGTCACTTCAGGGGGGGAAACCATCGTCTTCCACCTCTATGCTCCAAACCTATCCTGGTTTCTAAGACTGTTCTTTCAGCAAACTTGTCATTTGCAGACATTGATTGCTTGTGGCACCCAGCATGGCTGTGAGGGGAGACTTCTTGTGGAAATGTGGCCGGCCAGCCCCGCTGGTCTGCAGTGAGTTACCGGTGTCGGTGGAGCCCATGCGGCCTCCCAGCATGCTGGCAAAGGACGCCAAGGTGTTCAGCAGAGACTGGAGTCAATTAAAGGCTGTGACTTGGGAAAAGCCCTCCTTGCATCTCTCTTTTTAATCTGGACCCTTTACCTTTTGATATTCTAGACGCTTTTCTTTTGCCCTCTGTCAGCATTGAATTTTTTAATGTGACTGATGTCTCAGGTCAATAATTATATGTGGCGAAAGTTCTTAGGTGACAGGTTTAGATGCCTCTAATTTCAAGGCAAAAGCTTGAGGTTTCACAGTCCCTTCCTGTAGGACGGGGTTGAGGCACTGGGCCGAGGGGGCTGGGAGGCCATCAGCATTCTGAGAGTGATCTAGGGTTTGCCCCACTTCTGGTAGGTTGTCTTGATATCTGAGTAAGATGGTAGGGGCTCCTACCCTTCAGTTATTTCCCACACCCGTTTGTTTAGTGTAGCCCCTTAGCAGGGGCCAGGAAGTTCAGATTTATTACTACGAAACTCTTTAAATAAGTTTCAATTTTTATGTTTCACAATTTCTCAATTTATGACTTCAACTCCTTTGACAGAGACTAACAAACTTGGGTCCTGCAAGACCTTACTCCAGGCCCTGCATCAAGTCAGCTCAGCCAATCAATACAATATGTGCTTATTGGGCACATACTCTGTATCAGGCACAGTGCTAGGGCCACAGTGGCAGACCGAGTAGGCAGGATCCCTGTCTCCATGGAGCTCACAGCCCAGCTGGGAGGACCGCACAGCTACGTCTGGGAAGTCTCAGGGTTGGGGAGGTACGGGGCCTTGGAAGCAAGGGCAACAATCATCTAACTCAGACCAGGGCTCAGGGAGGGCTTCCCAGAGGCAGTGTTGTCTAACCTGAGGTCTGGACAGTGAGTTTGAGTTTGTCCAGTGAAGGAGGACAGGAGAAAGCTAAATCAGAGAGTGGAGGCAGCTGGGAAGATGGAAGAAGCTTAAGGAGGTGACTTGGTCTTGTGGGTATTTCCTTAGAACAGTAAGGAGCTACCAAAGGGACTTATGCCAATTTGTATGTTTTAGAAAGTTTACTCTGGGCACATCAGAGACAATGGGATTAGAATTTGAGACTTAAAACTATTGTTTTTTTGTTGTTGTTGTTGTTTTGTTTTTGAGATGGAGTTTTGCTCTCGTTGCCCAGGCTGGAGTGCAGTGGTGTGATCTCGGCTCACTGCAACCTCCGCCTCCCAGGTTCAAGCAATTCTCCCTCCCTGTCTCAGCCTCCTGAGTAGCTGGGATTACAGGCACCCGCCACCATGTCCGGCTAATTTTTGTATTTTTAGTAGAGACAGAATTTCGCCATGTTGGCCAGGCTGGTCTTAAACTCCTGACTTCAGGTGATCCGCCCACCTTGGCCTCCCAAAGTGCTGGGATAATAGGCGACCACGCCCAGCCTGTGTTGTTTTAATATAAGGAATGGAAGAAGGTCCACATAGGATGGGGGAGATGGTCCTAGCCCCTTTCACAGGTCATGCTTTAGGAAGAGGGTACAGACAGCCCCATTCATGGGTGTGAGCCTTACCTCTATTTTACTCCCACCTTTTCCACTGTTATCTGCTGCCGGTGGCTCACACCAGTCATCAGAACCTCAGTTTCTCCAAACATTTGTCTCCTGGGTATAAATCTTTTGCTCTGGCAACACCCCTCAATTGTGGCTTAGAATAGACTTCCACCTTCTCTCCCCAAAACCCACCCACAGCCTTTCTCTCTAAAAATAATATTCCTGGACCTGCTGGCACTCACACAAGCTCTGGGCCTTAGTTGAATTTGGAAGGCAGTCATGCAGTGGAATTCCAGCAAGTTGGCTTAAGGTACCCATTTATTTTTGTACAGTAGTTTCCTGCTTTCCAATATTCCAGAGGATATTTCTCCTGTCACTTAGAAGAGGAGCTGAAGAAACTACAAGTCAGGCAAGATGAAGGGGAACATGTTTCAGCCCCACTTGGAAAGCTGGTTGGGAAATGAAGCTCTGAGCCACTGAAATAACATACTGAACTCACACACCATGAAATACTACATCCTGGATACACCTGGGATGAGTCATGGCCACAGCAGGAACCCTGGTGGAAATGGCCACAGTGACTGATGGTTGATGGTCGAGTGACTTGTGTCCCTGGCTGTTTCAGCTGCTAGACTTCAGCCACTGGATTCTTTGTGCAGATGCTGCCTCTTCACCGTTATGTCTTCCATTGACCATGATGCTCAGCCATTTCCTCTCAAAACCATGGGGGCCATCACTGTTCTGTTTGGGTCCTGGTTTTGAAATGACTGGGGAACCTCCTGTCATCACCTTGTGCTCCTTCAGATTGCAGCTTGACCCCAAGAAAAGGGAAGAATTTGAATAGGACTGAAAATAATACTCACTACTATTTATTGAGCTATTATTTTGCACCAGGTCCTGTACTAGGTCCTTCTCTTTTTTTGACACGAGGTCTGTTGCCCAGGCTGGAGTGCAGTGACGTAATCTCAGCTCACTGCAGCCTCGACTTCCCAGGCTCGATTGATCCTCCCACCTCAGCCTCCCAAGTAGGTGGGACTACAGGCGTGTGCTACTACATGCTGTTAATTTTTGTAATTTTTTTGTAGAGGCAGGCTTTCGTCATGTTGCCCAGGCTGTTCTGAGACTCCTGGGCTCAAGTGATCCACCCATCTTGGCCTCCTAAAGTGCTGGGATTACAGGCGGGAGCCACCAAGCCTGGCCTTTTTTTTTTTTTTTTGACAGGGTCTCACTCTGTCATCCAGGTTGGAGTACGTTGGTATGATTGCAGCAGTCCTCCCATCTCAGCCTCCCAAGTACCTGGGACCACAGCCATATGCCACCACGCCTGGCTAAGGCTAATTTATTTTTATTCTTTTTGTTAAGATGAGGTCTTGTTATGTTGCTCAGGCTGGTCTTGAACTGCTGGACTCAAGCAATCCTCCTACCTTGGCCTTCCAAAGTGCTGGCATTATGGCCATGAGCCACTGCACCCCACTGTGCTAAGTTCTTCAGTACAGGATCTCATCACATCTTCACATCCATCCAGTGTGGAGTTCCTGTTATCCTTTTCCTGAGGATGAAGCTGGGCTTTCGGAGAGGATGTCGCTTGCCCAAGGCACATGACCAGTAAGTGGCCAAGCTGGGATTCCATCCTGACCTGTCCAATTGTAGGGGCTGCATTCTTATCCAGCTCGCCACGCTACCACTCACTCCCTGGGTGACCTGCCCCTCGCTGGGCTTCACTGTCTCTGCATCATCAAAATAATATGAAATCTTGAATTCGAAGGAAATGTTATAAGGAACCTCAGCATCTGGAAGGGAGAAAATGCAGAGCTGTCCTGGGTGAAGTGCGGGCATGTGAGAGTCAGGAGAGCAAGGAGCGGGTCTGAGACTCCCATGGAAGCATCTCCCCAGGAGCAGCACACGTGTGTTGCTGTTTGGTTTGCTGGCATCCTGATCTCTCCACACCAGCCCCAGTGGCCTGAGCCGCCTCTGGGTCTCCTACCCACTGCCCTCACCCCATCACCTTCCTTTCTCACCTCCTCTCTTCTTGGCAGTCTTCTACTCTTTGGCTTCTTTGCTCCTTTTGCCTGAGGGAGTGGACTCGGGGTTTGGATGGAACTATGATCACTCCCCTTACAGGGAGGTAGTGTGGATTAAATGCCAAAAGACATGCTGTGTGCTTAGTGTCAAGCCTGGTACAGGGCATGCAGCAAACGTTGGTTCCTAAGGTGATTCGTGTGAATACTGTCAGTATCATTCCGGACACAGAGGGAGATGAGGGAACCTTTGAACGGTCATGAGCCCTGGTTAGAATGGTTAGTCATGTTCTTCTCCCTCTGCCCCGTCTCTCACCCAAGCACCCTGAGCCCTTCTTGGACTCAGCCTCTGTTGCCAGGAGGCCTCTGCCACAGCCTGGCCTCTCCCATCTGTGACACTCCTGCCAGATCTCACTCTGTCCCCTGACGGACACAGGATTTGCTAACCCTGTGAAAATCCCTTAGGCGAGAAGCATATTTTGGTAAAATGAGGCCTTACCCTGTGGTCCTTCCAGTGTTGACCCTGTCTTTGCAGGTTAGCCAGTCCTGACAGCTAGGAAGACATTTTCTGACTCATGCCCCAGGATTTTAGGGGCCAAGGGCCCTCACCAGAGAAGAAGGGTTTCAGGCAGTTTTTGTTTGTTTGTTTTTTTCCTGTTCCGTTGAAAGCCCTGTGAGAGCCAGGGACCTTGTCTTTCTCAGTTGCTGCTATCATCCCAGCACCCAGCCTTGGGTCAGGCTCTACCAAGAGTTTATTAAAATATTTTGGAATAAATGTAAAAGTGAACCGATTAACTGAGAACACAGCACAAGTAAAGAAGGAGCCTGATAGTACCTTTATGTCCATGAGATGGGGGTGCAGCTTACTAGGGCCCAGTGGCCAGGCTGGGTTTGGTCCTGGCTGTACCACTTAATAACTTTGTGGCCCTGAACAATGGTCCTGACCTGTTCAGTCCTCTGTGTTCTCATCTCTAAATGAGAATAAAAAGAGTATGTATTGAAAAGGGACTTGGGGAGAATTGAGTGCGTTAATATATGTAAACAGCCTTAGAAACTGTACTTGACACCTGGTTCATGCTCAAAAAGTATCGTCATCATTATTACATACTTGAGATATCACTGGACATAGAGGTTTGTTTGCTTGTTTGTTTGAGGGCAGGGATGAATCTCACTGAGTTTTGTACCCCATGACAAGCCCCAGCTTAGTCCCTGTTGCTGGTGTTGTTTGTAATCATAAAATGAAAGCAATCATATTGTGTCGGTCCTTAGATTCAGAGGAAGAGACCTATATAGCTGGGGAGCTCTGATCAAGGCAGTGAAACGTTGAGCAGCTCAACCCAGGTCACCCTCTGTGTTCATGTTAAAGCTGGGACAAGGATGCAGGTCTAGCCTGAACTAGAAGTCAGCTCTATGGTCTTCCCATTCATGCAGGGAATTCTCCTAGTCAGAGTTACTTTGAAATGGCCCTTGATATCTTTATGCCACCAAGGAGATCCAGAAATCCTATGAAAAGGGTGATGTAGCTCAAGCCAAAGATCTTGTGTAGCTCTATTTGCGTAGTCTTGGTATAAAGCAGCCTTGAATCTGGAATATCAGCATGGAAGGCTGAAGCCGAGGACAGTTCCTTGAGTTTTATTTGCCAGTCTTTTTACAGCCATGATTAATGACTGCGAAACTGCCAAGGCTTTCATTCAAGCAAGTGAGATGAGCCCCTTCACCAGGTTTGCTATGTGCCTTAAAACTCTTCAAATATGTTGAGGTGGGAAGGAGAGAAGAGGAGGATTATGTCCTGTCATTGCCAGTGGTGGCCCAGGGAAAGGCAAACCATTCGACAAAGGCAGCCAGGAAGGGGAATTCATTTCTATCGCTGAGCTGAAATCCTGGGCCTGGCTGAGGGTTCCCATCAGCAGGTTGAAATCAGAGGGAGAATGACCTCCTTTCCTGATGAGATCGTGAGTATCTGTGATTTGTGCATGTGGTTATACACCAGGTCACCTTTCATCATCTTTTAAAAGGGAACCAGGAATCTTTGGGGACTTCTCTGTGCTCTGACATTCTGCTAGCAGGAAGTCAGGAGTCATTAGCATGAAAAATGGCAGCAAGGACACAAATGCACATCAGGGGCAGACAGTGGGCTGAGCAAACACATTAATGTTCAGGGGCAAGGGAGGGGTGGCTTGTCATGGGGAAGGATCAGCTTCCTTTTCCTAGAAGTTACTCCCAATTACTGCTTTACAAGAAGGGAAACTGTGCTTGCTTTGGCAAGGGCTCCTGCTTGTGACTTGAGGGTTGCATCAATTCATTCCAAATTGTGTTGGTAACCAATGGGAGTCTTGCCTTCTGGAGAATTACAGCTCCTTAAAGACATCCTAGCCAGCAAGTCAAGCCCAAGGAGTAGCAGGCCAAGGCCCCTAGAGTGGATCATTCACTTAATAATCAAGTCTTTCCTCCTGGTTCCTTCCATGGCTCTCCCTCCCCTCAGCCTGTGCCTCTCTATCAAGCAAAAATCTAACCATCAAAGGAATGAAAGGGCAAAAAGACTTGGAAAAAAATCAGAGAAGGGATCGACTCCAAAATGCAACATAATGAGGTTCCCTGAGCAGACTTCAAAAGGTCAGTTGGGCTCTGGAGCCCTGTGCGATGACCTCCCGATCAAATTATTCCTTCATAGTCCTGTTAGAATCCAAACCGTGCTCCTGTGTGAGATGGAAAGGTGTTCTGGTGGAGGGGGGATGCCCACCCCCACCTCTGACTGCTGCTTGTAATAATTAGGCTTCGTAACACTTAACACTTGGATTTGATTTCCCAGTGATGAGCAAGTGACAGTGGTGGGCCAAGTTCCTGTGCACAGGTGCTCTATTTCCAACCATTTCTTCCTTCTGATTTCCCAGCTCTTGAGGCCCCAGCCTAACGCATGGAGAAAGTATGGCTTTTGATGCCAATAATCTTGGAGATACTTGTTCCTGAGCTGAAAAGGAGGTTCTCGCAGGGAGATTTTTGTAGGCTCCAACCATAGGAGATGAGCTGAGGGAGAGATGGGGCTATAATTATTGCAGATATCTTGGGAAGCTGCTGTGCTGCTCTCCAGGCCCTGAGCACCAGGGACTGATCAAGATGGAGAGAACATGTCAGGTCAGACGTTTCAAGCCATACCAGGAGCCAGCCGACTGCAGCCCACAGCCAAATCCAGCCTGCCTCCTGTTTTTGTTTTACTGGATCACAGCCACACCCATTCATGTACTTATTGTCTGTGACTGCTTTCCTGCCACGATTGCAGAATTGAGTAGCTGTGACAGGATCATAAGACCTGCAAAGCCTAGCACATTTACTGTCTGGCCCTTTGCTATCTTACCAATCCCTGGTCCATAGCATGGTTTTCATAAACCTAAACATCATTTATTCCCCAGAATAAGGTATCCTTGGTTTTGAATTAAATAAGATGGCAGAGGCAGCTCAGCATTGCAGTTGCAGGAAAACTCCACTCATTTGTTGATTCATTCATTCATGAAATGCCTACTGTGAGATATTACTGCTACCAGTGACATCATCTCCAAAGAGGAATCCTTTATTCCTCTTGCTTTAGGAAGAGAATAAAGAGGAGCCTTTATTCCATCTAGACCAATGACCTAATCTTGAAAATGGGGAAACTGAGGCCCAGTGAAGAAAAAGTCTTCCAGACCATACAATGAGTTTGGCAATATTGGGACTAGAACTCAGGTCTCCCAGGCCAGAGTACTTGAATCACAGTAGTCAGCCATATTACTTCTCCTGTGTCTTCTGCATTTGATTGTCAATAGCAGCCAGTGGCCTGGGCACCATTTGAGGGAGCAGTAGTTGACTGTGTGATGCAGCAGTTTCTCCCCCTGAAGAGCACGTCTCTGGTTTGTTCTTAAGTGTGGCTGATTATGGTGATTATTCACGTAAATTGCACCTGTCACTCCTTTGCACAATGTCAGTCCAAGGGTAATGCGAGCTCCTTGAAAGAGGAACCCATTTTTTTCAGGGTGATTATAAATTAAATATAAATGTAGGCTTAGGATCCTGGTGGACATTCTTCCAGGGAATTCTTTATCTTGCATATATTTGCAAAGTAACCTTTGTAAAGGTTAGGCTACTCTTGGAACTGCAATACAACTTTGAAGTTTAAAAATTCCAAGATATTTTGGGAATGTAATAATCCCAGTTCTCTTTCCTCTAAGAGTTTCCGTACACCCTCACTGACTTACTGTTTAAGGAGTCAAAACGTGAACTGTGCTCCATAGTCAATCCAGGAGCTCACTGGAAAATTGACTCACATTCATAGCAATATGCAGGGATGTCTTGGGTTCAGAATGTGGATTAGCTAGAGTTTCCTTCAACTTTCAATAATTAAATGTTTATGATGGTTAAGATTTGGCAGATTTGGAGAGAAAAAAAGAATCCAAAGGTAGACTTGAAGGGTGGATATGCATTGATAGTAAATGAGACAGAATCCCAGGGCTATGGCCTGGGGACTCCCATCTCCTGGAACTCAACATGCAGAAACAAAACCCTATCAACTTCAAAGGTCAGCTCTGGTTTCTGCTTCATATGGCAGAATCCCATACTTGATTGCAACCTTGGATTTAGCCTCTCTGAGATCCACTGTCTTCATCTTAAAAGATGTGGAAATTAAGATCTAAGTCAGCAGTTCTCAACCGGGAGCAACCCCATCCCCATATCCCTCCCCACCCCCAGGGACATTTGGCAAGGTCTGGAGACATTTTTCGTTATCAAACTAGGGTACTACTGGCATCTGAGTGGGTGGAGGCCAGGGATGTTGCTAAACATCCTGTAATTCATAGAGCAGACCCCACAAGGAATTCTTAAATAAAGAATAATCTCAACAAGTCAGAAATGACTTGTCTTACAGAAAAGGACTAGACCTTGTTTATCCTTGTGTCTGTACCAGACAGTACCATACCTGCACACAATGGATGCTCAAGAAATATCTGTTGAACAAAGAAACATGAACATTTATGAATATATGAATGATTGAATATTATGCCTGCCTTGTGAGAGTGCTAAAATTTTTTTTTTTGTCAAATAAAGTATCTATGCACAGTCCCTGGCTCAGTGCCCAGCACATAGTAGGTATTCAGCGAATGGCAGCTCATGATGATGCCGATAACATTTACCTGAATTTGCTTCATACTCATTTTAAATAAGAATTCACTTGTTTTCATCCTTTGCCAAGATAATAGGCAGTCTGTGCAGGCAGAAAGCCCAGTGGGGCTTTTACAAATATTAGTTTACAAAGAATCTTTTTCATCTTGTTATTTTCCAGATAGGTAAGCCAAGGGCCACTTGGTTGTGCCTTCATTTCCGCTCCCTCTGGCAGGCTGTTCCTAGGCAGGGTTTTGTTTCTCTAAAATTATTGTTTCATTGCTTTGTTGTTCTAAAGGAACCTGTTGGTTAATATTAATGCATTTTTATCTTGGGCCATTTCCTTCAGGTTCTTTTTTCCAATCTGCCATCATATTTTGCTTCATCCTTTTTAATATCAGTGCTGCTTATGAAGCCCTTTCATGTACATATTACCCCTGATCCTCCAAGGAAGCCTGTGGGGTGTTACTATCTTTATTGGACAGGTAAGGAAACTGAGGCTCAGGACATTAAATCACAGCTGAGGAGTGGCCTCTGACTCTACCCTGACTCTACCCTATTGCCTCCTCCTAGGATTTGAGAACTAGAAGAGATTGAGAGACAGAGATCAGAAAAGGGGAGTTGACTGCCCAAACCCACGCATGAAATAGTGCCCAAGTCTCTGATGCTTCCATCCTATAGTTTTTAGCTCTTATTTTCTTTCCCACCTATACCTGAGAATCATTTTGCGATTGAGTTTCTCATTCATTCATTCATTCCAGGAGGAGGTATGGCATGCCTCTGTACTTTGTTGTGATGTCATGGGAAGACTTCTGGGTTGGGGTTTTGCTCTGCTACTTATCACTGAAAAGTGTTTGCCTAAGTTACTTAATTGCCCTGAACTTCAGATTCTCTTATCAGAAGTGGAGATGACAACCCTTGCCCTATGTCACAGAGTTGTCATGACGGTCAGTTGAGATCAAGGTAATAGCAAAGGGTTTGTGAACTGGAGTCTTAAGAGGATTTCGCTACGTTCTCTTCTCTCATCCTTTTCCCCCAAGTCTAGAGCTGGCAAATATGAACACTTCTTTTACACTGGCATACAACTCCACAATAAAAATGATAGTCATATTGACTAATATTTATTGAGCCCTTAAGACTGTGAGGCCCCCCACTAAGCACTAACATGTCTGGTCTATGCTATTTCTCTCAACACCTCTATGCTTTAGATATTTTTACTATCTCCGTCTGACAGATGGGGCAGTGGAGGCCCAGAAAAGTGCAGTTTCTTGTTCAAGGTTGCATAGCTAATCATGGGCTAAGCCACGATTGGACTCAAATTCAGTTGGATTAAAGAGCCCAAGGTCTTCATTCATTCACTGATTCATTTATTAAGAACCTCCTAGTGCCAGGCACTGTGCTAGGCACTGAATAGCCATGTGGATACTTCCTGACTCTCCTGCCCCCATCCAGGCCAGAACTGGGGTGGCCAGGACATCCCTTCCTCCCAAAGGAGGTGTGGAGACACGTGTGCTCCTGCTGGCCTGCAGACCCATCAGCTGTGTCAGCTGGAGTCCTGGGAAGAGGATGACATTGCTGCTTCCAGCTGGGAACAGCTGATCAGCACCAAGGGAGGGCCAGGAGGCTTTGGCTGAGCTGCATGAGGAAGTCCAACCCCAGCAGCAGCACAAGCACAGCGATTGTGCACCAAGGCCCCGTGAAGACCCTGGCCCGGGGACGAGTCCCCTCGTGCTTCCTGTGATGCTGCCTGCCAGAGCCTACTGTTTGGGACTTTTGTCCCTCCTGGCTCATCTTCAGGGGTTTCCTTGGGACAGAGTTACTTCATGGCCAATTGAAATCTCTGAAAAAACCTGTTGGGGCTTTCATAGTGCAAACACAACTGTTGCCTGTGGACAAATATTGACTTTTGGTGCTAACTCTCTCACGGACAGCCACCCTTGGGAGAGCCACGACGCGGGCCTTTGAGCACAAGTTGCTCAACCAGGTCAAAGGGAGACAGAAGCAAGAGGAGATGCTTCTTGGATCTCAGATGACCCTCTCCCAAATGGACCCCCATGGTTTCAGCACCAAGGCTGCCTGGAGTTTCAGTTTTATTGGGAGCAGTGCAGCAGAACTCCACCATGACTCCTGTATTAGTTTCCTAGGGGTTCTGTAACAAAGTACCACAAACTGGTTGGCTTAAAACAACAGAAATTTATTCTTTCATGGTTCTGGAGGCCAGAAGTCCAAAATCAAGGTGCTGGCAGGGCCATTCCCTCTTCGAAGCCTCTAGGGGAGACCCTTCCTTGCCTCTTCCGAGCTTCTGGTGGTTGCTGGTACCCTTGGCATTCCTTGGTTTATAGATGCATTGCTCCACCCTCTGCTTCCATCACCCCATGGCCTTCTCCCTGTATGTATTCTGTGTCTCTGTGTCCAATTTTTCCTCTTCTAAGAACACCAGTCATTGGATTAAGGCCTATCCTAATTCAGTATAACCTTATCTTAATTCAAATATATCTGCAAAGACCCTATTTCCAAACAAGGTCACATTCACATTTACTAGCGGTTAGGACTTGAAAATATCTTTTTAGGGGACAGAGTTCAACTGACACCACCCAAGGAATTGTTCTTCCCTTAAGGAAAGGTTATGTAGTCCCCACCTGCCTCCACCCAGCTTCCACTTTGCCCTGAAGTCACACATCTGGCCAGGTCACTCCCCTTCCATGGTGTCCCACTGCCTGAAGGCAGCATCTAGTCTCCTTAATGTAGCCATAAAGTCCCACGTGGCCTGGCCTTGCTTGCATCTCTGCCCTGACTCTGCTACTCCCCCCTTCCCATTCCATGTTGTGTCCTTGGTGCTTGAGGTTCACTGGGTCAGCTTTGGCCTGGCTCTATTTCAGGCCTTACCACATGCTGCTTTCTGCTCAGATGGTTCCTCTCTTCCCTCTTCCACTCGGTAGCTCCTACTCACCACCCCTCACATCTCAACCTGGAAGTCATCTTCTATGAGGAATGTTTGCTGGCCCTCTCTGACACCATATGAGGTGTCTCGGGGCATCCTGGGCCCCCATGAACTCACACATCACATTGTATTTCAGTTGTCTTCTTACCCATCTGTGCCCCTGACCTGGCTGCAAGTCTCCCAGATTAGGGTTTATGTCCTACTCCCCCTCAAATCCCCAGTCCTGGCCCATGGCTGGCAAAAATGATTGCTTGTTGAATTGAAGAACTGAATGAATGCATGAATGAATGAGAAAATAGGCAAAAATTATAACTGTATCCCAGCCACCTTCCTAATTTTGTGAAAATTAAAGGAAATTCTTCTGCCTTCCTGCTCTTGACACCCTACCATTGCATTCAACCCAAGCCAATACTCAGAGAAATGATGCTTTAGAAATTGTTAGTGTGCCAGGGTTTGGTCAGGACTGAGGATAAACCATGAGGGTAGTTCCTGGAGGAGTCTTGATTTGTCATCAGGAATGTCCAGCCTTGGGCCATCAGCACTAACGATGACCAACTGCGGTACCTGTGGCCGTCTTTTGAGTTTTCAGCTCCATTTCCTTTCTCTATAAAGGTGGAAGGCACCCAAAAATATGGATAAACTCAGCTAATTTCTTCTGCTTTGGCACATGTAGCTTTTGTGCATGATTGAACACCTCAGCCCACTGAAGAATAAAAACTGTAATTCCTCTCTCTCTCTCTTTTTTCATTGTGTTTAGCCAAAACAAGCTGTGAAAGAATGTAAAATATATCATTTTGTTGGCACCCGTTCACAAGTGAGTCAGTGAGCTTGCTCACATTTACAACTAAAATTGGATTTTAACCTTCCAAAAATTTATGACAACTGCTCCTTCTTGTGGCTTAAATGTTGACATATAATTAATTTAGGATTTCTTCCCAAGTCTTCCTGTCCAGGTTTGTACCTGCCACAGAAATATCCTTGAAAGTTTATCTAACAGCTGGAGCCATGAAAAAAAAAAAAAAAAAAAACCACTGGAGCTTTGTAAAACAGGGTGGGCTATGCCAACAGGAAGAGCCCAAGAGAAAGTACGAGGCTGCCAACGTGGCTGGCTGCCAGAGGTGCCCCAGGTTGGAGGCAGGGAATTTGCAGTTTTGGGGAAGCTTGGGGTTCCTTCTACCACTGTTCCTTCCTGGCCCCAGTGATGTGTTCTCTCTTTACTGTGCACACATCTTTTCATGAAGATGACCAAGCCCATACATAACCTGGGCATGAACACCCCACTGTGGTTATTTCTGCACTCAGGATCAAGCTGGTCCTATTGCCCAGCTCTCTGCTGTATGGGCGAGTATAGAGGGGGAGATAATAAGGACTACTTCTCATTGCACTCCTGTTATATGCCAGCCATTAGTAAGGGACTTTATAGGCAGAGTTCATTTTGTTTTATGTTCTCAACCACCTGGAGAGGTTAGAGTTACTATCTTCACTTTGGAGATGAGAAAACTGAGGCTCAGAGAGGTTAAGTGACTTACCTGAAGTCAGCAAAATGGAAAGGGGAAGGAGTAATAGGTAGTCTACACATACGAAGCTCCTGTTAGGCCCTGTCTCCGGCTCTCACTTTTAGTGCTTATGGCAGCAACAAATTATCTAGTCCAAAATGTCAGTAGTGCTGAGGTTGAAAATCACTGCTGCAGAAGCATTTGGGGCTATTCCTGGCACACAGTCAGCATTTGATAAATGTGTGTTACCATCAATGAACTTAGTTAGCTCTCTTCTTCACCTACTTCAATATTTATTGCATGCCCACTGTGTGGCAGGAACACAAGAAACACTTCAGTGAGCAAGACACACATAGCCTGTCCTCATGAACGCAGCCTAGGATGCAGTCAGGCATTAATCAGATCCTAACACAAATGTCTGATGCCAAGTTGCCCAGAAGCAGGAGTGCATATGGGGAGAGGGGGGAGAAATTGTCAAGACGGTGTTTGGCAAGAGGATTGGACCAGGAAGGGAAGTCAGGAAGGCTCCCCTGAAGAAGTGGTATTGAAGCTGACATCCAAGGATAAGCAGAAGGTAGCCAGATAAAGGATGATGGGGAAAGTGCCCAAGTGAGAGGGAACACCTATGCAAAAGCTCTGAAGGAAGACCCAGCCATGTGCCTCCTCCAGCAGTAGGAATCTCTGTTCATGGATTGGCACCCCGGATCAGGAATTTCATACATCTCTGTAGAGTTTTGCAATATCACTCAAGGGACTAGCTCCCAAGCAAGTTCTCCGTAGCAAAGCTGAGGCCACTGGTATATCCATGGGTCTTCCAGGGGACTCTGCAGTCCTGCTGCATTGGGCTTTGGCAGTGGCTTCAAGGGTGCCCCCGGAACCCACTGGCATTATGCCTCAGGTGACCACTTTGTCATGCCCCAGTCCCTTGGTCTCTGGCCCAGGTCTGCCCAAAGGCATTTCCTAGCCTTCAGTCCTGGATGCCAACCCAGTCTTAGAGGAGTTAAGCCTGAACCCTGCCTGCCAGGACTTTGGGATTTAATAGGGAAACTTCCAGCCAGTTCACATATTATGAAAACACATTTTCCTCTCTTTAATCTTCAAAGTGACCAGGGACAAAAGCAGCACAGAAATTCCCTCTCAGGGTACGTCTACATCTAAGTTGGAAACATGTATGATAGCTGGAAGCCCCATAACAGATGGGAGAATGGGCCCATCTTGGAGGCCCATTGTTACAGCTCTCCCAGTTACACGTGGAGACATTTACAGAGTTCACTTATATCCCTGAGTGGGAGCTGGAGATGGGAGACCAAGGGTTTCAGCCCTGGGCCCTTGTGCTTCATGCAGACCTACAAGGGCAGGCTTTGGCATGGGATTTAAATATAAGTTCAAACCAGAGAGTATGTCTGCTTTTTGGCACTGTGCAAATGTGACTGGCCTCAGATTCCCACTGAAATAACCTCTGCTTGCTTTTCTCAAACTCCTCATTCTTTGGAGGGGAATGTTATTGTTTCCCTTTAAGGTGGTCTGTTGGGCAAGGGAGGGTGGGAAGGAAAGGAGAAAGGAAGGAAGGATTCCTGTAGTTTTCATAAACAAAGATTGAAGACAATATAAAATCCAGACTGAATCTGCCTTTGTATCTCATTTAAGAACCCACTTCACTTTCAACTCTGCAGACCAAAACGAGGTAGCATTCTTCCTGTTCCTTTGTTTGCAGGTGAGGATTAGGGCCCAGAGAGGCAGCATATCGTTAAAAGGCCTGACTTCACCCAGCTGGTTGCTGGTTTGTGTTTATGTTTCCCTTTTCCCTTCTCCCCTACCAAAAATGGTCCCCTCCCCCCAGAGAAGACTATTTCCTTTTGTTGCGGGGAAACTCTGAATTGGTGGTTGCTTAGAAAACACATAGAAGTGTGTAGCAAGTTGAAGTTAAAAAATAGTTCATGAAATGCAAAACTCCATTTAGCCCCTATCTGCCAAGAAATAAATAGTTTAAAAAATGAATTTCAGATCACTGACAATGATGACTGTGTTTATGGCAGTGGAGTTGTCTGTCTTCAGCAGGCCATCCTTGCAGGCATACACCCAGCATTTAGAAATTAAACAAAAACACATTGAACTTGCTGCATTAGCTGTTGCCACATTGGAACGCTAATGGGTTTAGTGACCACAACCGACCCAGGCCAGCGTGTGTCAACAGCCAAAGGAGCAACCTCAGTCACTGTTTGTGCTTTGCCCAAGTTGTTACAAGCTTAATTCTTTGCAGCTTACTTTTCCTGCTGTTTTGGCTTCTCCCCCACCATGTCTTAGAAAGTGTAGCCCCAGCCCAGCCTCACATAGCAAGGCCACGGGGTCCTGGCAAGATGTCTGAAGATGCAGGCACCTCAGCCTCTTTGGTCTCATGAGCAGTTACATCAGGGCTCTGCCTACCCCCTTCTTTTGCCAGTCACTTCTATTAGGCGTTCTGGAAATGGCCCAGCCTGAAGCAAATGCAGACAGCCTCTTGATGAGCTACTCACCTGGAAAAGTGGAGTCTTTCTCTCTCTCTTCTTCTCCAAGAAAGTATGCTGCATAGCATTTCACCTCCAAGGTGGTTTCTTTGCACCACAGGCAAGCCTTCAGCCCTGCCTGAGAAACAAGGTCAAATGCCTCCATTTTTGCACAGCTGAATCAAGCACTGGGTTGTAGGATCTTGGCGGTGAAGAGGTTAAATTGCTCAAAAGGCTGGATCTGTGGTTTCCTGCCCACACTTGCTCTGGCCTAAGGCAGTGCTTGCTGTGTGGGGAGAGGGAAAGGGAGGTCTCGCCTGGACCCAGGTGGCCGACAGGCAAACCATGTTATTAAGAAGCAGGAATCGCAAAACCTTGATCTTCAAACGAGACCCCTAATTAGTCACCAGCCCAAGAGTAAATGGCATTCCACCTCAGTGAGGCGGGAAGGGCGCCTTCAAATCCTGGAGACTAATTGCCATTATTGGCTCTATGAAGATCCTGTTGTAAACACTTGTCATTGGAGCCACTTCTGGTCAGTAAACTTGAGATATCAAATTGTTCCTTCATGTTTCAAATTCTCCAGAATGCCTCTCTCTGGCTCCTTTTCTAGGAGGGGGCATCTCTTTCCCGAACATGACAGCTTTCTTAAGATCCAGTTTAGGGAGATGTCTTCCTGTGACTTGTATATGCTATGGCAGGCTCATCTTAAAACCAAGTTCTTTTCAGTAAAGGGCTTTTTAACAGTGTTTTACTTTATTTTCATTGGAATTTGAAAATGCCATCTCAAAAATAAGATAACAGGGCTTATTATCATGAAGATAATGGAGCTTACGTTTGGAGCACCTCAGGTAAGCTGACTTTTCCAAGGCCCTGGGAGGTGCCCCAGTGAAATGTTCACAAGGCCGTATCTTTTTATCAAGCTTGAAATAGTCAATTATTTATGTATTCTTTTTCTGAAAGAAGGCCTCTAAAATGGTACGAACTTTAGGCCACACAAAACCAAGATGTGTTCCACAGTATTCAAGGTGTGTTTCTCCCTTTCCTATCATGTGTTCTTGTTGCTTCTGGAGATAAGTATTTTCTCTCTTCTTAGATTTTTTTTTTTTTTTTTTTGAGACAGAGTCTCACTGTCTCCCAGGCTGGAGTGCAGTGGCACGATCTCGGCTCACTGCAACCTCGGCCTCCTGGGTTCAAACAATTCTCATGCCTCACCCTCCTGAGTAGCTGGGATTACAGGCACCTGCCACCATGCCCGGCTAATTTTTTTATTTTTAGTAGAGACAGGGTTTCACCACGTTGGCCAGGCTCTCAGGCCATCTGTCCCCCTTGCCCTCCCAAAGTGCTAGGATTACAGGTGTGTGCCACTGCGCCTGGCTGCCTTTTTGTTTCTTGAGCCTGTTTGGCATTTGTGAAGGGTACGGTAAACTTTTCCAGGCCACATACAGGGTGCAAGGTTTTGTCTAATTTTATCCTTTTTTTTCCTTTTTTTTTGGAGACTGGGTCTCACTCTATCACCCAGGCTGGGGTGCAGTGGCATAATCATGGCTCACTGCAGCCTTGACCTCCTGGGCTCAATCAATCCTCCCACCTTAGCCTACCAAGTAGCTGGGACTACAGGCACCTGCCACCACACCTGGGTAATTTTTTGTATTTCTTGTAAAGATGAGGTTTTGTCGTGTTTCCCAGGCTGGTTTCGTCATGTTTCCCAGGCTGGTTTCAAACTCCTGGGCAAGCAATCCACCCACCTCAGTCTCCCAAAGCTCTGGGATTACAGGCATGAACCATGATGTCCAGCCTAAATTTACCCTTAACTAGGAGAATGTTTCCAGAGATTGGGATCAAGAGATCCTGGATCCATCTGCTTCAAGGGCAGCCTAGATAATATCAAACCCAGATGGCAGAAGAGATCAATATAAGGAAGTTTGGGAGCCATGGGAATTTGATCTGGTCCCAGGGTCTCAGGACCACTGGAATTCTATTATCTGGACACTTTCATGGTACTAAGTATTAAATATGTCAGCGTGTGAGAGAGAAAGGGAAGAAGAAAGTAGTAAATCATTTCTGAATACTTCTTGGAAATGGTGAGTTTTTTCATTCACCTTTAACAATGATTTTTAGCCAGCATCAATGGGCCCTGGGATGAGGTATTCCACATTAACATCCATAGCCAGCCATGTGGCAGGGCTACATTTCAGATGATGTCAAGTATCCCCTTTCTCATGGAGCTGAGCTTCAGAACTGTTTCTTCAGCAAGCTCAGGAATCACTATTACTCAGCAATAATTCCTTTGTGTGAACAGTTTAGGGCAGGACAGGGAGTGGGAGTTCTAGACACAGGCTTAGGATATTTGTTCATAGGATACCATTGTCTCTGTGATGAAAGCCACAGTTTTCCCTCTGCAGGTAACCTAATAACCTCAGGCAGCTCAGAGAGCAGAGGTACCGGCGCTACCCAAGTGGGGTTCTCCAGGATGACTCGGACATCCCCCTCTTTCCAGAGTGCAGGTGTTCTGTTTGTTGGATCAGCCCCCATCTCTGATGTCAGTAGTGGCACCCGCAAAGATTCCCAAAGCATTCTTTTAACCTGTATGTTACACTGATTTGAGATGTTAGAAATTGTATTCCAAACCTTTGGTTATTTTAACTAGTTCAGAAAAGAAAGACTATCATTAGTTTTGACAACAAACAAAACCAGTTTTTGTTCTATCGGTTGTGTTTAAAAGATTCCAATTTCAAACTAAACACAACGTGTGGTTATTCTGTCAGCGATTTATATAGCCACCAGGGCGCCACAGTTACACACTGCATACATCATTGTATTTTTAAAATGTACTTAATGAACTTTTTTTTTCTTTTCTAGTAACTACTTCATTGCCTTAAATGAATGCATTCCAATAGAATTTGTAACAAATGACCACTTTGTGTTTGCATTAATGCCAAACACGTTTAACAAATTTTTAACAAGGAAGCTTGGCAAAATGCCAAACTCCTAGAGGGACACTGAAGGAATGCTATAAATTTAAACTAGATTTCACCTTTTCACTTAACTCAGCAAGTGTCTTAGGTGTCTCGCTATCTCAGGATTGTAGCATTTCTGTTTTTATGTCAGAAAAGTTGTACATTTTCATTATTTTTATTACTGAGGTTGTACCTACCTATTTCCACAGGACTTTTCAATCTATGCAACTGTTTCTGAAATAATATGAAAGCAGCTTAGAAATTAATCTTTATTTCTCCAAAAGTGTTCATATCTTATATAGGTTGGTAGATGCATGTATGCATATACTGTACATATCTACCAACATATCACTGCTTAAAACAGCACAGTCAACCAATTGTGTACAGTAACAATTGACTAGGCCAGTGGTTGTCAAGTGGAGCAATTTTATCTCCCAGGGATATTTGGCCATGTCCTGAGACATTTTTGATTGCATGACTGGGAGAGGGGCAGTGCTGCTGGCATCTAGTGGGCAGTGGCTTGGCATGCTGCTAAACATCCTACCATGCACAGGGCAGCCCCCACAGCAAAGAATCATCCAGCCCCACATGGCCGTAGTACCAAGATGGAGAAACCTTGGAGTAGAGTGACAAAGACCTTTGGCCATGGGCAGTCTCTCCTGTTAAAGAAGGTATTCTTTTGAGGAAAAACAATCAAATACATTTCTACTCAACCAATGCTTTAAAAAGTGCATAGAGTACCTAATGCTTGTGTTAAATGGCAGATATCTGATCTTTTATTTCACTGCTTTCTGCCCTTGAGAAGACAAAAGCCCAAAATGTAGACTAGGGTGGTGCTGGGGCTGGCCGGTGGCCAGAGTATATGCAAGACCAGCCGACTCGTGCCTGGTTCTGCCAGTGGGGAGAAGGCCATGGCTGGGCGCTGGGAACCATCTTGCAGGCAAGGCTGATTGAAGGCAAGGAGAGCATATCCAGGAGATAGTTTTAGGTGTTCTGTGAACAAGCACTTTTACTTTAATAGCCATGCAATTATCATAGTGCATATTAGACAGATAATGGTTCTATTATGGCAGCAAAATAAATATTTCTTTAAAAAGGAAACATTTAGGTTTTTGATAATTTTTTTTTTTTTTTTTTTTTTTTGAGACGGAGTCTTACTCCGTCACCCAGGCTGGAGTGTAGTGGCACAATCTTGGCTCACTGCAACCTCCACCTCCACCTTCCTGGTTCAAGCGATTCTCCTGCCACAGCTTCCCTAGTAGCTGGGATTACAGGTGCCCGCCATTACGCCTGGCTAATTTTTGTATTTTTAGTGGAGACGGGGTTTCACCATGTTGGCTAGGCTGGTCTTGAACTCCTGGACTCAAGTGATCCGCCCGCCTCTGCCTCCCGAAGTGCTGAGGTTACAGGCGTGAGCCATTGCACCCGGCCAGTTTTTAGATAATTTTTAAAAAAATGTTAGTTACATATCACAGGTATTGTGGAGAGGTTACAAAAATGGGAAAAGTAGGACACAAAAGACAGGTTTAGGAAATGCTTGCCTCAAGGAGGCAGTGGTCTCTGGAGAGAATGGTCGCTGGAGTCCAAAAGACCTGGATTCAAATGAGGCCCCAGGGAGCTGGGGAATTTTACCAAAAGCATCCAGTTCTTCTAAGCTTTCGTTTCCTCATCTGCATGAGGGGCTATTAACCAACTGCATCAGTACCTCAGTGCTATCGAGCTGGTTTCAGATAATTAATGCAAAACACAGAGGGTGGTGGCAGATAGCACGCAACAAATGGTACCTGTTAATAATTCTGACCACAATAATAATGACAAAAATAAATCCTACGGAGACATAGCAGTCTGTGCTGCCATTTTGATGTACACAGCCTATATTCATTTGAATCCCTTCATTTAAAACGTTATGGATGAGTTATACCCCGTGCACAGAAACCAAAGTTGAAATACCAAGTCCCTCCACTGCCTCCTCCCAGCAAACTCCGTCATCCCTAACAGCAGTGTGCAATTCTGAGCACAGGGCTGGCCCCGCCCCACCCCCATCCCAGCCCCCAGCCCTTTGGGTTCTGAAGTGTTACATTTTATTGCCCCGTGGAGCTGTAGGAGTCCACTCTCAAGGTAAAATGTTGCTCTCCACTCATATTTTTTGAATTATGGTTTCAAGGTGGTTGCTTCTATCAAGAAAATTAAATGATTTAACATAATTTGTTGCCACTTTGATCACAACAATAATAAATAAATCTTCATGAGGAAAACGGGAAACCCATTCCACCCCGTTTTTAAAGATGTTAAGTAATAACACAGATGTAGTTATAGTTTTGGTTTTTTGTTTGTTTTTTTTTTTTTAGCAGAAACGACTCTATTGGGTTTTCCTGTGAGCAGAGTGGCTTCATGGAGCTGTTCTGCAGGATGCCCGCTGCCCCCAGAAGGAGCAGCTCTTCTCCTCCAACCGTTGTTAATTAGTCTATCAGGGGCTTGCCTTTTATGTGGGCACCACGTGCAGCGTGTTAGGGGCATCTGAAGCCGTCGTGAATGGGTGTCTGTTTTTGTACCTGGGGGCACACTGCACACATTTGGAAAGCACATGGAACATAATGGACATTAACCCAGATGTCAAAAATAGCCTGCGTTTTACTACTGTTATTAAACAGTTTCCCCTTTAACCCCTCCGTGTTTACCAAAGACCCCTTTCTCCCAGCCTGTTTCTGCAAATCACTACTGAAAGGGCAGGAGAAGAAAGCCATAATCGGGCAGGTGTCTTTATTCCAAAGAAAAACAGTCTGAAGGAATATTTGTGAGACACCACACGTTTATAGCCTGCTCTCCCTGGGGCGTCTGTCCTGGGGCGGAATCTTACTGCTGTGCTCAGTCACCCACCCCGCCCCTCACACACCCCCACCTAGAACCAAGTCAAGAGCAGCAGTCCCACCCAATACTGGTTTCTCCCCACAAAGAAAATAGCTTTATATTTTAGTATGATACTATTTATACATTCTTAGGTTTAAAAAAATCCAAAAAGAGCAAAAAAAAAAAAAGTCTGAAGGAGAAAATTTTAACGGCTGGGCACCATGGCTCATGCCCGTAGTCCCAGCTACTTGGGAGGCTGAGGCAGGAGAATCGCTTGAACCAGGGAGACAGAGGTTGCAGTGAGCCGAGATTGCGCCACTGCACTCCAGCCTGGACAACAGAGAGAGACTCCATCTCAAAATAAATAAATAAATAAAAATTAAATACAGGGGAAAAGTTTAAAACCACCACCCAGAGATAAATATTAATAATATTCTAATGTATACACTTGCAAATGTTTGTTTATGTGCATGTTGATGCAAAAATGAGATGAAGCTATGCATATAAAATGGTAATCTGCTTTTTCCACTGAAAAGTTGTGGACGGACATCTTTTCCTATCAAAAGAAAATAAAGATTGACGTCATAATTGTCATCAGTCACTTAATAAATCTTAGGCATCCCTATCACAGTTCCCCGTTCCTTTTCTTCATGGTGCAAATGTTTACATTCTCATTCATTTATTGATCTGTGTGTCTATTTGTTTCTGTCTTCCTCCCAAGAATACAGGCTCCATGAAAGCATGGACCTTGTCTGTTTTTCTCACTATTATATTCCTGGCATCAAGCACACTGCCTGACCCAGCGTGGTGCTGCATTAGTCTTCTTTGGCTACATAGCAAATTACCATAAATATGGTGGTGAAAATAGCACCCATTTATTAGCTTACAGTTTTGTGCATAGGTCAGAAGTCCAGATGGGCTCAACTGGGTTCTCTGCTTAGGATCTCATAAAGCCAAAGTCAAGGTGGACTTAGCTGGACTTTAATCTGAAGGCTCCAGGAAGCATCCACCTTCAAGCTCCTTCGGGTTTTTGGCAGAATTCATTTCCTCGTGGTTGTAGGTCTGTGGTCCCTGTTCCCTTGCTGACAGTCACCTGGGTGACATTCTCACATCCTATAGGAAGCTCTCAGGTCCTTGCCCCTGGCTCCCTCCATCACAGCACAGCCAATCCCTCTGGTTTCAGATTTCCCTAACTTTCTCTTCTGCTACAGCAAATAAAAGTCTCTGCTATTAAAGGGCGTCTGTCATTAAATTAGGTCCACTCAGATCCACCCTTTTTTAAAAAATTTTATTTTTTATTTTAGACAAGGTCTTACTCTTGTCTGGAGTGGCACAATCACGGCTGGAGTGGCACAATCCCAGCTTACTGGATTGGCAGGCTGGAGTGGCACAATCACGGCTTACTGCAGCCTCGACCTCCCCAGTTCAGTTGATCCTCCCACCTCAGCTTCTCAAATAGCTGGTACCAAAGGGGCATCCACCACACCCAGCTAATTTTTAACTTTTTTTGTGGAGACGGGTTTTTGCCATGTTGCCCAGGTTGGTCTCCAATTTCTGGGCTCAAAATATCCACCCACCTCAGCCTCACAAAGTGCTAGGATTACAGGCATGTGCCACCTCGCTTAGTTGATAATCTCCCTTTAGACTAATTTGAAGTCAACTGATTAGTAACTACATCTGTAAGGTAACTTTATAGTAAACGTGGTCTGAAACGTTCTCACTCCCTGTGCCAGGGATTCGGATAGGGAATCTTGGATAAGGAGTAGATTTAAGGATTCTGCCTACCTGAGGTACTCTCTAAACTGGTAGGCTGGGTTTAGTGGCTCATTCCTGTAATCCCAGCACTTTGGGAGCCTGAGGCAGGTGGATCACTTGAGCCCAAGAGTTTGAGACGAGCCTGGGCAACATAGTGAGAACACATCTCTGTAAAAAAATACAAAAATTAGCCAGACATGGTGGCATGTGCCTGTAGTCCTAGCTCCTTGAGGGGCTGAGCTAGGAGGATTGCTTGATTCCAGGAGGTCGAGGCTGCTGTGAGCCATGATCACACCACTGCACTCCAGCCTGGGTGACACAGCAAGACCCTGCCTTAAAATAAAAGATATGTATATATATATATACATACATGCACACACGCTCTATTGGATGTACAAGTCTAGACAATTCATCAGAAGGGGACTCTGCAGTATATGTGAGACTTCCCACTCTATATCACATCCGAGAGGGTCAAGAAAGGCTTCTTGGGAAGACATGACATCCAAGCTGAAACTGAGGAATAAACAGGGATCGATCAGATAAAGAGCTGGTGTAAATCATGTTAGATAGAGAGACACGCTTGTGAGAGGGGGAGAAAATAAATTTTTAGGGCTGCAGAAGCAAGCTCAGCTTTGGTGGAACATAAAGAGTGGAATGTCAGCGTTAAGTACAGGACTGCAGAGAGAGAGGCCAGATGGGGCCTCGCCAGTATGGCCAGGAGTCCATCAGTCCTGCATTCTCAGGGCAACGGGATTATAAACAGGGTTGTAAACAGGAGTTGTAAACTGTAAACGGGAATGCACTATGGACTGGATGTCACCATTGAAATGGCGCTGTTGTTGGCTGCTGCGTTGAAAGCGCAGAGTTGGGTGCTGTAAGAGGAAGCTGGAGAAGGGTAAGGGCCGCTGTGACTGTCCAGGTGAGGGAGGACTGGCCAGGGATCATCTCACAGTGGGTGGCAGCCCAGATTGGCTCATTGCTGGAAGCCAGGATTCGTTTTTTATTTTTATTTTTAAAGCATATGCTTCTTTGCCCCCCCAGAAGGGATCATCTGCATTTCTAAATGCTGGCGGTGTCACTTGAGGTTTCCTTGTTGTTTTTCTTTTTTTCCTTAAAGCCATTTAGGCCTCCTGGTGAATGGATTGTTCGATTGAAAGAATGGCTACACTTTTTGAGAATTCTCTTGTCTCCAGCATAAACCTTACCCAAAAGCAGTTTGCTGCAATTGTGGGGCATTGTATTCTGCCTTGTGACCTGCTGCCCAGCTGGAAATCTTTCTCACAACTGAATAAATGACTGTTCTTTGCTACTTTATCTTGGAAAAACATCAAGGACATCAGACATTCACTGTAATTATTTTTCATCTGTAAAACAAAACAAAACAAAAGACTGGTGCATTTTAATACTACTTAGGGTTTCTCTTTACCTTTTAATCATGTGGCCTTTTAATATATTGGTCAGCCCTTTAAAAGGATGATTAAGAAATGCTTAATGCACAAAAGAATTAGAGCTATGCACAGCTCATGAAACAGAAAGCGTGCTCTGACTTACAATTTTCATACAAAGTTTGCAGAGAGTTTATGTGCCAGAATGAGTAATATGATCTGCTCTAGGAACTCCCTAACTTTCTGGCTCTGCAAAAGTCATTTTTTTGCCCCGATTCAAGTTTCTTAACCAGAAGGGTTACACCAAAGTCCTCAGAGTATGAATTAGCAGAGTTCATCCAAGCCACATATTTCATTTGCACTACTTAACGATGGCTTGAAATAGCTGGCTACCTGTGCAGACACTGGGATCTTTGGCATTCTTGTTAGTCGGCGTGACTCGAAAAATGCTGCATATCAACCACCAAATGAGACAGCTCAGGATATATATACAAGGTGACTTGTGTGTACACGAGTGTGTGTGTGTATGTTTGATCTTTCCTCTCCCTGCCATATTTCCCAGATAGCTGAGCTCATGTGGCTGGAAACCCAGAAGCACTCACAGGCCATATGTGAATGATAATGGCACAGGCACACAAAGTTGAGCATCAGCAGGGAAGAAAGTCCTCATCTGAAGCAGTAGTGTGGGAGGGATCCCCCTTCTCACTCATTGCACTATTGCTTCCCAGGATGCAGTTGTATCCACACTCTGGGCCCCTCACTGGGACAGTGAGAAACCTTGGGGTGCTTCTGGATACCTGTTCCCCAGGGCAGTAAATAGACAAATGGATGACTGTCACATTTATGTTTGGTTGGTTTTTAAGTGCATGCTAAGTTCTCTGATATCTTAACCACCTTTAATTCTTTAATCTCCATAAAATCAAGTTAAAAAATAATTTTAAAAACATCATCATTGTAGAAAAGCGTAGAGAGAATAAAAGTTGACATATAGTCCGATTATGTGGAAATAATCACTGGAACATTTTGGCATATTTCCCTTCAATTTCCTTTTTTGTATATCAAGAGACATTTATACATATACGTGACATATTTTGAAAGAGGCCTCTTCTCAGATGCACTTGCAGGACGTAGTTTATCTTTCTGTTTCCTTTGTCCTTCCTCTGTGTTTCTTCCCCTTACCCCCTCCCCACTCCCACCCAACCCCAACCATTGAGAGTGGTGGAGAGGCTGTTGTAGGGGTGAAGAGTGGGAAACGTTCTGCCAGGATTATCTCAGATATTGTTGCCAGTTTCTTCCCCTGCTAAATTATGTGCTTTCTTGTTGCAGCTATTAGAAGGGCTGAATAAAGGGAACATGCAGCTCTGCAGCAATATTCTGATAATGTATTGCAGTGCGGCTCACATCACTGTCCACCACCACCTGGAGCGGCTCATCAGAACTGAAGGGGAGTTTTCACTTACCTTATTGAGCGTGATTCTGTTCTACTTGATATTTCCTTCACCACCTCATGTCATTTCTCATGGATTTGGTTATGATGGAAAGGAAGAATGCAGAGGAGGAGAAAAGTGACAGATCCTCCATTTTTGTTGGGATGCGGGCATTTTGAATGTGATCATCTTTGCTGAATGTCATTATTTGATAACATTTTGTTTATGTTACTTAAACATCATTGGATAAATTTGAACTCCATGGGATTTTATCTGTGGATTCAGCTTCTGTTGGACAACTAGCCTCATCTCCAGTATCCTGCTGGTTCACTCTAATTGGTCATTCCTAATGCATTAGATTATCAAAAAGTATAAATTCGCTGTGAGTGAGTGGTGTTGGCAGTGTTTGTATACCATGATGCATGGAGTGTTTGACGAAGAAACAAAAAACACCAAAAATTGCGAGCCTTTACCCTCCTCTATTTCTTTAATCTGTTGTTTGAAGAACCGCATTTTGAGGGTGTAACCAGTAGTCACCTCTGGGCCAGGTTGGAAAAGAAATCAATTTTTTAAACCACTAATGCTTGCCAAGAAATCGCCTTATGAGAACATGGTGTGTGTCTCTGACAATGCGTGGCACATCTAAATTGATCATTCATAATTTTATCTACCCAGTCATGTACTGGAGAGTGGCAAAAGTCTGAGGCACCTGCATATCTCTAGTCCCTGTGTTCTGCACATCCCCACGGTGGGGACGCCACCAAGCCTCAGACTCTTACCATCCCGGTGCATGCAGGTCTCCATGAAGAAGCTGGGACTCATTCACATTTCAAGATCCAAATGCTGTGCAAACAGTGTAAGCTTAGATTTTCTGTAAATGAAGGGTCATTTCTCTTTTTTTTTTTTTTTAAAGAAAATGTGTCTGCAACATGGATTCCAAAGCATTTTCAGCATCAAACATGAAAACATTGATGAATGAGGAACAATCACAAAAGCTGTGTCTCTGTATATAGCTCTACACAACATGTATGTGGATACAGTCATTATTTAAAGCACATGCCAGGGAAAAAGACCAAATTTTGAGGTCTTTTACATACAGTGATATGGTACTAAGGAGAATTAAACTCCTACTGCTTCCTCTGAATATTAAGAAACAATTTAAATTGTTATAACTTCATAAAACTCATGACTGAGTCTGGCAAACATGTGCAACTCTTGTATTGCTCCATTTTCTTGTCAATGGAAGAAACCCTTCCACGTGTATGCAAGTGGGAGATGAAAACCTGCATTTTTAAAGGACAAACAGTGAATTTAAGCATGAGTGGCCTTAATAAATATAGTTGTCTTTCTTTGCTGCTGTGGAAAGGATTCTAAACAGATGTCCCTGAAGTCTTGCATTGAATTTAGTCATTATTATTACTTTTTAAAATGTTGGTGCAATTAACTCTGGACCTCTCTTGTGAGCCATAGAGATATTTAAAAGACAAACACCTTATTTGTCGGGGAAGATGAAACCGTCCCTGAGTTGCACCATTCTTTCTTGGTGCATTCGCGGTTAAGATACTCAAGCAGGTTTCTTGCTTCTGGCTTTGTTCTTGTCATCAGTAAGTATAACAAACTATGTAATGCTTATGTGTTGCATAAACAATCCAAATGCATTCATGTTTTAAAAGTTTGTCCTTTAACTATCAGAGGGATCTAGGTCTTGGTTAGAGAAGTAAGCAGAGTTCTTTGCAAGCTTATTTAGCACATTTTGACACAATGTTGCACTGAAAACCCAGGCCACAAATGTGTCCCAGTGAACAGTTTGGATGTCCTCAAAGAAGTGGTTCTCACTGCCTCCTACAACCAGGTCTTGACCTGAACTCTGCAACTGAATACTTGAAGTAGGAAGTAGGAAATCCAGTAGGGAAAATAGGGTCCTTGAAACAGAAAAAAAAAACCAACCCATGTATAGCTAGCTATTTCTATGTATGTGCCAATTTTGTCACAGCTCTTGTTTGGAGGGATCATTTTCTGCCCAACTTTCATTGGTTAAAATATTACTGATCTTACCTTTATGAGGTCGTATAATTTAGTCCCTTAAAAATTAAATTCTCTCTAACATAACAACCTTTCCCATTTCGTGTAATATTCTCTGATGTTTGGGGGTTACCAAAAATATCCCTTTTTCACATATTAAGAATAGTCTCTGGGTTTACAACAAACACTGTGATGTTGGGAAGCTATTTCCTTTGCGCAAACTTTAACAGGTTTTCTTCTAATCATAACATAGTTGAAAAAAGAAGTTTGGGCTAACATTTAGGAGAAGTTGGTCTTACTTTGTGCAAAAGCAGGCTTGTGCTTTATACCCCATTTGATTTCGATGTACAGTCTCAATTTTGTATTTAATGATTTTTGTGTATCCAGTATGCACGTTAACAGCGTGTCAACTTTCATTTGAAAGTGGGTTTCAATTTACTTTTTAAACAGTGTTTATGACGAGACCTCAGATGTGTTGACGTAAGCTCTATCTGCAATGTTTTTGTGTAGAGTGGCGATTGAATGCTGCCCAGGGTCAGTGTATCTAATTCCCCGAGACCCTCGTTTGATAGTGCTTCTTGTAATATTTCTTCAAGTGAGTGGCATGTGGGTTGTGATATTGACCATGTGATTATGGACATCGATATGAAAAATAAATAAATAAAACTAAGGAACCCTGGAAACTACCAGTGGGCATGTATTAGCCAGTCATTGTAACCTCGTGTCTAGTAGAACAATGTACAAGGTATGTACAGTTCATAAATTTGTTGTCATGTGTATGAGAAGTACTTTGTGCTGATCGCCTTATTTATATTCATCAAATAAACCTTGTTTCTTTCTGAAGTGAGTTCATTCTATCTCTAATAAATGCTCCAATTGTGCAGTTTCTAACATTTTGAGGGTCATGGATCCCCATTTGAAGAACCCTATGGACTTAAGTAAAAAGGGAAGTCATTGGCTCATTTAACTGGAAAGGCAAAGACGTAAGTCTTCCTTTATGTACAACTGGATCTAGAGGTTCAAATTAGAAAATCAGAAGTTCACATTAGGAAATTTAAGTTACTGTCATTGTCTCCCTTCTTCCTTTCTTCTTTCCTTTCTCTTTTTACCTTTCTCTTTCTCACTCTCTCAATCTCTTCCTCTGTCTCTCCTGATCCCTCCCTCTCTTCCTCCTTCTCATCTTTTGTCTCTTCCCTTTTTCTTTCTCCCTTTTCTTGTCTCTCCCTCCCTCTCCCCTTCTTCTCCCTTTCCCCTCCTTCTTCTCTCCCTGTTTCCCTCTGCACTTTCTATTGGGTTGGCTTTGGACTCTGGTAAGCTCTCTCCACTTGGTTGTAAAGATGACTTCCAACAGCTTTGAGTACTTTTGATTTTTAGAGGAGAGACTAACTCTCTGAGCTACATCTACATCTGTCCCCTAAAGGGACACTTGGTGATTCTTTTTTGGATCATGCAAACAATTACCTTTTTCAAGGCCATGTGGTTGACAGCCTCACTGGTGGGGGTGGGGGGAGCAGTTTCCAACAAGGGAAAATGGATTCTATTCTAGAAGAGAGGGACAAGAAAGCTAGGCAGGCAAAAATACTAGCTAGCCCTGCCACCACTTGGATACACACACAATCGTCCATGCAAGGGCTCACCAGCCTTCACAGCGTGTCTGTGGATCAGTGAAGAACCTCATTGCTAGCTGTCCTTTTTTAGCCTGCAGAACCAGCCCCTGGTTCCTTTAATGGTTTGATTTATATGCCAGGGGATGAATTTCCAATTCTTACCATGGCTGAAATCACTGAGTAATTGATTGTCAGAGCTAGAAAGTATGTTAGATGTCATGTAATCCAACATCTTCATTTTACCAGATGGAGAAACTGAGGCCAAGTCAGAAGTGACTGATCCACACATACATGGTAAGTTCATGGCAAACCAAGACTGTCCTCAGAGCTCTTGAAACAGGAAGATGTGTCCCTGAAGCTCTTTGAGAAGGAGAGGAAGGAACAAAACCTCCCTCCAGCTGCCCCTTAACAACATGGGGGAAATATCATTTTGTTTCTGTACTCAAAGAAACATTTCTGGGCTCAAAGCCACCACATGTGACCTTCCCTCAAAGTTGGGTACTTTTGGGGGGACGTGCAAAGTTGTTGGCCCTTTCCATTCTGTTGCCTTTTTATAGAAAGAGAACTTCTTGCTGGACAAGAATTTCTTGCCTCCTAGAATTTCCTGAAGCAGCAGCTGGCATTCAGGCCTGGCTACGTAAACCCATCTGGCCACATGGAACCTTTGCTTCTTTACCCACAAGTTGGTCTTTTTGGTAAGAAGGGTACCAGGCTGACACACTGCTGGACTCCAACTGCAGGTTCATCTGTACCTTTAGCTCCATGGAAGCACATAGACTTAAGTTTGGTACTCTGGAGGTTTGACTGCATCTGATATCTGTGGACTGCCATTACAAAAGATTGGAGAGACATCCTAATTCATAGAATTACTGATCTGTAATAATAATCATACTACTAATAAATAACTGAACATTATTGAGCATTCGCTAAGAACCTGGCCACAATGCTAAGGACTTAGGTGGATAGACTCTGTTTATTCCTGACAACAGTCCCACGAGGTAGATACTGTCATGACCCACATTTTACAGTGAAGGAAATGGAGCACCACAGAGATGACCAGAAGCAGCATGCAATTCCAGATTGTATATTTGATGCCAGTGTTGTGCTAAAGGCTTTGCTTACATGAACTCTTATCCTCATAGGAATCCCTTGAGGCAGGCACTATCATTGACCTCACTTTACAGACAAGGAAAAGAAGGCCTACAGAGTTTACGTACCTCATCCAGGGTCCCCCAGATAGTAAGTGGTGGAGCCAGGCTTTGAACCCAGTGCCCAGCAGGCTCTTCTGCTTAGGGCAGGTATTGAGGTATCTCACAGGTCAGACCAGTGAGACATTAGGGGCTGAGGTTCAGATCCCACTTAGTGTTTCTGGGATGCATTTGGTCTCTAACGTGGCCACATGGCACACAGGGCCTGAAGAGGCTGGTGGCTTCATCACTGACTTCCATAGTTAACCAATAGTACAAGAGAATGGACTACCACACAGAAAGGCTGTGGCTCCCACGGGAAATCAAGACACAAGGAAAAGGAGAGCCTAGATAAAGCTCAGTGCACTGTATTTAACCTTGCTACCCTCGGGCCTCTTGGATTTCTTCCAAGCCCTCAGTCTCTGGGCACCAGCCCAGCTCACCTCACAGGCATCCCTGAACATCCTTGGGGTTGCAGATGGAGCACCGAGTGACAGAGGACTGAACAGATCCCCCCCAACCCTGAGGTGGGAGAGGGCCTTGGGTACCATGCTAAGGGGTGTGTGTTCAGGTGACAATAGCATCAGATTGGTAATCAATATACCTCAACTAAAATCTCAGTTGTCTAACCATTTTGCGACACCTGTGCTTGGGAAAAGCATACAGTCACGTAACTGCATGTGACCTCTGTTTTTGAATATAATCAGTGGGAACAACATAGCTCCCAACTACCTGATATGGGATGTGAGTGGACAGAACAAGGCAATTCATGAGAAAACACATTTTAATAGCAAAACTCTTCCACAACTCTAACAAAGTCCTAGAGCCGCTTGTTTTCATTTTTAGAATGTACATTCAGAGAAGGAAGTCTTCCTCCTTCCTTGCATAGGTATAAGATACTCAGGTGATAGTGGTTTGGCTATGTTCCCACCCAAATGTCATCTTGAACCGTAGTTCCCATAATCCCCACATGTCGCGGGAGGGATCTGGTGGAAGGTGACCGGATCAGTGGGGCGGTTTCCCCCATGCTGTTCTCATGATAGTGAGTTCTCACGAGATCTGATGATTTTATAAGCCTCTGGCATTTCCCCTGCTTGCACTTCTCCCTGCTGCCACCTTGTGAAGAAAGTGCCTTGCTTCCCCTTTGCCTACCACCATGATAGTAAGTTTCCTGAGGCCTCCTGAGCCATGCTGAACTGTGAGTCAATTAAACCTCTTTCCTTTATAAATTACCCAGTCTTGGGCAGTTCTTTATAGCAGCATTAGAATGAACTAATATGTCGGGTGAATAAATCAAGCACCAGATTTGAGAATAAAAGCTCTTCAGAAGGAACCATTGCTTCCTGCTGCTACAGGAACAAATCTTACAGCCTACTGGGTGAAAGCAGATGTACAAAAGAGGACATACTGTGTGATTCTATCTATATAAAGCTCAGAAAAAGACAAAATTAATATATAGGGTTAGGAGTTGGGATTCTTGACCTGGAAATTTATTACATGATCATGTTCAGTTTGTGAAAATTCATCAAGTGATATACTTACAATTTGTGTACTTTTCTACCTCTCTGTTTTATCTTATTTGAAAGGTTTAGCCTAGGCCGGGCACAGTGGCTTACGCCTGTAATCCCAGCAATTTGGGAGGCCGAGGTGGGCAGATCACCTGAGGTTGGGAGTTTGAGACCAGCCTGACCAACATGGAGAAACCCCGTCTCTACTAAAAATACAAAATGAGCCGGGTATGGTGGTGCATGCCTGTAATCTCAGCTACTCGGGAGGGTGAGGCAGGAGAATCGCTTGAACCCGGGAGGGCAGAGGTTGCGGTGAGCCGATATCGCGCCATTGAGCTCCAGCTTGGGCAACAATTTTTTTTCTCAAAAAAAAAAAAAAAGGGGTTTACCCTAAAAAATTTTAATGCCATCAAGCATTAATCCAGTTTCACATCACAGGGGTTGGAAAACTAAGGCCTATGGAATAAATGTAGGCTTCAGGGTTTCTTCTGTTTGTTTGTTTTTGTTTTTTGGGGGCAGGCACTATGTCTTAAAAATTTCTTTCTTTTCTTTCTTTCTTTTTTTATTTTATTTTTATTTTTTTGAGACAGAGTCTCACCCTGTCGCTCAGGCTGGAGTGCAGTGGCATGATCTTGGCTTGCTGCAACCTCCGCCTCCCAGGCTCAAGCAATCCTGCCTCAGCCACCCGAGTAGCTGAGATTACAGGCCTGTGCCACCATGTCTGGCTAATTTTTGTATTTTTAGTGGAGACAGGGTTTCTCCATATTGGCCAGGCTTGTCTTGAACTCCTGACCTCAAGTGATCCACCTGTCTTGGCCTCCCAAAGTTCTGAAATTACAGGTGTGAGCCACCGTGCCCCAAAATTTATTCTCTAACTCCTGTTTTTTGTTCGTTTGTTTGTTTGGGACAGAGTCTTGCTCTGTTGCTGCAGCTGGAGTGCAGTAGTGCAATCATAGCTCACTGCAGCCTCCAACGCCTGGGCTCAAGCAATCCTCCTGTGTCAGCCTTCTGGGTAGCTGGGACTATTGGTACGCACTACCATGCCCAGCTAATTTTTTTATTTTATGGAGTTGAGGTCTCACTATATTGCCCAAGCCAGTCTTGAACTCCTGGCCTCAAGCTATCCTCCTATCTCAGCCTCCCAAAGTGCTGGGATTATAGGCATGAGCCACTGCACCTGGCTAAAATTTTTTGATGGTGCAGTAGTGGTAGGCTTGGAGCCCTGCAAGCCTGTGGAAGTGTTGGGTATACTTGCCATTTCTCTTGTCCTCACTTCACTCTAAAATGTTACACCTGGCCAACTTCACCCTTGTGTGTAACCTGCCTGACCCCTGAGTGCATCTGGGTTTATAGTCTCTTAAAATCCTGACTCCACAGCATGCCAAATAAGTAATCCTTGGCCAGTTATTCAGTCTCTCTGTGTTTGTTTCCTCATCCTAAAATTGTAATACAACTCCAGAAGGTTTGGGTTTTTGTTTTTTAACAAGGATCAAATGGTCATTTAACACAATGCCAACCACATAATAGATCCTGAACAAATGGAAATGATAGGTATTATTACCAGTAATAAAATCACAAATAATAAAAATGTTCAATCAAGTAAGATTGCTGACTCCCAGCCATTCTCTCACAAGAACCACTGCTGAGCTGGTCCTTGCTCAGATCCCATTTGCCACGTCAGGGTTTTCCTTGACCACGTTTAATAACCAGTTTCCAGATCTGGATATTGGGGGCTGTAAATTTCCCTGGTTACTGTTGCCAATGACAGGGAAGGAAAGACTTGTATAATTACCACTTGTACTTCCACAAGACACATGAACTCAAGTTGAGAGCAAGAGTTTTGGACAATAAAACACCAGGTTTTAAAAATTCAGGAAAGACCTGCCCAACTTGTGTGATAAGAAATGTGGGCCTGGTTAGAAAAACAGAAAAAGGCCTAATGCCAGTATGGCATAAGCACCATAAGCCTTCAGTTTGAATAGGACCATTTCCTCTTTCCCACACAAATGCTACATATTCACACATCTATAAGAATTTAAGGCTTTAGGATTAGCCATGGGTTGATTAGGTCTCAGTACCTTTGCCTATGTCCAAAATCCGTAGCCGTGGTTTTCAATGTTTCTTTTGTAATACAAAATGCCTGTCTTAGTTGATTTTACAGCATGATTCTTTGCCATGCTGTTCAACATTCTTCAAACATAGTAGCTTAATGGGTTCTATGAAAATATCCCATGTCTGAAACCTACTAGGACTTTTGGAAATATCAAGACATTATAACTCCATTTGGAAATGCTTAAGATAGTTCTTTGCAAGGTGTCAGATTTGGGTCCCAAACTCTAGTTGATGTTCTGGTTTCTGAACATTATGTTTTTAGCTTGAGAGAAACAAGGTGGAACTAAGTTGCAGGGAAGGAATTGTCTTGACTTTTGATTCCACAAAAAGTGTTTGATTTTTGAAAAAAAGAAAGAAAATGGATAAGCTTTAAAATTGTTTCCCCACAATGTCTGTGCATTAGCAAGCTAGCATTCCTGCAGTAGGCATGGGTCACAGTTGGTGTTTTCTGAAAGGAGCTGACCCCATCAGCACAAGACCAAAGGGGTCGAAAAAAGATTGAACAGATTGAGCAGTGATAGGAGACAGAATTGGAATTTCTTAAGGTGACCAGTCCCAAATCTCCTGTACTTCCAGAAATTATGAAGTCATGGGAGAAGAATTTCTCCAAGAGTCTGATTTGGCTGCTCAAAGAAACTGAAATCCAACAAATCCAGAAGTGGCCACTGAATTCTTAAAGAACAAGCTCATAGCATGACGTGTGGCTAGTTGTAAAGGGGTTGTTGCCCTCCCACCAATCTAACTAAATGGGGCCTTATTTTCCTTTTGATAATAACGATTTCACCAAAACCTCACCTTGCCCCAAACCAGTCAAAATTGATAACAGAGTAATTTATTTTAAATCACCAAAGACTCAGGTGGACAGAAAGGAATAAAAATTTGCTTCAGGAATTTGGAGGGGCAGGGCCTTTTACAAAATTGGACAAGAGGGGTCATTAATAGCATTTTCTCCAACAGACCAATTTTCTTTGCGTATGCCCTTGGAGTTATTAGCTCAAAGAATAGATTTCTCTTGGCCCACCTGGAAGCCTTCTCTTTTCCTAACTGATGACTTTGGATTATACAACTTTACCTACTGTTAAAAGTACACAGATGAAAAGAGTAAAGGGTATTTGACTGACGAGTGAACATGAGCTCAAAGGTGAGTAATTGGATTCCAGATTTTGTACAATTCAAAGATCATTTATGTTCATCTTTTCTCAGTCTCAACATCAGAGAAATTTCAAGATGCTCCCTAAACCTTTCTACGTTCTACAGATTCTCTAAAGAAAAGAACACACAACCAGCACTTCTTTGTAGAACAATTCTCCCTTTATCCTCCAAAACTGTGCGTGCACAGGTCTGATTAAATGTAAGAACTAGGTAAAATGAATACCACATTTGGAGCAAGGAGTTGCATTTTTTATTTTTTAGCCAATACTTTAGAAAAATCTGATGTCAGTTTGGACATTGCTGTTGAACCAATCCAGTTCGATGCAGCTGCAGAAATCTCATTTAAGGCCAGTCATTTAAGGAGGAGGGCATATAACTGGATATTAGCACATAGTGGTAGCCAGCCAATCAGTTTCTGCATTTGATTGGAATTTCGGAAGATAATTGTTTCATTCCCAGGCCTGTCTCTGGCTCACCATTTGACCCCAAACTAATTGCTTAATCTCTCTTGGCTTCAGATATTCTATCTTGAAAGTGATAATAATAATAACTTCCAACTACCTATCTCATCCGGGTATTGAGTGGATTAATGGGGTCATGTTTGTAAAGTCTTGGAAAATTCTCAAGAGAGAAAACGTTCTACCTCTTTTTTGATTCTGGTTGGTAATGTTTTAGGGCCATAGATGGGTAAGGCTGCATTTAATGAAGTCATTATTACAGAGTCATGTTCTTTCCCTCTTTATAACTAAGGAAAGTCCTCTATTGAAAGCAGAACTTGTCATCACTATGAAATCTCTGATTCTCTTTGTTGGTGCTGGAACTCCTGTGGTAAACCAGGCTTTCTCCTCTATCTAAATAGTACACGAAGCTCTGAGGAAGTAACTATGATTTCATGGCCACAGGGAATTACTCAGAATATTTCTACTTCAGTAATTCATAGACTTTTGGGGTCAAACAGACAGGTTTGAGCCCTGTCTCTGCCACTTCCTGGCTGAGTAGCCCCAAGCAAATCACTCAGTGTTCCTGTGCTACCTTTATGCTTAGCACAATGTCCAATACATGACAAGCTGTCAGGAAGCATTTTCCACATTAATAATATGTGTAATAGTAACTGCACGTATTTTCTAGTGTCATGAGGAAATATAATGAGTGCTAGTTCTTAGTGAACCAAAACTTAACTCATCAGAGCTTGTGCTTAACCTGGGTATTCATGGCCATCCATTAACAATATTCTCATTCTGTGAGCCCTTTAGATTTAGGAAAATAGCAAATCAAAAGGAAATAACTTTGTGTCAGGGATTTATGCAAATTCCCATAGTATATTTTTCTGTCAATACTGATTTAGCCCAAGCTCTTGATTTTCCAGGTGCAATCCTGCAGGGTAGCTATGAAGAGCTGACATTTACTAAGAAAAAAACTCATGGTAAACACTGTAAATCCTGTTTTCTCATTTCCAGAAGGGCAGAAATTTTATCTAATTTTTGCCCAACTCTGTGGCCCTGCCTGGTACACAGGAGGCTTACAGTAAGTATTTACTGTGGGATAAATTGCTGAATCCACAGGAAAAATCTAGTTAATTTAATTTAATTTAATTTTTTTTTTTTTTTGGAGGGGGGATGGAGTCTCGTTCTGTTGCCCAGGCTGGAGTGCAGTGGCTCTATCTCGGCTCACTGCAGACTCTGCCTCCTGGGTTCAGTTGATTCTCCTGCCTCAGCCTCCCAAGTAGCTGGGACTACAGGCGCATGCCACCAAGTGCAGCTAATTTTTGTATTTTTAATAGAGATGGGGTTTCACAATGTTAGCCAGGCTGGTCTCGAACTCCTGACCTTAAAATGATCTGCCTGCCTTGGCCTCCCAAAGTGCTGGGATTACAGGCGTGAGCCACCATGCCTGGCCTTAAATTTTATTTCTAATGGGCATAGGGCATCTAAGGTCTTTTCTTCTCCCCTGTGAAAATTTAGATTTTAAGACTTAAAGTCAACCGCTAATGGATTTAGTTTACTTAAACCATTTAAATTATGTTTCCAAATGAAATAGTATCAGAAAAAACATGGAAATCAAGAGTACTTTTCAAAGACAGTTGGTGACTTTTCCACTGATAGTCCCAAATATGTCAAAGCCAGATGTCCTGTAGGTGTAGGTGTAGGTCACAGGCTGCATCTTCTGTCAGTCAGCCTCAGAGTGGTCTGTCTCTAAGAGAAACTCCTCACCTACTGTCTTCCCGCTTTGCATTCATGGACTTGTCCTCAGAGTACTCCCAAGCCGCTTGCTTTACTCACACATGGAATCACCTCCCACTCTGCACCATTAATTCATCAGCATTCACTTCCCGTGGTTTCTTCCTAGCCCGACAAGATATTCTGCCTCAAGAGAAGATCAAAACTCCTGTAACCTCTGTGAGGCTATCCAAATCCCAGCAGGGAACAGGTATCTTCCATTTAACTCTAAACCTGACTTTGCCTTTTTTACTTAAACATTAATTTTCCTAAAACAACCAAGCATTTTTGTATTGTCAGAGCTCTTTCAACTGCAAGGGATAAACCTTGATTTCACTAAATAGAGAAAGAAGACAAGGAGGATAATGGCCTTAGGCACAATTGGACCCGAGGGCTCTAACGAGGTCAGAAGACCAGTGTCTCATTTTTCTTGGCATTGCTGGGCTTTGTTTACTTCTAGACTGCCTTCATTTTCAGTGTTGCTTTTGTTATATGATGCCCCCCAACCCTTACCCAGAAACTCCACATTTAGAGCCAAACAGGTTAAAAATTTCAAAGGAAAGTTGGCTCCCCTATGTCTCTATTGGGGAAAAAAAAAATCCTGAGACTATCTCTGTTAATCTAGTCTGTGTCACGTGACTCTTCTGATGGGCCCGACCTGAGTCACATGCCCCTACCTTAAGTCAGGGGGTGGAGCTAGCCCCACCAAATCATCTGTCCTGGAAGGAGAGTATAGGTGAGTCCTCAGAGGAGAGTCAAAGGTGCTCTTAACAGCAGAAGAAAGAATTGATGCTGGACAGGTGTTCCGACTAGGTGCTCTGTCTCCGTAGCTGTCATAATCCTTTGTCTTCTTTCTTCAGTAGTGTGTCTGCTTTTCCTCTATGCCTCGTGTCTCCCACGTACCTCATTGTGTAGCATTAATCAGTGTTACTCTCATCATCCTTATTGTACAGGCCTGGATACTCTGCTTTATTGTGAGTCCTTGAGAGCGGGAGCCGCGGCTCATTTAGTTCACCATCCCCACTGATTAGCATAATTCCTGGCACATACATAGTAGATAATCTAATGAGTTTTCCAAAAAGGAAGAAATTGATGATCCCCCTGGAAATCAAGTCCCTGAATGGGTGACACCGTTCAAAGGTATGAACATGGTCTTAAGGCTCAAGTGAAAACTCCATGATGAACAGTGACGGCTGTCACATAAGGAAGATGCCTGGAAGCAAACTGAAGAATGTGCCATTATGAGTCTGCACTGCTGGGTTCAAAACAAAACAAGTAGAAAGAAGCCACCTAATTTTGGCCTTGTCAACCCTTCATGAGATGTATGACAACAGGCAAATGGATACAATTTTGACTTAAACATGAATACAGTAATTTGAAATCCTGCCAGGATTTCATTTTAACCTCTGTAGATGACAAGTAGAGGACAAATGTAATTCTCTCTCACTGCTCTTCTGGAAGAATTGTCTTGGCACCTTTCTTTCTTCCTAATTCCCTTCTCCATCCTTTTCTTCCATCCTTCCCACCTCTCTTGGCTCTTCCCTTCTATCTCTCTCCATCTCTCCTCATATTTTTCTACTGCTCCCCTCTGCTTTTGCCCTTTGCAGGAATCACGGCTTTTGATTTACAGGGCTCATTTAAATTCTGCCTATGTGACCTTGGGCAAGTTGCTTCATCTTTTGGAGCTTACTCTCCTCATCTGTAACACTGGAATATTAATATGCATTACTAATATTCCAGTCAGGCTCAATGATATTATGTATGTAAAATGCTCAGCACAGACTAGAGGGAGTGCATTTGAAGAGAAGTAGAAGAAAATTGTATTTGCTGTGGGGTAGTGGGGATTGTAAACAAGAGACTGTGTTAGTTCTAAGTTCTCCCTGTCTCAAACCAGCCAGAGTCCAAAGTGCCTCATCTGTTGGATGACAGTGCTTGGAAGCCCTGCCAATGAAATGGCCACTGCAGAGTGTTTGTCTCCTAATGGTGAGTGACTCACTTGCTTGCTGGACCCCCTTTGGACAGATTTCTAGGGTTAGCCAGCCAGCACAAGGAGGAATCCCTAATGTTGAACTTGGGCTTTCAGCCCTTTAGCCCTCTTCCAGGACTACTGAGCTAAGAGGCCACAGGCCTAACGACAGCCCATGCAGCAGTAACATCCAGGATATGTTTACAAACATATTTAGGAGGCTCCCACCTCACCCATGCATTTGGGACTGTCTTCTAGATCCTGTTCAAGTCTGACACTCAGCAAGTGCTCAGTAATTATCTGTTGATTAAAATGGACAAACCGGTGTGATCTGGCACGTACAATACTAATTCGACAAATGAATGAATGGGTGGGCCGTAAATGCTTGTTAAATGAATGGTTGATGATCCACAGTAGGTGACCCGTAAATATCTGTTGAAGGAGCAAACAACGGGATGAATGAATGAATGCATAGCGTATCAGTCATGTCTATGGCCCTTACTTTCCATAAGCTTTAAGCTACTCTTCGATTTATTTTTTGTAGCTATAATTCAGTCCCAATAAACTGACTCTCTAAATTTATGATTTGCTTTTATTTTCTGTTGGCAAATTTTGAAATAGATGTTGATATCCTCTGGATGGAATCCCATTTTCAAATAGCAAAGAGAGATTTTCAAACCTCCTTGAATGGAGCATGCATGCTGAACAAGAGAGGGAAGGCGCTTATGTTCCCACTAATCTCTGTTATGACATAGCTGCATGACTAAGGACTGAGGGCCACAGGGGGAGGATCATGCTCCTGGGTTGAGCAGAAGAGGGTTGTCCACAAATGACACGTGAGTGGAGCCATCGCGTTCCTGTATATACTCAGTAGATACATGTACCTGCCGGAATAGGTAAATTTAATCCTTTGCTATTATTCACTTCACTTTCCTGAATTCTGTGGTATTTCCAAAGAGTGACTGCTTTTCTCCTGGGTTAAGTAGAAATCTTTGCTTAAGTCAAAACCACTTACCTTAAATACATTCAATGACATGGGGATCTTTTGCCCTGGGAATATTTCTGATATTTTTCAAAGCCAATGAATTGTCATTTGACCTTAATGGACACATATAGATCACTGAACTGAAGATTAAACTGAGTGGAGCAAAGAAGCTTTTATCCAAAATTCACTGATTCATTGAGAGATTTTGGGGAAGTCATAACAGAGTCATTTTATTCACCATTGATGATTATAGCAGCAAAGATACAAAATTAAAAGGACTTGGGATTTAATTCTGCTGTTTAGAATTACATCAGGTACCTTTTAAGGGGGTTGGGGATATTGACAATGAAAAAAACACATTAGGGTAACATGTTAAAATTCAAAAAAACGTAAAATTTCTATGTTCTAACTTTTCAGAAAATTCTTGAAAAGTTAAAAAATGCAGTCAGCTTCCTGGATGTTTTGTGTACAGCTTGATGTCAGGAATACCAAGTAACTTACTAAATGACTAAACTCTGTCCTTTTCACTTAGAAATGTTGAACTATTGTGTAGCTCTCTTGCCATTTTTCTCGCCATTGGTTTAATATTAAAAATTGTGTAACATTTATCAGTGGGAATGTAAATTAATACAGCCATTATGAAAAACAGCATGGAGGTTCCTTAGAAAGCTAAAAATTAAAAACTACCGTATGATCCAGTAATTCCACTTCTAAGTATATATTCAAAGGAAATGAGGTCAGTATATTAAAAAGGTACCTGCACTCCCAAATGTTCATTGCAGCATTATTTATTACAATGAATATGGAGATATGGAATCAACTTAAGTGTTCATCAATGGGAATTGATAAGGCAAATGTGGCATAGATACACAATGGAATACTATTCAGTCTTAAAAAAGAAGAAAATCTTATCATTTGAGACAACATGAATGAACCTAGAGGAGATTATGCTAAGTAAAATAAGCGAGGCACAGAGAGGCAAATGCTGCATGATCTCACTTACATACAAAATCTAAAAAAGTTGAACTTACAGAAGCCAAGAGTAGAATGGTGGTTGCCAAAGTAGGGAGAGGGACGAGGTCTAAGGAGATGTTGGTCAAATGATGCAAATTTTCAGTTAGATAGGAGAAATAAGTTCAAAAGATCTATTGTATAATATGGTGACTATAGTTAATAACAAGGTATTGTGTACTTGAAAATTGCTAAGACTACAAATTTTCGATGTGCTCATCACAAAAGAATGTCAAGTATGTGAGGTAATGGATATGTTATAATAATTAGTTGATTTAGGCTTTTCACAAAGTATACATGTTTCAAAACATTGTTTTGTACACCAGATGTATGTACAATTTTTGTCAATTAAAAATAAATCAATTTTATTTATAGAAAAATTTTAAAAAATTATGTTATGTGGTAGTCTTGAGATTTGAGGATGCACTTTTATTCTTTGGCCAAAGTCTAACACTTGTCCAAATGTGTCCCCAGGTAGGCTTTCCAGGTGGCCATGAAAGGAGGACTGTTTGTTGCTTCTTATCTGGAAGGGATGAATTTGGTCTATTTAATTTTGCCATTAAAAGTAATGGCGGTCTGGTGCCATGGCTCACACCTGTAATCCCAGCACTTTGGGAGGCCAAGGTGGGTGGATCATGAGGTCAAGAGTTCAAGACCAGCCTGGCCAACATGGTGAAACGCTGTCTGTACTAAAAATGCAAAAATTAGCCAGGCGTGGTGGCAGGCGCCTTTAATCCCAGCTACTTGGGAGGCTGAGGCAGGAGAATCACTTGAACCTGGGGGGCAGAGGTTGTAGTGAGCTAAGATCGCACCACTGCACTCCAGCCTGGGAGACAAGAGTGAGACTCTATCAAAAAAAAGAAAAAAAGTAATGGCAAAAACCACAATTACTTTTGTACCAACCTAATATGTTTGAATCCAGTTTGGACCAAACTTGAGCATTAGCTGGCTGCTTTCTAATGAGCTCTTATATTTCTGCCATCTGTTTTCACAGCATGCTCAATGTGAAAACTTTGAAAACACTCCACTTTTCTAGATTTCCCTTCCGGAGAATGGACTTAGCTGAGCAGTTTAAAAACCTGCTTTTATTAATACATACCCAGGAGTATGGCCATGTTTGAGTTGTTTAAGAACAAAAGTAATTATTGAGAACAGTCAAATCAGATTTCCAAAGCCCTATGCCACAGATTTAGACATATAATATTGACAATTCCAAAAATAAATAAATAAAATAAAACAAAATACAAACCCAGCATTTTCTCCTATCTCTTTGATAAAAAAGTCTGCTTCTTCCATGTAAGTTAAGGGACTTGTATTCCCCAGAACCGGTTAATCTATATTCTTCTAAACCCAGCATGTAGATGATCAGCGGGCCACATAGAATACGCAATGGAAAATGCTGAGCTGTGTCACAGGACTGAACATACCAGCTGCCATTCATAAAACATGCCACTTAGGAGCAAACAACTTTTCAGAAGAAACAATATGACACAAGGGGAGAGTAAATGGGATACCGTCTTTCTTCGGATGAAAACTATTTCTCTTATTAAACTCTTTCCACTAAGGCAAGCCTTATATGGGTAAGGCCAAGGGAAAAAGTGGGGACACATATGGGAAACCAGAGAGATATCTTCTAAAAAATAGTTTTGTTTTTATTTATAGGTAAAGTGTGGTGATTAAGTCCCTTACATTTAAAGTCAGATTACCAGGGTTCAAACTTTTGCTCAGCAGTGGCATGGCCACAGGTAAGATCATTCCTTCATTCACTTATTTAGAACACGTTCTCTGTGTGAGTCAGTAGGGGTTTGTGTCACAACTATGAACAAGGCCAACCAGGTCTTGCCCTCCTGGAGCTTATTTTCTATTGAGAGAAAACAAGACAGACAAGTAAACAAATATACTTGTAAATAAAATAATTTTAGATCAGGATAAGACAATCAGACAAAGCAAGGGAGTAGAGAATCATGGGGAAAAGACAGCAGCTTCTTTGAGACTGATGTGTACAATGAGGAGGTGACTTCAAGGGAGTGAGGGTGACTGGTCAGAAGGGACAGCGTTGCAGGCAGAGGGAAGAATAAGTACAAAGGATGCATGTGGATGAAGCTATCCTGAAGTCCAGGTTAACTTGTTTCGATTTTATCTGATAAACTCTGGGGAGCCTCTGAAGGGCTTTAAGCAGAGATGTGACATGACCTGAGCAGCACTGGGGAGAGACAGCCCTCAGGCCCTCATTCATTCCTTTGGGGATAACAAGCTCTTTCCAGAGAGAAGGGAATTCCCAGGGCACTGCCCAATACAAGGTAAGAATTCAAGGTAAATTGCTGAGTATGGATGGTGTCGTTCTTGATGGTGGCGGGGCAAAAGCAGAGACGTCAAAGCCAGCCAGTTAATGAAATAAGAACAAATCTTTGACAGTTCCATTGAGCTGAGCTTGAATCAGGCGTTCCTGATGTGGCTGAATCTGGTTGTGTGCACGTCTGGTGTTCAGTGGAGTGAAATCAGAAGGTGTCAGGATTCGCAACTCCTAAAACAGCTTGGTTTTATCAAAATCAGGACCTCTTTGAACCTTCCTTTTCTCCACAATGCAGATAATAATACGATCTATCTCACAAAGTAGTGAGGATGAAACAAGGCAATGAATGTAAAGAGTTTAGACAGGGCTAGCATCTGGCACATAGAGCTCAGTAAGTGTTGCCAGCAATTATTATGATTGTTTATTACCGATTATTATCTCAACACATACCTGCCCCATCTTTGTTGAATTCTGTCATATAGGCATGGCCGGTGATCCTATAATTGCCACATTCCTCTCCTCTTCCCAGCCCCTACCTCTACTCTCCTCAGGCTCCTCGTTTTTCTCCAGATTCCACCAGGGGACCCAGGAACAGACATTTACAGTGCAGAAATAATCACAGTAGCTGCCATTCATCAAGCTATCTCCATAGGCAGAGCTGGACCAAGGTCTTTTGTACATTATCTCAATTATGAGAACAATCCTAATATATTTGTTTCCTATCTCCACTGTAGAGGTGAGAAAATTGAGGCTCAAAAGGGTAGGTGACCACTACAGGGTCACTCAGTCAGCAAGAGGCAGAGCTGGGATTCAGACTCACATCCATCTGACCCACAGGTTCCCTAAAATGAAACAAAATTAAAGCATCCATTTAGTGCCCCCCCGCCACAAAGCACCATTGACTATGAAATGGTCATAGTCAATATAACATATAACACATAACACATAAGTGTTATATAAGGAAAGGACACCCTATTCAACAAATGGTGCTGGGATAATTGGCATATAACACATAAGTAAGTTAGGAGGGCATAGTGAGTGATCAGTGCAAGGAGAGCTTGAGAGTCTCAAAGAGCCTCCTGGAGTCAACCCAGAATCCAAAAATGTCCTCTAATTTCAAAGGAGCCTTTGCCCCCCACAGGCCAGTGGCAGCACAAAGAGATGGTATTACTTTGACGGTGGCCATGTGGTTGTGAGGAAGCCCCCGACCCCTTTCCGGCCTCTTTGTCTTCTTTAGGGCTCCATCTGTGGCCCTGCTCACACAGCCCTGCTGGTCTTGACTCTGAGGTGAAGGAGTAAACATCTTGGGGCTCTTTATTAGTTTATTTCAGAAGATGGAGCCTGTTTGCCCCTGGGGCCCATCCCTCTTTTATGGCCTCCAGGCTTTCTTGACAAATTCTAGTGACTGGAGAGAAAACCGCTTTCTACAGCAGATCATTAAAACACCACCATAAACCCAGGGCCATAAAATATTATTTGCTGGGCATAAAAGGGGGGTAGATTTTCCCAGAATGACAACCCAGGCCCTGCTTTCCCCTGCTGGGAAAGGCGGCACAGGGATGCAGTCGTTCATAAATTCCTTATCTTGCACTCTGCTTTGTGAATAATCCGGTTGGGAGAGCAGCCAAAAATATTGATTTATTTGTTCCACAGATTCAGAAGCATTTTTAATGAGCAGAGTGTGGTGATGCCTTGCCAGTATATCTTCGGATGACTCAATCTGAGGCACACACCCAAATGCACACACGGTTTGCAAGGGGAAACATGAAGTTCCACAAACTGGAGGTCTGTCGAACATGAACCCTCACAGATGGAGAGGCATTGGTTTCTCTCCTTCCAACTGTCTGCTCATTTCCCAGCCAAACCAATCAACACCATCATGGGACTGGTGCTTACAACTGAGCCTGGCTTTCTAAGGCAGTCCCCACCCCTACCCACTATTGAAGGGTCAAAAGGGATTTCAAGTTGGTTCTCCTTAACACCGTCCTCTGAAATAATTCTTTCATCCATTCGCCCATTCGTGTGGTTGTTACTTCTAAGCACCTACTAAGTGCCAGGCATTGTTCTGAGGACTGGGGTTCCAGCCATGAAAACCGCAGATGAGGTCCTGCTGACATGAAGCTTATTGCTCCTGGGGCATAATCTCAGCACACTAATTATTAATATTATCAGATAAAACAACTCTTTATCTGAAGTCCTTGGGACTAGACGGTTTTGTTGGAAATTTTGGGAAAATAAAATGGGGCATATTGCTATTAATTTGCAAGCAGCCCAGTGAGGTCTGGGGAAATACCCAGTAACCAAATGCATTTGTATTCATTCAGTGAAGAGTATTCCTAGCAAGTGGAATAAATCAAGATTATGTCTTGTCATGTGAGGTCCAGTTTTACCACCACAGGAGTTTGAAAACCTCTGTTTTCAGAGCTGCTTTTTTTCTAGAAGAGCAGGCATTGAGTGCCAGGTAAGGGCCTGACCCATGCTAAGAGCATTCCTAGATATCGTGTTTCATTCTCAGTACTGCCCTGATTTTCAAGCTCATCTCATTTCATTCTCAATGCATTTCTGCAAGGTAGATCATGAAATTTCTGCTTGCTGCTGTTGTTGCTGTTGTTGTGTGTAAGAGGGTTCTGAAGTGCTGGCTGAGAGGCTAGACAAGGTGTGACAGCTGGAAAGTGGCAGGGCAGGGACTGGAACTCCAGATTCCACAGCTGGCACTCTTAACCACTAACCAACACCGACTTCCACTAGAGGAAAGACTGCAGAACAGGAAATAGCACTGTTTGGGCTGTGTCTATACAAGCAAAGGCAATTGGAGAGAAGCAGGTGATTATCCAGATAACTCAGAAAATAGCCATTAAAAAATAAAGGTTTGTGGTTGGGTAGCCAGTATTTCTAGACTGGCTGTATGTGTGGAGGAAATGCCCAGGTTAACGGCCCTTTTCTTCATAGAATAGGATCCTCTACACGAACTGCCTTGGACTCTGGGACACTGGGATGCTAGTTTCTCCATTCTTCGGGAGCGCCCTTTGGCAGCCCCTTTCATAGTCAGCTCATATCCTGCCACTTCTTGGAGCTGCTGCACGTAAGGTGGGTCCCGGAGATCCCTGCCCGCGGGGCGGGGCTGGAGTGTCTGCCTAGGAGGCACATGCTCTCCCGCAGCCAGGGAATCTCAGTCTGCGGCCACTGGGCAGAACGGCAAGGGAGAGGGGGAAGGGCGGAGGGACGCAGCCTGGGGGCGATTTGCCGGGCGGAGACGCTCTTTTTCAGACACCCTCCTCAGGTGGGCAGATCTCAGGTTAGATTCGAAGACTGTAAAATGCCCACAGGTCGGGAAGTGGTCAAGGTTTACAGAGGAGAAGGTTAGAGGAATGGAGACTCAGGAGGTAAAGGGGAGATGTCCCAAGGGGAGCTTTGAGAACCTTGGATTCCCTCTCCTTAAGGCCGCACACGCCCTGGGGGAAAGAAAGCAAGTTGGTGGGAGGCGGGAGGTGCTAAGCAGGAGCATCTGTCTCTGGCACTTGGTGGGAAGTTCACACTGCCATCTTTGCGCGCCAGGAAGGAGGCCAGGGCTGGGGAAGGGTCCAGTCGGCTAGGAAAATTAAGGAATGGGAAGGGGCTGTGGAGGGTGGAACGGCATCGCTGGAGCCTGGGCCTGCGCCCTCTGGGGTGTGGGGGTGGAGGTGGGGGAGGACTGGAGGAACAAAACAAAACAGCCACCACACCAAAACACCTAGGCCACGGATTTTTCGCCTTAAGGTCAAGTGCATGCCAATGGACGGAGAAAATTGAATAGTGTGTGTGTGTGTGTGTGTGTGTGTGTGTGCGCGCGTGTGTGTGTCTTCACCTTTGACAGCTGGAGAATGCAGACGGCGGAAAATAACTATTACGCTCCAGTGTGAGGCACTGTTTGTGGGGTGGGGCCCTCGGCGTGCTGGAGGTAGCGGACACAAATCCACCAACCCTGCCCCTCCGGAGTCCCCAAAACCACGGGCATCTGGAAGCGTCTAGAAATTCCGGTGCCCGGAACCCGGTTTTGCCAAACTTCGCAATCTCCTCACCTGAGGGCACCCGCCAAGATCTCCGTGGCAGGACCACGCATCGCGCCTCATGCTCTGGGCCGGAGCCAGATGAGCAATCATGCATCCCACTACCCAAGTCCCTACTACTCTGGGGACTTTGCAGGAGGTGAGCGCCTAACCCTATCCATCAGCCCCAGTGCTTAAGTATCCTCCCCCAGAGGTAAGAATGAGGAGGTCCCCCATGAGGTTCCATGTCAAGGCAGCAGTCTCCGTGGAGCCCCAGTGGGAGCGGTCTGGGATACGCGGGCGAGCCAAGGGGTCCAGGCGGGGAAGTTGGGGTTCAGCCTCCCGCCGGTCGGTGGCTCTGGAAGGAGCGCAGACAACCAGGCGGCAGGCAGGCAGCGGCTGCGGAGTGGACCTCTCTCTTTCAGCAGATGCCGCGGGGGATGGGGAACTTAGAGAAGGGGAGACAAGGAGAGTGTACCCCGCCTCCCGGCACCCCAGCCCGTAGTACGGCTTTAAAATCCTGCAGAGTTTGTCATAGGCCGGCCTCACCACGCATGCGCATAGCAAAGTTGAGTTTTTTCTTTCTTCCCCCCCCTTCCCTCTCTCTTTCCAGCCGCCCCTAGTTCTGAAACTTTAAAGAACTTTTTTCTTTCTTTCTTTCTTTCTTTTTTTTTTTTTCTTCCTTCTGAGAACACCAGGGGAAAGAGGAGTCTGGAGAGAGGGAGGGAGAGAGTAAGGCAGTTGGCCAGAAGGGCTGGGGGGTGGGAGGGGGGGACGCGTCCCCGCGGTCGGTCAGTCTGTTTGCGGGGCACAGGATCGCGTGGAAATCTGCTGCGAGCTCCACGGAGCCGCCTCCGCCGCCCAGAGCCGGGGTCCGTGCGGCAGCTGCCCAGCGAGCCCTTCCGCCGCCGCCGTTGTGCCCGGGACCGCCCGCCTCCCGCCGGCCCGCTCTCCCGCCCCTCGGACCCGGGCGCCAAACGAGGAGGTGGGCAGCTTCGCCGGCCATGGACCGCCGGAGCTGAGTCGCCGCCGCGGAGCTCCGAGCTCTCGCCCTTCCCCAGCCTCGCGCCCGCGGTGCACTCGCTGCTCTTCGCCCTTCGCCCTGGAAAAACGGGGAAAAGAGAGATCAACCCGAAGAGAGAAAGAACGGGATACGTGGTGGGGGGGGGGAGCCCGCGTCTCCCCTGGGTTAGTCGCACCCCTCCAGCTCACCGCACAGCAATAAGTTCCGGGGCGACTTTCACCTATTTTGCTCCCCGTTTTTGCCGAACCCTAAAATGAAAGGACACAATTTGGGGCTGACTCTTGCAGCTCAGATGGCGACTTGTGCGTTTTCAGCGGCATCTCCCGGAGAAAAAGCCATGCGCGCCTGATTGTTCTGTGGCCCCAAAGCTGCAGCGGGGGTGTGTGTGTTGGGGTGTGTGTCTGTGTGTGTACAGAGACGTCCACACTAACTCGCGGCTGCAGGATCAGCGTCTGGAAGCAGACGTTTCGGCTACAGACCCAGAGAGGAGGAGCTGGAGATCAGGAGGCGTGAGCCGCCAAGAGTTTGCAGAATCTGTGGTGTGAATGAACTGGGGGCACCTGGGCGCACAGATCGCCCCCCTTCCCCCGCCCCGGGCCACAGTTGAGTAGTGGTACATTTTTTTCACCCTCTTGTGAAGAATTTCTTTTTATTATTATTTGTCGTAAGGTCTTTTGCACAATCACGCCCACATTTGGGGTTGGAAAGCCCTAATTACCGCCGTCGCTGATGGACGTTGGAAACGGAGCGCCTCTCCGTGGAACAGTTGCCTGCGCGCCCTCGCCGGACCGGCGGCTCCCTAGTTGCGCCCCGACCAGGCCCTGCCCTTGCTGCCGGCTCGCGCGCGTCCGCGCCCCCTCCATTCCTGGGCGCATCCCAGCTCTGCCCCAACTCGGGAGTCCAGGCCCGGGCGCCAGTGCCCGCTTCAGCTCCGGTTCACTGCGCCCGCCGGACGCGCGCCGGAGGACTCCGCAGCCCTGCTCCTGACCGTCCCCCCAGGCTTAACCCGGTCGCTCCGCTCGGATTCCTCGGCTGCGCTCGCTCGGGTGGCGACTTCCTCCCCGCGCCCCCTCCCCCTCGCCATGAAGGTAGGTGTTCAGTGCGCTGCCACTTTTTTTCTTTACTTCCCCCCACCCCCTGTTGGAAGTTAACTGAGTTCCCTTCGCCTCTTCCTATCCCTCCATTTCCCCAACCGCCTGAAGAAGCTGGAACTCCAGCGTCGCTGGCAGGAACCCCTACCCCTTCGCCCTCCACGCCGGGCGCACTGCCTCAGTGTCCCAGGAGATCACTTCTGGTCGCACCACCCGTTCTGCAAACAATTTTGATTTTTGAGAAAAAGTGGGGAAGAGCGATAGTAGACAAACTGAGTGCGGTTCACTGACGACTTTCCTTTTGCTCTGAGAACATCGAGTGTAATTTACTATGTATATTTCAGTAACAGGATAATGATTCAATTCAACAAATATTTACCAAGCGCCCACTGCGCGGGCACCGGGACGGTGTGTGGCCGGGGCTCGGGATGGGGAAAGGGACTCCTTGGTTGAGAGAACCCGCAGAGGAACTAGGGGCCAACTACTCCAGAGCGGCGTACACCTTCCCCGACACCCCCCCGCACCGACGGAGGCCAGATTGTAGGCTTGCCTTGGCCGAGTAACTCGAGCGCTTCAGGCCCCTTTGCCTTTAAGAGTGCCTGGCGGGGGGCCAGCGCGCACCCCGGCGCGGGGAGCGGGGTCGCGTTATTAGCATTATTAGCCGCCACTGGGTGAGCTCAGGCACTTTGCAGCAGTGGTGGGGGCGGGGAGTTGTGGTGGTAGTGGCTGTAATCCCGTACTCCGGGACAGCGCTCCCCGGCCCCCTGAGCGGAGTCCGCCTTGTCCTTTAGAAAACACTTGGGCCTCCGCTTTGGGAGAGCAGGCGGGGGCCAGTTTGCGAACTCTTGTTTGTTTTAATTGTCAGTTGTATGTTAAAGCCGAATCACACACTCCGAGGGTCACTGAGAGTTCACTTTTACGAAAAGTTAACGTTTCTTCCTGCAACATAAGTTTTTATTTTCTAAACAATTTTTCTTATCTGTCCTCCAAGCTTCGATTCCTATTTCCATTTTTCTGGTCTTTCCCATTTTAAGTTTCTTAGAAAATAAGGTTAGAATTGAAATTAAGATGTTTCCTGGAAGCAAATAACCCCTCTTCCCCCCAAAAAGTTAAAAAAAACAACAACAAAAAACTTCAAGTCTGGAGACCCCACGGCCCTGTTTGACTTTCTAATCCCTGTCTGGTATCGAGGCCCCTTCTCCTCTCTCGCCTCTCTTTTCTCTCTTCTCTCTTTAAATGGGTAATTCGCTGTTTGGAAGTAACTTGGGCCTTGCGGTGAGGTCGCACCTCCTCAGCCCCTGCCCTCCCCCCAGCCACCTTCGCACATTCACTGCCGAACCAGCCAGATTTAGTTTCTAGACAGACTCTGCCAGGGGAGTTTCGAGGGGGCAATGCGGAGAGTGCGCAGCGAACCGCGGGCCGACAAATGTGTGTGTGTCCGAGTGTGTGGATCCTTGGCTGCGTGTGTGTGCGTGTGTGTTTGTGTGTGTAGGGGAGTTGTTCTCGGGTCCAGGACGTAGTAGCCTTCGTCTCCTCCACCCCCCGACCCTCTCAACGGAAGACCCTCCCCAGGAGGCCCGGCCCAAGAGTCCCCTGTCTTCTCCTCCCCTCCCCCGTGCGCTCCGGTGCTCAAGGGGTTAGCACTATGCGCGCAGAACTCGGAGCCATCCCCGCGGCCTTTTCTTCCCCGCGGTGCGGTGCCGGCTGCCCCCTGTTGGCCGCCTTGAGGTAGGACTCCTGCGAGCCTCGGTTCCTTGGGGCGGGCGGGCGGGCAGCTGCTCCCCTCTCCCTCCCACCCCTGCTCCCTTCATCCCTCCCGACCACCAGACCCCACTCTCCCAGCAGGGGCCCTCGGAGGCCCCCAGAGGACCAGTTTCGCTGCGCCGCCGGCCGCTGCAATACGGAAGGGGCCACGGGTCCAGCCCAGCAAATGGGACTCGGCCAGCTGGACACAGGGTTGGTACCTCTTCTTCTGGGCTTGGGAAGGAGAGTGTCGCCCTAGGAGGCCTCGGGTCTGGCCTCAGCTGCCTCCCAACTCTCTATGATCGAGAACAAGTGTTGCTTTCCCGCTTTTCGCCTCACTTTAATCGTCTATTAAAAAGTGGGAGAGAAACTACCTTTAAAGAGTGGGGGTTGGACTATCATTTCATTTTCTTCCTCTGTCCAAGGACTCTGCTCCACCTCTGGACAAAGTTGATCCTCTGCCGAGAGGGCTAGACATCCTATGTGAGAAGGTGTGAGTGGTGTGTGTGTGTGTGTGTGTGTGTGTGTGTGTGTGTGTGTGTGTGTGTATCCTGGGGCCTGGAAAGCCCAGTCTAAGGGATGGACGAGGGGGCAGGAAACAGAGGAGAACCAGGCCAGACCGTTCTTCCCCTGGGGCCTCTCTATACCCGAACCTGGAACCTGCTGTCAGTGTTGAGGCCTGGGCGGCTCTCTTTTGTCATACTGATTCTGGCTCAAGGTGTAACCTCCGCCTTCTCTATCTGGCAATTCCCTCCTCCCCTACCCCGCTCCGCGCGCGCCAACACACATATTGCTGTGGACACAACCCTTGCGCCCAGGCGTGAGGCTTAGGGAGTAGTGGCTCCTTTGTCTGCTCCCCTAAAGCGGACCTCCTACCCGCCTGGGCCGGCCCATTCTTTAGCTCCTCGCGCCGCTCCCCGCATTCTCCAGGGCAGGACGTCCCAAGTTTTTGGCTGCAACTGAGTGCTCTCCTGCTAGTTTCTGCATCTCTCTCCTTGCTTTAGGGAGAGATCAGAGTGGGGAAAACAGCTTTCTTTTTCCACCAAGAGTGGAGATTCTTTTTGGAGTTTCCCATCCTCCCCTTCGCTGCCATAAGCCTGGGTCAAATGGGCTTCTTCCGCCTATTTGGCGTCCCTCATCGTTTCACTCCCAGAAACTTGGGGCCTAAACGTAGAGAGTCTAGCAGAAGGGGATGCCTAGACTGAATGTGGCAGTGCCCCGGGGCCGAGGGGAGAGGATCTTTGCTTGGCCTTTTTATCTATTCTCTTAAGGGACTGCCTGCGGAGGAGGAGTTGGGTGTTGCGAGACTTTAGGTGTGCATCCGGCTGCTCCCCGCGCCCTCCGAACGTCCTCTGAACAATTTTGCTACTGAGGTTTCCTCTCCCTCATCCCTCATCACGCCTGGCCCGCACCGTGGTTGGTAAAGAAGGATCAAGAACACCTTTAATCCGACGCGAAGGCTTTGAGGGATACATAGAAAGGGAGCCACGTCGTTGAGCTGCTCTGGATTGAAGAGGAGGACGCGGGAACGCCCTCCTCCACCTCACTCCTCTGGTGCGCTGAGCCCCTCAAACGCCCCCAGTCCTCCTCCCCGTGGCACGCGAGGAAGATTCTCAGTGTCCTTACAGAGTCATCTTCCCTGAGCCCCGAAAGTGTTGGAAAACATTTAGCCCCTTCTTTGGGAAACTCAGTTTCTGATCAGAATTTTTGTTTTACCCCTGGGGTTGACAGTCTCCCCAGAGGTCTCATTTCATACTGTCTTTTCGGATCTGATCTCTTGGTAAACAGGCGGGGATGTTTTACCCTACAGAGCCGATGTATGTGTGAGTTCGCTGTGAGTTCTTTGAGTGTCTCAAACTTGTGGGGCCTTTTCTCGGTTGCACTGGGATTGAAGAGGGAAGAGGGCCAAGGTGTTTCCGGGCAAGCGGCGGGGTTAAGTGGAGATGCGACTCGTGAGGCTCTCCTTTCCGATCCCCCTTTGGGACACCCTCTGCCTACCTCTACCCTGGAGCCAGGGAGACCCAAGTCTTGGTGACCGGATGGGCCCGCTCTCAGTTGGCCTGGGCTCTGGGAACTGGTGGACTCTCCCTGGGGGCTTCGGGCTGGGAGTGGGTTCGGTTTGTGTGGCTTCGGCTCTAACAAAGAGATCCGCTGTAATCCGCCGAATCTGTTATCAATTTCTCTGCTGCTTGAGCCCCGCCCCACGCGCCCCGCTCGCCGCGAAGCTTGGAAAGTGCACGCGGCCAGCACCAATCTGGGCCGCTGACTCGGAAACATGTCGCAGCGTGTGTGTCTATGCACGCGTGTGAGTGTGTAAATGTGCACGAGTGTGAATGTGTATGATGTGTGTGCACGCGGCATCGGCTGCCCTTGGGGAGAGTTGACTTTGCAGCCTGGGCTGCGCGAGAAGCAGACTTTGCAGCCCACTCCCTCCCCTGGAGGAAATTTGACACTTAGGGCGGGGGTGGGGAGATAGCCGGAGCCTTCTCTCTCCTAGCTGGGGAAACCCCAGATTTCCATTCTCCAGGATGCGCCCCCCAGCTTTGCAGCGTTTTGGGGACAACTGGGCCTTGGGTGTGGAGCCCTGCTTAGCAGGCGCTGGGGACCACATAAGCATTTCCTCTTTGAGAAGCCCCGAAGCGTCCAGGCCAAAGGGGCGGCTCACGGAGAAAAACCTTGGCACGCCCCTGAGCCCCATAGCTTTACCAGGGCTGCCTAGGTCCCCTCTGCCCCTTTTACGGCACAGGTTCCAAGCCAGGCTCTTCCACCGCCTTAAAGAGGCTCACCTTTCTTTTCTTTTCTGTGGAAGGGGCTCCTTCAGGGGCTATGGGCGATGCAGTGCGGCAGGGTTAGACTTACGTGTAAGGGGATTTTTAAAACCCGCTCCTCCCACCCGCACCCGCCACCTACTCGCTCCGCCGCCGCCTACAGGTGGAGAAGTCACCAGTGGGGAGGAACGGCAGCGGAAGCTTCCAAGGCCAACTCCTACCCCTGAAATTCTTCAGGAAGGGAACCTTCGCCGCTGGGGGCCTCTTTGCCCTGGAATCGATGCGCCCAGCTGCGGCTCGGAAGCCAGCGCCTCTGGCCCCGTCTGGACTCATCTGCAAGGGCTCTGGCCTCGCCCCGCACCCCCACCTTTCGGCACTGACCGAACCAAGTCTGAGTTGGGCTGGAGAGGCTAGACTGGAGGCAGGGTGGCAGAGTTCCAACGACAGGCTCGCAGTGCCGCGATGGCAAAGTGGCCCACAACCCCAGATCAGGACCAAGGGAAACTGGAGTCTCTCTGGGCCTCCCATCTCCTCCCTCCCTGGCAGCTGCCAGGTGTGGGGTGGGAGGGAGAGTGAAAAATCAGAATTTGGGAGAAAGCTGTGGGGAGGGCAGGGAAGGGATCTTCTCCCCGGGGAAGCGAGACCCAGACTCCCTTCTTTCCTCTAGGGTTCCATCCCTTCTCTCAGTCCGTGGAAGAGGCCACAGGCGACGCGGGCGAGGGTGGCACTCTTTTCCAGTTTCCTTGGTTGGGAGACCCGACCTCTCTCTCCATTATCCCCTAGGGCCCCCATCTCCTTCTCCCCTCCCTAGTCTGGCTGAAGAACGTCCTTAAGGAAATCCGGGCTGCTCTTCCCCATCTGGAAGTGGCTTTCCCCACATCGGCTCGTAAACTGATTATGAAACATACGATGTTAATTCGGAGCTGCATTTCCCAGCTGGGCACTCTCGCGCGCTGGTCCCCGGGGCCTCGCCCCCCACCCCCTGCCCTTCCCTCCCGCGTCCTGCCCCCATCCTCCACCCCCCGCGCTGGCCACCCCGCCTCCTTGGCAGCCTCTGGCGGCAGCGCGCTCCACTCGCCTCCGTGCTCCTCTCGCCCATGGAATTAATTCTGGCTCCACTTGTTGCTCGGCCCAGGTTGGGGAGAGGACGGAGGGTGGCCGCAGCGGGTTCCTGAGTGAATTACCCAGGAGGGACTGAGCACAGCACCAACTAGAGGGGGGCCAGGGGGTGCGGGACTCGAGCGAGCAGGAAGGAGGCAGCGCCTGGCACCAGGGCTTTGACTCAACAGAATTGAGACACGTTTGTAATCGCTGGCGTGCCCCGCGCACAGGATCCCAGCGAAATCAGATTTCCTGGTGAGGTTGCGTGGGTGGATTAATTTGGAAAAAGAAACTGCCTATATCTTGCCATCAAAAAACTCACGGAGGAGAAGCGCAGTCAATCAACAGTAAACTTAAGAGACCCCGGATGCTTCCGTTGTTTAAACTTGTATGCTTGAAAATTATCTGAGAGGCAATAAACATCTGCTCCTTTCTTCCCTCTCCAGAAGTCCATTGGAATATTAAGCCCAGGAGTTGCTTTGGGGATGGCTGGAAGTGCAATGTCTTCCAAGTTCTTCCTAGTGGCTTTGGCCATATTTTTCTCCTTCGCCCAGGTTGTAATTGAAGCCAATTCTTGGTGGTAAGTTCATTCTATGTGCGTGTTCTTCCTCTTCTTTTTCTTTTTTTAAGATTTGTTTGTATGATGCGGCAATATTTAATGCTGGATAGTGAGTGTGGGTGTATTTATTGCAAGACATATGTATACATTTTACTTATATATAGTTTTAAATCAGAATTTTCTTTTAACTTGTTAATATTGTAAAGCTTATCTTCAGCTCCTAGGGAATGGGAAACTATAAATCTAGGCCTGTTTCTATGAAGCCCTTGTTCAGACGTGTGCTTGTAGTACATCATGCAATAAAAAAGAACAGAAATTCACTTTGCTAGTAATTGTAAGCCTATCTACAAAATTTACTTTTTGCCACCTCTAGGTAGTAAAAGTGAGTTTCAGCCTTTATCTTCTGTTACTCGAGATTATTATTAACCTACAGAGTTTGAATTAGGCAGAGTTCTAGGAGGACAGCTACACTCCAAGTGCAGAAGTATTGGGGCTTGAAATGTAATCAAAAGGAGGTTAACTTGAAGTAGTCAAATGTCCCCAAGTGGGGGTTTCTTTCTGGGTAGGGGCCTTGTAGATAGACTGTAATATATCCAGAGGATTATTTTTGACGGCATTCTGGGTATTTTTTTCCCTGTAAATGAACAGCATTTTTCTGACTGTCAAACATGACTTCTGTTCACTGGGTACCCTGTCTTGGGTCCCTCACAATCACATAAGGAGCCCTTTTAAAATGTCAAGAAACATGGTGAATTTTCTCCAGTCTGTATACTTGTCCCTCTGTTCTTCCATCAGTCAAAAGGAACTGCTATCTCCTACCCGTATCTAATTGTGTCTACTTTCAGCATTCATAAGTTTTCAAGGCAGATTGGTCCAATTTGTGGGGCAAAGTGGGTCACTTTCTCTAATGTCAGAGGCCTGTCCCTCAAACTGCTGTTTCCTCCTTTTCTGAGTGGATTTTGGAAATACTGGTTCAGGTATATGGTGACAGGGGCTAGGAAGGGAGTGAAAATACTAACTGAGGAGCCAGATGGCAGGATGGGGACTGCACAATACCTCCGTTTTCTGAGTGCAGTTTAAACAGAGGAGTTTTATGAAGCCCTTCTCATACTTTGTCATGAGGACAAGCAGGAGAGAAAAAAGCATCTGTGTGCTTAAAACTATGTATTGCTGACATGCTTTCAGGGGGCCCACCTCGAGATTTCACGTAAATCTTGAATGCACATCTCCCCCCCTTGCAGGTCGCTAGGTATGAATAACCCTGTTCAGATGTCAGAAGTATATATTATAGGAGCACAGCCTCTCTGCAGCCAACTGGCAGGACTTTCTCAAGGACAGAAGAAACTGTGCCACTTGTATCAGGACCACATGCAGTACATCGGAGAAGGCGCGAAGACAGGCATCAAAGAATGCCAGTATCAATTCCGACATCGAAGGTGGAACTGCAGCACTGTGGATAACACCTCTGTTTTTGGCAGGGTGATGCAGATAGGTAGGAAAACATTTAAAATATTTTTTTAAAACATTAACTTTTTTTCCTAGAAGAAATCCTTAGCATTTACTTCATGCTTGATAGAAAGCATGAAGGAGGATGCCTTCCAGCTCGGGTGGTGGCTTGGGCATTTTTGTCATTATAGCAAATGATGTTAATTCCTGTCCCTACACCTGATGATAAGTTTTGGATTTTAATCAAATCAGGAGGCAAGTATCACAGACACCTTCATTTTTGCAAACACTTAATTTTTCTATAAAGCATTTTGTTTAAAATAGAAGCAGAACACTTATTTTGGTTTCTTAAGAGTAGGTGGGGGAAGCAAGTCATGTATATGCTTTTAAACGTCGAAACTCTCTTGCCTGTTAGTTTTTTAAGCCACAATTGAAACGGCCCGAGCATCGAACTAAAAGTTGCCGTCTTTTAGAATCCTGGATATATTGAAAGTGAACAAAGTTTTAATTTTCCTAATAGAACTATTTCCTGAGGCTATAAAGATATAGACGTTAAAAGCTTTATTTTTAGTCCCAGAAAGAATTTTAATTAAAAGTGATCCAATTTATGTTTGTGATGTCAGCAATTGATATAATAAAAGCACATGCTTGGGATGTCAACCTAGGAACTTGAAAAAAAAATTAAGAGTATTGCTCACAGTCCGATTCTTCATTTTAAATACGTTGTTGAATGTCTTACTTCCCCATTCAAAGAGATAGCATTTCAAATGGGCTAAAGGCAAAGATTTTAAAAAATCTGTTTGTTTGCCTCTGCTTTTGTTTAAATAGTATAGGATACTATTTGACAGATGTGGTCCAATGTATGTTTTCTAGTGTGAATATTTTAGGTTTCTCTACTTTTATGCAAAAAAGCCCTTATAATTAATATGACTGCAGTGACTCCCAAAGTAAGAAGCAATTTATCAAGGCAATTAACTGTCTATACTGACTGAAGAGAAAAGTTGGCTTAATGTCCATCACAGATGGATAAAATGCATTTTTTATTAAAAAAAAAACCCCGAAAATTACATTCATTGAGAACAAAAAAGAGTTGTCAGGGGATGTTTGAGCCAAGTGGTTTTATAAACTAAAATAATACAAGACTGGAAGCTGTTCCTCTGACTGAATGGGAGAATGGCCTGTAGCCTCAGCCTGCAAAGTTTCATGGGGCTTTGTCCTTTCTGTTAATGATTAAAATGTGCTAATGTATATACTGGGATCTGAATCTAAGAGTTAAGCTTCAGGAACACAGGAGTTTTCCCTGACTGTGGGCTGTCTTATGTAGTTAACTGGGAGTGTGGTAGATTTATTCTCCCGTGTGTTGATATTGTAAGGGAACTTAAATACTTTTGAAAAATTCTATGAGGATGGTAACTTTTCCCCCTTCTTCTATGTTCCTCCTAAACTGCCTTCCTCTCAACCTATGGGACTACTTTTTCACATGTATATGAGTTAGCAAAAATCATACACCTCTGATGGTAACCAGGAAGGAAAACAGCAATCGGAACTGTTTATCTGTGTAGTCACTTGAACACAGCTTTGATTTAAGATCCTCCTCTCGTTTTCATACGTAGCCTGTTTTGGGCCAAAATGTTCAGAATAAGCTATCATTTGCTAAGTGAATTTGAGTTCTGCTGGAGATTTATTTTAAATGCGGTCCAAGATTCAAAGAGCCTGCTTCCTCAGGGAACAAGCAGAACCCTTGGTACAAAAGCCTGTATTTAATTGTCCCTGGAAAGTATGCTCTCTGGTCTTCAGCTGCACGGCACTACTGTCTGGGTCGATGGGAAGTGGATGGGAGTGGTACCTCTCCACACCCTCTGAGACAGCCCTCCTAGATACTATCATCAAGTCAGCTGATGTCCTGGGAAGATGAGAGCACATATGGCATCCTCCCCTGCAAAAGGTCCCCCAAGTGCCTAGCGTCTCAGAGCTGAAAGCTGCTGCTGGGTGGCTTGTGGTGGGACACTGATGGGGCCTTCTGTTTTTTACTTAATTAAAAAAGAGACAGGAGAGAAGAGAAAACAATAGATTTTTATGAAAGAGGAACATGGATCCAATTCCAATAGTTGGAAAATTTCTTTGCTTTCACTTTTCCACTTAAGAGTGTATTTGAAGAGAATGAGCTAAGGGAAAATTTAAAATACCTTTGATGCCAAAAGGTGTGTGTGTGTGTGCCCACCCCAAAGCCCTCAGCACACCAAGGACATTGAGAATAATTCTTCTTTGTGAGAATTTGACCCTGTGATGGGGCCAGTGTCTGAGAAATTCAGGCCGCCACCTCTGACCCCCTCCTCAACTCATTTTTCTAAGATGCCAGTTGCCTTGGAGGCACCATGCACAATTACTTCATGAAGGGCCCACTCTTCATTTTGGAGAGTTTCTCATTTTTCATCATGCTACCCTTTCCTTCCAGCTTTTGTCCCCATCTGTCTCTTCTTTGTTTCCATGCTGTGAAAAGATATGTAAGGAAGGCACCATTTGTAAGGGGTGTGAGGATCGGAGTAGATGTGGGTTTCACAGGAAGGGAAACCTAACTGAATCAGCAGTATTCCAACCAGGATGACTGTATCCTCAGGCAATTAGCCAAAGAATACTTTTCAAACTGACGTTTACCCTGCAGTGACCAATTAGCTTAGAGGGATCTCCCAGGTTTGTATTCTGCGGCATAAAAGGAAATGCTCAAGATAGACTTATGAAAAAAGAAGCATTGTTTGTGTTTTGTATAAAGCCTTCTTATGCTCTGTATACTCAAAGGACAGTGTCTTATTTTCCTCTATCCCCAGAGGATCATTTCATCTCCTCTTCATCTCCTCTTCCTCTAGCTACTTTGTTCTACAAATCCCCCATCCAGGGCCACAGCATTTTCTGTACTATCAAATTACTCCCTAGAAGCTGTATATTGTCCTCATTCCTTTCCATTCCCCTGATGTGCTCTGCCTCTCTAATCCCGCTAGATAGGTGTAACGCATCACAGGAACTTTCTAGATCCTCCTGCCAACCACCAGCACACACCTTCAAGTCATTCATTTTGAAAATATGGGAGGGGGAGGATATATGGTAAATCAGAACCATCACCATTCACAAATGGCTGTGACTGGCATGGAGCAGAAGACCAAGAATGAGGTGGCCTGCTGGATGCTTAAACTGGCATCGCTGTCCTCCTGCAGAATGACCCTTCTCGTTCAGACTGAGTCCTGTTGTCAGCTTTTCTTGTGCTCCTCACTTCCCCCTCAGAAAAAAGATTGTTAGCAAGCTCTCAAAGTAAGTATAGGATAAACTGATTGCGGTACATGAATTTCAGCACCAGAAGAGGCCCCTTTCCTTGCATGTATTTCAGTACCCTTATTTTGCAATTGAGGAAAGTGAGCCTGCCCCCCAATCCCACCCCTACCCCACGCTTCAGCTGGCTGGATGATAACCCTTTCTCTCTCAGATTACAGTACTTTTATTAACTAGCTCTTGTTACATGCAGAAATGTCTCCATGTACAAGCGAAGTTTAGGGTACTCTATGATAGCCTCCAGTTTTCTCCTTACAAATAGGGTCCCTGTAACTATTATATGGGGAGATATTCTTTACTAGTTTTGGGAAGAAGAAAACTTCTCCCTCCCTCTTTTCCCCATAGGTTGTGCTTTTTTCCTTCTTGCTGTCATTCTAACACTTTGTGGCAAAGGCAGTGGGGGAGTGGGCAGGGGGTGTCTGCAGAAGTGGCATTGAAGAACAACAGGCTGTTTTAAAAGCAGACACTCATTCTTGAATGAGAAGTATCAGGCCAATGAGCCTGGGATTTAAGAATAGCAAGCTTCATTTATAACTCTCTATGAGCTGATTTAGAATTGTCCTCTGGGAAAGTAAAGAGACTTGTCCTGAGAAATACTTTCTGCTGCATGAAGGAAGAGGGAGGAGAGGTTACAACTGCCAGAGGAGGAGGGGACACAAGGCCAAAATGAGTGTGGCAGAAACTAGTGTGGCCGCTGGCAGTGTCTCCCTTAGATTCAAGGCCTAGCAAATTCTGTAATCCTGCCTTATATGTAACTCAAATGAAAATAATACTTAATATTAAAATAAGTGTAAGGAAGTCTACCCATATTCTGAGTGTTCCTTCAATGACTTCTTTCATGTGCATTTTTGCAAATAGCAAGTTTTGACTATTTTCAAAAGAGTTGCAGAGAAAATCAATCCAGCACTGCTTAGAATCTGGCCTGCAGCTCTGAAATGGCTGAGCAGAGATACTGGGGATCTGCTACTCCTTTGTTAATTGTTGCTTCTGTGTGTTTTGGGGGATCTTGCTTGGCTTCCCCTCAAGCTGGGCCCAGGGCCTGGTGCGTGTTAAGGATGGGGCAGCCCGAGCTTTTACCTTATTGATCCCCTACCCCCTACCCCCCCATCTCCTACTCCCTACCCTCTACCCCAACCTCCCCCCAGCCCTACCTGCCCCCCACCTTCTACCTCCCCACTATTCTTGCTTCCCCACCTCCTACTTCCCCCCAACCTCCAACCTCCCCCACCTCCTACCTCCCCCCTCCCTACCTCGCCCCAACCCCACCTCCTACCTCCCCTCCATCTCTACCTTGCCCCCCACCTCCTACCTCCCCACCATTCCCTACCTTGCCCCCACCCCCACCCCCGGCAGCATCCCGGCCCAGCGCGTGAGGCAGGCGGCCAGTGATCCCTTGTCCTCACCCACAGGCAGCCGCGAGACGGCCTTCACATACGCGGTGAGCGCAGCAGGGGTGGTGAACGCCATGAGCCGGGCGTGCCGCGAGGGCGAGCTGTCCACCTGCGGCTGCAGCCGCGCCGCGCGCCCCAAGGACCTGCCGCGGGACTGGCTCTGGGGCGGCTGCGGCGACAACATCGACTATGGCTACCGCTTTGCCAAGGAGTTCGTGGACGCCCGCGAGCGGGAGCGCATCCACGCCAAGGGCTCCTACGAGAGTGCTCGCATCCTCATGAACCTGCACAACAACGAGGCCGGCCGCAGGGTGAGTGCCGCGTCTCGCCCCCGCCCCGCATCTCTGTCTTCTCACCTTGCCCTCCAGCCTCCTCGGGTCTCTCCCTGTAGCTCCGTCCTCTCCTCTGCCACTCCTTTGCTATATGGTCCTGTCTCTATCTCTCTGCTTCTCTTTCTGTCTCTCCCTATCTTTCTCTGTCTTTCCTGTCTCTTTCCTCCTCATCCTGTTCCCGTCTCACTTTCTTTCTCCCTCTTCCCTTCCTTTCCTCCTTCCCGGTCTCTCTCTTCTCCCCCTTTGTCTACCTCTCTTTCCTCCATCTGTCTCCATAGTTGCCCCTGCACATCCCAGAAGGGCCTCCTGGGCGGATCATCCTCCCTTTCGCCCCCAGCCAAGGTGAACCAGCAGTTGCCTGAAAAAGACCTTTCCTTGCCTTCTTAGTTAGTCCCTGGTACCTTTGGCTACTGGAGCACAGAAATAAAAATGGGAATAACTTTCTCCCTCCTGCCTGGACGATGTCTGTGGTTGGCTTTCAGTTTGGGACAGGGATTTTTCTGTCTTCGTAGGTGCCCAGATGGGAAAGCCCTCACCCCAGCTTTGAGGCTCTTTCCCTCCTTTCTTTCTCCCTGCCTCTCTTTATGTCATTAGGTAGCAGGCCTGATGGATGGAGGGTTTTTTTAAAAAAGGGCTTTTCTAGGAAAAGGACAGCATTTTTAGCAGTGTGGGATTTTATAGGTCTGACCATCAGGCCAATCACAAAGTAGCTCTGGAGAGAAGAGAGCAGCAGAAGTACCCAGGGAGGACCATCTTTGCAGTCCTCACGAGTCTCCTGGTTCCCGCTCTTTCCTTCCCCTGGTGGGGATATGAAAAGCTACTTCTCAATAGTTAAAAAGACCCTTTTTTTCCTGCGGTTAAACACATGGCACTTTATGGCTGCTTTAAAATGAAGGGGTGAAAACTTTTCTTAACTTTGGCAGCATTGAAAACCAGGGCCATTATTTTTTCACAGAACCCAAGGTAGGTGCCAGGAACTTTCTGGTCAGAGATTTCACTCTTCTGTATTTTGGGGTGAGGGAGAAGGAAGTTAATCACAGAGTAAACTGTAGAGGACTGGACAGAGCCTTAGAAGACTCTGGCCCCACACTCATTTGAAAGACTAGGAAACTGAGGCCCAGAAAACCACTTCATGACCATGGAAGAAAATTAAAGAATGGAAATATAAGCCTAGGTACGTTTTTATTGAATTCATGCATCACAGCTAAGAGATGAAGAGCTAGCAGTTCGGGAATTAGAGAAATCTGGGTTAAAATGCAGTGTTGTCTGTTCTTTGCTTTTTCTGAGCCTCAGTTTTCCCATTTCCACATCTGTTAAATGGCCATGGCAATTACAATTACCTGAGGTTATTGTGAGGCCTCAGTGAGATCATCTAGTAGGTTGAACCATGTGAAATTGTGAACACTTGACTCTTTTTTATTACAAAATAACAATTTCATTTGGTTTAATTAAAGGTCTTAGTTTAGTGTCCGCCAGTAGTAAGTGCTTGATAGATGATAACTTCTAAAACATTATAGGCAAAGGACATAGAGAAGTCAAAGATCGTGTAGATAATTCCAGCTAGCTTATCTTCTCAAATTTGTTGTTAAACATTTGGGTGTTCCGGGGAAGGACTAAACTCTACAGAATTTTGCCTGTACTGCCATGAGGGGTCAAATAATTGCCACAGACAGAGTGTGGCCTCTCCTTTCTCAGGCCTCTCACTGCCATGGTGTCTGCAGTGTGGGATGCCTCTTCTGTGGTGGACCCAGAGCCACATGAAAATTTGGGGGGGGTGGGGTCAGCCCCATTCTCTCTGGAAGCCCATAAAACCTTGCTATCACCCTCTTCAGGGATGTATCGCTGGGATCTCTATATATGACATGCCCAGTGCCTCAGATCAGAAATGCCTCAAAAAGAGAGATGTGTCTGACTCTTAAAGGCCCCTATCCAGGGGTATGCCCATATTTGATATTCTCATCCATCTTTGGGACTTTCTTAGCCTTCTCTCATGTCCAGAAATCATCAGAGGCTTGGCAACCAAGAAGAGCGGGTCAAGGGATTTCCAAGTGGCAAGAGAGGATTGGGGAAGTTTGAAAAGCACCTATAATGTTACACTTCTGCATTTTTTTAGTAGCGAGTTTTTTTGGGGTAAATTTGATCATTGGAGTAGTGAGCTGAGTTTGGATTTTGGTGAGTGAGGTTACGAAGAAGACAGTTTTTTTTGCTCTGGGATGGTGGGGCTAGGGGATGGAAATTTGGGCACTGTGCCAGAAAATCATATTAGAATTTCCATGGGGTGTTAGCTTTTTAATTTTCCTCAGTGGGGAGCAAAGGTTAAATACATTTGCAAAACCCTTCCTCAGACTAGCTGAGTGCCTGAAACTCTTTATGCCAAGAGAGTACACTTTGGCCCCCTTTAAAAGAGCCCCTGTGAATCCCTGGAGGAAGAGGGTGGCTGTTCTCTGCGGAAGAGGCCTTCTGATGCACCCCCAGCTTCCAGGTTCCTGACAGGTCTTCTCCAGCACACTCACACCACGTGGACTCTGGAGGGTCACTGGCACAAGGAACTGTGGGCAGCAGAGTCTATAAATAGGCAACCACCACCTCCCAGACTGCTGGGCACAGTGTTATAGGGCCAGACCCGTGGGCACTGCTACTGGGAGGCCCAAGGTGACTGGGCAAGGGCCCAGATGCCGTGTCCTCGTCACTCTGGAGAAAGACCAGATTTCCTGAGTGTGTCCGTTGTTACCCTAAAGAAAGACCAGATTTACTGTGTCTTAAGTGCCAAGCACTTTCCACATCTCCCCTAATTTTATCCTTATAACAGCACTTGGAGGTTGGTGCCACCACTGCTGCCTTCGCAGATAGAAAACAGAGGCCCGGAAAGGTGCAGCCTGTTGTCTGAATTCAAGGGTAGAGTCAGGAACACAATCTATGTTGCTTGGCTCCAGGGTGGGTGCTCTTAGCCTAGCGGGGTAGTAGATGGGGTAGGGACTGTGTGGGAAACAGGAGTGAGGATACCTGAGTTCCAGGCGCAGTCCCCCCACACTTTAGCTGTGTGACCTGTGCAGGCCACTCAGCATCACTGTGCCATCATCCAATCCAGCCCATGTCATAATGTTGCTGGGATGGTTAAATGAGATCATGAGTGTAAGGACACTTATAGTGCCTGGTGCACAGCAATAATAGTAGTAATGGGTTAAGATTTGAACCCTGATCCCACTGGGGCTGGACTCTTCCCAATTCTGCACTTACCGGCTGGATATCCATGGGCAAGTCACTAAGCACGGGCTTGGAGTCCAGCTGCCTGGGTTCAAATCCTGGCACCTTTACTCCCCGGGAGTTGGGTGAGTGGCTCATCTCTCTGGGTCTCACTTTCCTTCTCTGTGAAATGGGATGATACTAGCACTTCTCACCTAGCTGGTACGGGGGATTAATTCAGGTAATGCATTGTGAACAACCTCTGGGATGAGTGTCCACATGTTGCTGCTGCTCTTTCTCTGAAAAAAATACAGCTGGAACAATTTTTTTTTCCTGTTCCTATTAAAAAACCACAGTTGTTGTTGATAATGATATAATAATGAGTGGTTAAGAACATATTTATTTGGAAGAATTTTTAAAGAAGGCAACATAAGACTTCTGGTAATGAAGGAAATATAATACAGTCCTTAATTCAGCTGGGGAACATAGCTCCATGGAGAAGGTCGAGGAGAACTTTGTTCCTATAGCCTGCATCTGGCTCCTCCATGAATGTGTGTATTGATTGCCCCCATTTCCCTGCAGACGGTGTACAACCTGGCTGATGTGGCCTGCAAGTGCCATGGGGTGTCCGGCTCATGTAGCCTGAAGACATGCTGGCTGCAGCTGGCAGACTTCCGCAAGGTGGGTGATGCCCTGAAGGAGAAGTACGACAGCGCGGCGGCCATGCGGCTCAACAGCCGGGGCAAGTTGGTACAGGTCAACAGCCGCTTCAACTCGCCCACCACACAAGACCTGGTCTACATCGACCCCAGCCCTGACTACTGCGTGCGCAATGAGAGCACCGGCTCGCTGGGCACGCAGGGCCGCCTGTGCAACAAGACGTCGGAGGGCATGGATGGCTGCGAGCTCATGTGCTGCGGCCGTGGCTACGACCAGTTCAAGACCGTGCAGACGGAGCGCTGCCACTGCAAGTTCCACTGGTGCTGCTACGTCAAGTGCAAGAAGTGCACGGAGATCGTGGACCAGTTTGTGTGCAAGTAGTGGGTGCCACCCAGCACTCAGCCCCGCTCCCAGGACCCGCTTATTTATAGAAAGTACAGTGATTCTGGTTTTTGGTTTTTAGAAATATTTTTTATTTTTCCCCAAGAATTGCAACCGGAACCATTTTTTTTCCTGTTACCATCTAAGAACTCTGTGGTTTATTATTAATATTATAATTATTATTTGGCAATAATGGGGGTGGGAACCAAGAAAAATATTTATTTTGTGGATCTTTGAAAAGGTAATACAAGACTTCTTTTGATAGTATAGAATGAAGGGGAAATAACACATACCCTAACTTAGCTGTGTGGACATGGTACACATCCAGAAGGTAAAGAAATACATTTTCTTTTTCTCAAATATGCCATCATATGGGATGGGTAGGTTCCAGTTGAAAGAGGGTGGTAGAAATCTATTCACAATTCAGCTTCTATGACCAAAATGAGTTGTAAATTCTCTGGTGCAAGATAAAAGGTCTTGGGAAAACAAAACAAAACAAAACAAACCTCCCTTCCCCAGCAGGGCTGCTAGCTTGCTTTCTGCATTTTCAAAATGATAATTTACAATGGAAGGACAAGAATGTCATATTCTCAAGGAAAAAAGGTATATCACATGTCTCATTCTCCTCAAATATTCCATTTGCAGACAGACCGTCATATTCTAATAGCTCATGAAATTTGGGCAGCAGGGAGGAAAGTCCCCAGAAATTAAAAAATTTAAAACTCTTATGTCAAGATGTTGATTTGAAGCTGTTATAAGAATTAGGATTCCAGATTGTAAAAAGATCCCCAAATGATTCTGGACACTAGATTTTTTTGTTTGGGGAGGTTGGCTTGAACATAAATGAAAATATCCTGTTATTTTCTTAGGGATACTTGGTTAGTAAATTATAATAGTAAAAATAATACATGAATCCCATTCACAGGTTCTCAGCCCAAGCAACAAGGTAATTGCGTGCCATTCAGCACTGCACCAGAGCAGACAACCTATTTGAGGAAAAACAGTGAAATCCACCTTCCTCTTCACACTGAGCCCTCTCTGATTCCTCCGTGTTGTGATGTGATGCTGGCCACGTTTCCAAACGGCAGCTCCACTGGGTCCCCTTTGGTTGTAGGACAGGAAATGAAACATTAGGAGCTCTGCTTGGAAAACAGTTCACTACTTAGGGATTTTTGTTTCCTAAAACTTTTATTTTGAGGAGCAGTAGTTTTCTATGTTTTAATGACAGAACTTGGCTAATGGAATTCACAGAGGTGTTGCAGCGTATCACTGTTATGATCCTGTGTTTAGATTATCCACTCATGCTTCTCCTATTGTACTGCAGGTGTACCTTAAAACTGTTCCCAGTGTACTTGAACAGTTGCATTTATAAGGGGGGAAATGTGGTTTAATGGTGCCTGATATCTCAAAGTCTTTTGTACATAACATATATATATATATACATATATATAAATATAAATATAAATATATCTCATTGCAGCCAGTGATTTAGATTTACAGTTTACTCTGGGGTTATTTCTCTGTCTAGAGCATTGTTGTCCTTCACTGCAGTCCAGTTGGGATTATTCCAAAAGTTTTTTGAGTCTTGAGCTTGGGCTGTGGCCCTGCTGTGATCATACCTTGAGCACGACGAAGCAACCTTGTTTCTGAGGAAGCTTGAGTTCTGACTCACTGAAATGCGTGTTGGGTTGAAGATATCTTTTTTCTTTTCTGCCTCACCCCTTTGTCTCCAACCTCCATTTCTGTTCACTTTGTGGAGAGGGCATTACTTGTTCGTTATAGACATGGACGTTAAGAGATATTCAAAACTCAGAAGCATCAGCAATGTTTCTCTTTTCTTAGTTCATTCTGCAGAATGGAAACCCATGCCTATTAGAAATGACAGTACTTATTAATTGAGTCCCTAAGGAATATTCAGCCCACTACATAGATAGCTTTTTTTTTTTTTTTTTTAATAAGGACACCTCTTTCCAAACAGTGCCATCAAATATGTTCTTATCTCAGACTTACGTTGTTTTAAAAGTTTGGAAAGATACACATCTTTCATACCCCCCTTAGGCAGGTTGGCTTTCATATCACCTCAGCCAACTGTGGCTCTTAATTTATTGCATAATGATATTCACATCCCCTCAGTTGCAGTGAATTGTGAGCAAAAGATCTTGAAAGCAAAAAGCACTAATTAGTTTAAAATGTCACTTTTTTGGTTTTTATTATACAAAAACCATGAAGTACTTTTTTTATTTGCTAAATCAGATTGTTCCTTTTTAGTGACTCATGTTTATGAAGAGAGTTGAGTTTAACAATCCTAGCTTTTAAAAGAAACTATTTAATGTAAAATATTCTACATGTCATTCAGATATTATGTATATCTTCTAGCCTTTATTCTGTACTTTTAATGTACATATTTCTGTCTTGCGTGATTTGTATATTTCACTGGTTTAAAAAACAAACATCGAAAGGCTTATGCCAAATGGAAGATAGAATATAAAATAAAACGTTACTTGTATATTGGTAAGTGGTTTCAATTGTCCTTCAGATAATTCATGTGGAGATTTTTGGAGAAACCATGACGGATAGTTTAGGATGACTACATGTCAAAGTAATAAAAGAGTGGTGAATTTTACCAAAACCAAGCTATTTGGAAGCTTCAAAAGGTTTCTATATGTAATGGAACAAAAGGGGAATTCTCTTTTCCTATATATGTTCCTTACAAAAAAAAAAAAAAAAGAAATCAAGCAGATGGCTTAAAGCTGGTTATAGGATTGCTCACATTCTTTTAGCATTATGCATGTAACTTAATTGTTTTAGAGCGTGTTGCTGTTGTAACATCCCAGAGAAGAATGAAAAGGCACATGCTTTTATCCGTGACCAGATTTTTAGTCCAAAAAAATGTATTTTTTTGTGTGTTTACCACTGCAACTATTGCACCTCTCTATTTGAATTTACTGTGGACCATGTGTGGTGTCTCTATGCCCTTTGAAAGCAGTTTTTATAAAAAGAAAGCCCGGGTCTGCAGAGAATGAAAACTGGTTGGAAACTAAAGGTTCATTGTGTTAAGTGCAATTAATACAAGTTATTGTGCTTTTCAAAAATGTACACGGAAATCTGGACAGTGCTCCACAGATTGATACATTAGCCTTTGCTTTTTCTCTTTCCGGATAACCTTGTAACATATTGAAACCTTTTAAGGATGCCAAGAATGCATTATTCCACAAAAAAACAGCAGACCAACATATAGAGTGTTTAAAATAGCATTTCTGGGCAAATTCAAACTCTTGTGGTTCTAGGACTCACATCTGTTTCAGTTTTTCCTCAGTTGTATATTGACCAGTGTTCTTTATTGCAAAAACATATACCCGATTTAGCAGTGTCAGCGTATTTTTTCTTCTCATCCTGGAGCGTATTCAAGATCTTCCCAATACAAGAAAATTAATAAAAAATTTATATATAGGCAGCAGCAAAAGAGCCATGTTCAAAATAGTCATTATGGGCTCAAATAGAAAGAAGACTTTTAAGTTTTAATCCAGTTTATCTGTTGAGTTCTGTGAGCTACTGACCTCCTGAGACTGGCACTGTGTAAGTTTTAGTTGCCTACCCTAGCTCTTTTCTCGTACAATTTTGCCAATACCAAGTTTCAATTTGTTTTTACAAAACATTATTCAAGCCACTAGAATTATCAAATATGACGCTATAGCAGAGTAAATACTCTGAATAAGAGACCGGTACTAGCTAACTCCAAGAGATCGTTAGCAGCATCAGTCCACAAACACTTAGTGGCCCACAATATATAGAGAGATAGAAAAGGTAGTTATAACTTGAAGCATGTATTTAATGCAAATAGGCACGAAGGCACAGGTCTAAAATACTACATTGTCACTGTAAGCTATACTTTTAAAATATTTATTTTTTTTAAAGTATTTTCTAGTCTTTTCTCTCTCTGTGGAATGGTGAAAGAGAGATGCCGTGTTTTGAAAGTAAGATGATGAAATGAATTTTTAATTCAAGAAACATTCAGAAACATAGGAATTAAAACTTAGAGAAATGATCTAATTTCCCTGTTCACACAAACTTTACACTTTAATCTGATGATTGGATATTTTATTTTAGTGAAACATCATCTTGTTAGCTAACTTTAAAAAATGGATGTAGAATGATTAAAGGTTGGTATGATTTTTTTTTAATGTATCAGTTTGAACCTAGAATATTGAATTAAAATGCTGTCTCAGTATTTTAAAAGCAAAAAAGGAATGGAGGAAAATTGCATCTTAGACCATTTTTATATGCAGTGTACAATTTGCTGGGCTAGAAATGAGATAAAGATTATTTATTTTTGTTCATATCTTGTACTTTTCTATTAAAATCATTTTATGAAATCCAGTGCAGTCGTGCGTGTGTGTTTAGCAGAGAGAGTGTTCATTGAAGTTTGATGTGGGCACGGATTACGGCTTAGGGTATCCAGAAAAACACACGTACATTTCAGGTATGTAGATGATATGGTGGTTGAAGCTCAAGCATGTATTTTGTACTTTAGTGCTCATTTTTCTTTTGCCTGTTGCTGATTTTTTTCATTTCTTATCTGCTCTGCTGCTGTTAATCCCTAAGAGTTGTAGTAAGATTTTTTTTTTAGTGTAGGCATTTAGCACAGTGAGATGGGACTACCGTGAAATTCTAGGGCAAGGGAAGAAAGAGTGACTTCAGGAGAGAACTAAAACGATGTTCAAGATGAAGAACAGACTGAACCACCTGGAATATTCTGCAGGTGGCTTTTTTCATCTTAGAACAGTTGCCAGTAAGCTCTTTAGATTTTGTGCCGGTTGCTCGATCTTGGCACTGTTGACATTTTGAGCTGGATAATTCTTTGTTGTAGGGATTTATTTTATGTGGTATTCAGCAGCATCCCTGGCCTCTACCCACTAGATGCCAATAACATCCTTCCATTTGTGACAATCAAAAACATCTACAAACATGCCAAATGTGCCCTGGGGAGCAAAATCACCCCCAGTTTAAAACCATGACTTTAGTTGGAGGGACTGAGGTTTGAACACTTGGGGAATACTGGCTGACCACCTTGGTGAACTATTGAGCTTGCCTAGGTTGACTCATGAGTGAGACAAGACCCTTGGGAGTTTTACTCCCAAGATGGAGAGGTGGCATCTATTCCAGGGAAGCCTGGCTTAGCAGTTAAGAACATAGGCTCCGGAGCCAGATTGCCCGGGTTCAAATCCCAGTACCCCTTTCACCTTGGGGAAGATGCACAACCTCACAGTGCTTCTGAGGCCTTTGTCTTTAAAATGAGAGAGAGCATTGCAATCTACCTCTTCAGGCTCTTGTGAAGATAAAAATGAGTTAACACTTAGGGAGTGCTTAGAGCATGTTCTACTACATAGTAACAGCTCAATAAATGTTAGCTGAGAGAGAAAGGTGTTGAGGAAAAGAACACTGGAATAAGTGTGAAGGCTAAATCAAGGCAACGTGGGATCAGTGCTGTTTAACACACCTAACACTATTGGCTCAATGCTGGGAAGGCACACTTAGTATTTTAGAGA